>NC_000003.12:47282727-47585757 GCF_000001405.40 Homo sapiens
CTTCGGCGGATGCACATGCGAAGTCAAGGTCGAGATAGCGAGGGAACGAAGGCCGCACATGAACCAGGAAGCGGAGTGGCGGGGCTTCCGGCGCCGAGGAGATTCAACTACGGCGGCCGCGGAGGCCCGTCCGATTGCTGCTCCGCGCTCCGAGCGGCTGTCGGCGTGCGCTATCGCCCCGCCCTGGTTAGTGTCTAGCCGGCCGGCGAGGCCTGCGCAGTTGCAGCGGCCGGGGAAGATGGTGGAGGACGGCGCGGAGGAGCTGGAGGATCTGGTGCACTTCTCCGTGTCTGAGTTGCCTAGTCGCGGCTACGGCGTCATGGAGGAGATCCGGCGGCAGGGCAAGCTGTGCGACGTGACCCTCAAGGTACCGCGGACTGGGCGGCAGCGGGCTGAGGGAAAAGGGGTCGAGCGGGGAGTAAAAAGGGGCGGGGGACAGAGAAAGAGAGGTCTAGCAGGGAGAGGGGTGGGGAGAAGAGGTGTGAGGGGGGCCGAGTAGTGGGGAGAGAGGTGCCGAGCAAAAGGGGATCGGGGCCGAGTGGGGAGAGGAAGAGGACAACCTTTCAGCCCTTGAAAGGAAAGGTTGAGAGGTGCGCCGCTTAGGCCCTTGGAGTGGGAGACACGGGTGACAGCCTCCTTTTTCTGTCATGCAGACAAGAGAAAATGGACTTACCTTCTATGGAGGCAGGGGCGGTGGCCGGCTCCACATGCTGATGGGCACCACTGAAGAACCTTCTCTTGTCACTACAGATATTTCTTTGTGCCTGTCGAACTTGGCTGTGCTGTTCTAGAAGAGAAGGCTTCTCCTTAGGAATCATTGCCCTTAATTGTTGAATTACTACTTTGTCTCTTAAGAGCTTTTAAAATCTTCTCTGGAAAATTTTTGAGGTGGGAAGCCACCCTGCCCCATACTGGAAGGCACCACTCACCACCACAAAGGTCCCCGGGGCTGGGCCTGCTGGCCGCGTGGGGAGAGGGATGCTGACTGATATTAAGAGGGAAAGATATCTTAACCACCTGTTCCCCACCAGCATTCTGGTCGCTAGAGCCAGCCTCCCTCCTGTGCCTGGGTCTTTTCATGAGGAAGAGGCATGCTGTGCTGCTGCCTGGCCAAGCCACCGAACCATGTGGAGACGTCCGGTTGGGGAGATGATCAGTGGGGCTCCCTGTTGGGCTTTAGCTGGAAAGCTCTCAGCATCTGTGCGTGATCCCTGTTTAAAAAACAAACAGGGCAGGCATGGTGGCTCACACCTGTAATCCCAGCACTTTGAGAGGCGAGAGGATCACTTGAGTGGGGGAATTGGAGACCAGCCTGGGCTATGTAGGGAGACCCTGTCTCTACAAATAATAAAAAATTGTCTGGGCATGGTAGCCTGTGCCCGTAGTCCCAGCTACTCAGGAGGGTGAGGTGGGAGGATCGCTTGAGCCTAGGAGGTCAAGCCTGCAGTGAGTTGTAATCACACCACTGCACTCCAGCCTGGGCAACACAGCAAGATCCTATTTCTCCTATTTCTCTCTGTCTCTCTCACACACACACACACACACAAATAAATAAATAAAAGAAAAAATAAAACTATGCAGAGATTCTTTTGCTCTTCTTTTCTTTTTTCTTTTTTTTTTTTTTTTTGAGACGGAGTCTCGTTCTGTTGCCCAGGCTGGAGTGCAGTGGCGCTATCTTGGCTCACTGAAACTCTCTCTCCTGGGTTCAAGCGATTCTCCTGCCTCAGCCTCCCCAGCAGCTGGGACTACAGGCGCGCACCACTACCCCTGGCTAATTTTTTCTATTTTTAGTAGAGACAGGGTTTCACCATGTTGCTCAGGCTGGTCTCGAACTCCTGAGCTTCAGCAGTCTGCCTGTCTCGGCCTCCCAAAGTGCTAGAATTACACGCGTGAGTCACCGCGCCCAGCCTGCTCTTCTTATTTTCTACATGGTTAAGGAAACTTTTCTTCTGCAACATAGTTGAGTCAGACCTCTGGAGATGGTAGAGTAGGATGGTTGAGTATGGCTTTGAAAGCAGAAGGATTTGGATTAAAATCCTAGTTGTAACCTTGAGCAAGTTACTTAATCTCTGTAAGCCTCGGTTTTTTTGCTTTTATTTTTATTTTTTTGAGACAGAGTCTCGCTGTGTGGCACAGGCTGGAGTGCAGTGGCATGATCTTGGCTCACTGCAACCTCCACCTCCTGGCTTCAAGCCAGTCTCCTGCCTTAGCCTCCCAAGTAGCTGGGACTACAGGCGCCCGCCACCACGCCCGGCTAATTTTTGTGTGTGTTTTTAGTAGAGACAGGGTTTCACTACGTTAGCCAGACTGCTCCTGACCTCGTGATCCGCCCACCTCAGCCTCCCAAAGTGCTGGGATTACAGGCGTGAGCCACCAAGCCCGGCCCTTTTCATCATTCTAAACCCCTCCTGAAGGAGGTTGTTTTTCCAGGAGAGGAGTGAAGTGATCTGAGAAGGCGTGAGATCTTCTCATATGGGAAAGAGGAACCAAGAGAATTGAGAAAAAATGAGCTAGACTAAAGGAAGCAGAGGAAGTAAAAGTAAATTAGAAGTTTTTGTCCACAGTGATTACATGGTAGAAGATGTTAAGGCCACTAGAAACTTGTAAGCAGAAAAATGATCCGGTTTTGGCAGCAACACTTGGTGTAAATAGAGACTAGTGAAAAGCAGTAATAGGTGTGAATTTCTAGATTAAAATTTAGGCTGTAGGCTGGGCACCGTGGCTCACGCCTATTATCCCAGCACTTTGGAAGGCCAAGGCGAGTGGATCGCTTGAACCCAGGAGTTTGAGACCAGCCTGGGCAACATGGCAAAACCCCGTCTCTATTGGGGAAAAAAAAAAAAAGATTTAGGCTGTAAGGGTGAACCAGGGGAATCTTACAAGACACAGGGAATCAAAAAGGGCGTGGCAGCGTGGGATGGTCACAGATACTTCTACATAAAGTATTAATAGTACATTTAATGCAGATACTGAATATGGTAATCTTTTAGCAGAATATTGCTTGTTCATTCAAAGGGACAAGTAAATTATCAGACATGGCTGGGTGCAGTGGCTCACGCCTGTAATCCCAGCACTTTGGGAGGCCGAGGCAGGTGGATTGCATTGAACTCAGGAGTTTGAGACCAGCTTGGGCAACGTGGTGAAACCCCATCTCTACAAAAAATTAGCTGTAGTGGTGTGTACCTTTAGTCTTTCTTAGCTGCTCAGGAGGCTGAGGTGGGAGGATCACTTGAGCCTGGGAGGCAGAGGCTGCAGTGAGCCGAGATCGTGCCACTGCACTCCAGCCTGGGCAACAGAGTAAGACCCTGTCTCAAAAAAAAAAAAAAAGAATCAGACGTAGTTTCAACTGAGACGGTCAGCCCGAATTGCTGTGTTAGCTTCAGGGATCTAGAACATAAGGACCAGTATATTTATTTTTTTCTCTCTTTAATAAAAAGCCTTCAGTGGGAAGGACTAGTATAAACGCATGGGCTAGAGCTGGACGGGACTGTAGAGAGCATTTACTTCACTGATTTTGAAAACTTTATTGTAGAGCCCAAGGAGTAGCTCTGTAGCAATATAATGGTGGGACCGGGGAAAGAGCATGCAAACCAGGCTCTGCACATTTCACTACTTGCCACCAGAGCTGTCCTGGGAAATCTATTTTGTCTCTCTTTCTTGTCAAAGTCTTCCTTCAGTTTTCTGGTGACTCCACAGTGTTTTTCAAGTAAACAGACACTGAAAAACTGGTTGGAAGCTTTTGGGTGTGAGATGTTTTCTTGACTGGTGGGCCTCCCTGTCAGGCAGTGGTTCTTAAACTTCAGTGGACGTCAGAATCACCTGGTGGCCTTGTTAAAACGCTGGTTGTTGGACCTCACCCAGAATTTCTGATTCATTAGGTCTGGCATGGATCTGAAAACTCATATTTCTGACAGGTTCCCCTGTGATGCTACTGTTAGTCTGGGACCACGTTCTGAGAGCCATGGTTGTAGGGTGATGGACCTGTCGTTTTTCTGTGGGATGTGTTCAAAGTCCGTAGATCTTCCTCCAGGCTTCTTCCTAGGTGGTATAAGCCTGGCTGTTATTTTGGGAGCCTTATGGTAGGAGAGGTCTGGAGGTTCTCCCTTCTGTATGCAGACTTTCACTTAATCCCCCTAAATGGTACCACTTCCTTGTCTTCTGTGGTGCCCTGGTTACCCAGATCCAGAGGCTCTTGTTCATCCTGTCTGAAGAGTAAACCTCCAGTCTTCTGCAGTTGCTTGTCTGGGGAGGGGGACCAGTACTTCCTGATTTCGGCCCTTCTTCTTGCTCACAACTTCAGAGGAAACTGGTACCTCCAGTGGTTCCATTTTGGAGGGGATTCTTCAGTGGCTTGCCATCCGCAATACTCAGTATCCTCTAAGTCAGTTACTACTCATGTGTCTTCTTTTCTTCTTCTAAAATTTTGTTGACCCTTCTAAAATTTTGTTGACCCTTCTAATGTGCTGTCTCTCTCTGCATCTTTTTCCTTCAGAGCTTTGCTGTTCCTTGATCATCAGTCCGAAAGGCGGTATCACACAGACTCTGCAGCCACACTGCCTACGTTTGAGTTCTGGGTCTGCCACTTGTTAGCTGTGAAAATGAGCAGCTTCCTTAAACACTGGTGATTCTCTGTCTCGTCTGTAAAATGCACATCACCACCTACTTGAGTGTTGAGGATTCAATTAGTTAATGTACTTCAAATAATCATGTAGTAAATGCTCAGTAGTGTGTGTGTGTGTGTGTGTGTGTGTGTATTTTTTTTTCTCTCTTTTTTTTGAGACAGAGTCTTGCTCTGTTGTCCAGGCTGAAGGGCAGTAGCGCAATCTTGGCTCACTGCAACCTCCGCCTCCCAGGTTCAAGCGATTCTCCTGCCTCAGCCTCTTGAGTAGCTGGGATTATAGCTACATACCACCATGCATGGCTAATTTTTGAATTTTTGTAGAGACAGGGTTTTACCATGTTGGCCAGGATGGTCTCAAACTTATGACCTCAAGTGATCTGCCTGCCTCGGCCTCCCAAAGTGTTGGGATTACAGGCATCAGCCACCACGCCCGGCCAGTAGTATATATTTATTAATAATAACTTAATGGAGTTTCTAGAAGGAGTGGAGATAAATTCATGTGTTCAACCTGCCATTTTGAATTTGTTTTAGCTTCTGTTGAACTTTGAATGATTTTATCTGGACAAAATGTTCATTGCCTTAAATGACTTTGCTGGCAGGACACAGTGGCTCACGCCTGATCCCAGCACTGTGGGAGGCCGAGATGGGCAGATCACGAGATCAAGAGATCAAGAACATCCATGCCAACATGGTGAAACCCCATCTCTACTAAAAATACAAAAATTAGCTGGACATGCTGGCGCGGGCCTGTAGTCCCAGCCACTCAGGAGGCTGAGGCAGCAGAATCGCTTGAACCTGGGAGGCGGAGGTTGCAGTGAGCCAAGATCACGCCACTGCACTCCAGCCTGGGGACAGAGTGAGACTCTGTCTCCAAAAAAAAAAAAAAAAAAAAAAAAGACTTTGCCAACCACTGCACTAATTCATTAGCCTGCTCTTTACAAATGAAGACCCAAGCCCAGAAAGGGAAGGGACTTACTCAAGGTCACAGGTTGAGTTAAGCAGCACTGGGACTAGACTCTTCGTCTCCATATTCAGGGTCAGGTGTTCTCTCATGCTCTCCTGTTGCATCTTCTGTCACTGACGGTAAATGAACTGATTTCAGCTGCTACCACGTGAATTAATCTACCTCAGGTCTACTGTATTCATCCTTAATGGCGTGTCATCTTTTCTATCTTCCTGAATTTTAGGGAGAACGTGAAAATAAATATTAGCAGGCATGCCACATTCTCAAAATTAACTGCCAACACTTGAACCTAGGCTTAATTTCCTTTTGGAAAATATTTGAAATTTAAATTCACTGGAAGCCTGTCGGATAGTGAGATAGAGGCATGACAGAAAAGAGTAACATATTCATTTAAAAAAAATCACATTCTGTATCTCCCATGGCTTGAACCTGTTATGAGAAAAAGCCCATGGTCCTTTTCCTTGGCAAATCATTTTATCTTAAAAGTTATGAGGATTGTAGTGCAAGACTTGTTGGCATAAGGCTTGGCCTAGGTAGAGAGATTTGTGTCCATGGACGCTCTCATCCCTTCTTCCCAGCGTTGAGTTTCGTGTCCTTTGCTCTGGGCTGCCAGGAGCCCAAGGCTCAGGAAGCATTGTCTGATTCATCTGGGTCTAGCCAGTTGGGCACACTTGCTAGGTTTAATGAGTTTTTCTTCTTATTCATGAGATTTGGAGCCAGATTTTATATATTTATTTTTTCCCCTATGCTTCTGTAAGGCATTGAAATTCATATATTTCTGCTCTCCCTTTATCTCACACATTTATTTTCTTTTTGAGTGACAGCATAATGAGGTCACCAAACCTGAGTATTATTCACAGGGCCATAAGCTTAAAGGAGAGAGGAGCTCCCTATATAGACACACACCCTTTATTTTGCAACCGCTGATAAATGGTTCCTGAAAGATCTGCTGGCATTAGTCTTCTCAGCATTTTCCCAAGGCCCCTGCTGAGGTTTCGAACCTGGCTCTGATAATTTAGCCCTCAGAAGGAAATGTTTTTTCCATGGGTGAAAGGTACAGTATTAGAATATTTCCTTGTGTTACCCACTAAATGTAGGCACACAGTTTTCACGAAATTGGCTTCAAGAGCTACACATTTGAATCTGGAATCTTGCCTAATTTGTTGTCACCACTGGCTTTGTGATGAAAGAGTAGGTGGAGAAGGATATGAGGAAATGAAGTAAGGGCTTGTTGATGCATACCATTTTTATGTTGTGTATATAGTACAGTGAGTTACACAGGGTTAATTATAGAGCTAGAATAATCATATTAAAAGGAGCTGTAGGCTGGGTACGGTGGCTCACATCTGTAATCTCAGCACTTTGGGAAGTGAGGTGGGAGGATTGCTTGAGCCCAGGAGGTCAAGGCTGCAGTGTGAGCCATAGTTGAACGACTGCACTGCAGCCTGGCAATAGCGTGACTCTGTCTCAAAAAAAGAAAAAAGAGAATTGTAGAGGTTCCCTATCAAAGCTATCATTTTACATGTGAATGCATGGACATAGAGTGTGGAATGAATGGAGACTGGAGTGGGATGAGGGATGAGAAATTACTGGGTACAATGTACATTATTTGGATGATGGTTACACTAAAAGCCCAGACTTCACCACTATGCAATATATCCATGTATCAAAACTGCCCTTGTACCCCTAAATTTATACAAATAAAAACATTTTTAAGCCATCATTTTACAGATGTAAAAAACCCTGAGGCTTAGAGCTATTAAGGGATTTGCCCATGGCACAAAGCTGTATCAGCTGAGATCTAACACAGCTGTTTATTGGTGGAAGCCATGCTTTTACATCCTGTCAGATTATTCACCTGCCCTGCTGATGGTATGAAGCATAGTAGGGAACAAAGCATCCTTAGTGTCATTCTTGAGCACAGAGGGCAAAGATGTGAATGTCCAGATGCCACACCAACATTTTATTTCAGGAGAGAAGATGCAGGCTTTTTCTACTAGTCTTTTAGACATATGAATTCTTGACTCTGATTTTGAAATGACATTGTATTGGAAAACTTGTGCTTCTGAATATTGCTCATTCCCAGGGTTTTCTACTGACATTTTTCATGTAGTTAGGTTTATCTCTCTCTGTGTAGTTAGCTTTGTCTCCCTCTTTTTTTTTTTCCTTGAGACAGGGTCTCATCTCTTGCCCAGGCTGGAGTACAGTGGTGGATCACAGCCCACTGCAGCGTCGAAATCCCTGGCTCAAGCCATCCTCCCACCTCAGCCTCCCAAGTAGCTGGGACCACAGGTGTATGCCACCACGCCTGGCTAATTTTGTTTATTTTTTGAGAGATGGGGCCTCACCTTGTGGTCTAGGCTGGTCTCAAACTCCTGGGCTCAAGCGATCCTCCTGCTTCCACCTCCCCAAGTGCTGGGATTACAGGCATGAACCACCACACCTGGCCCAGCCTTGTCTCTTTCTAATGAGCAATAAGAACTGAGAGGAAGAACATGCTCCTTGAGGGGCACAGCACTTGTTATACAAATTTCCTATCAAAAATTCAGTTTTAATCTCCTTGTTCAAGTTATGTTGTGAATAATGCTGTTAAATTTGGACACCAATTAGGTGAATTAGAGAGCTTGATGCTGCCTGACATGTGGGTGGGGAAAGAGAGTTGGAGGTACAGCCTGGACTATCCGTTACCAGTCAAGCAACATTCATCATGTTCACCCTAAGGCTTCTGGAGCTTGCTGGCTGGCTGACTGGCTCGCCAGGTACATTTAAGAAGCCTGTGCTTGGGGATGTTTCTTAACTGCAGACGGTTCCTTTATTATTCTGTACATGAGACTCCATTGTTTGCCCCTTAGCCCCACTTGGTTTAGCTTGTAGGCTAGTTGATGGAAGATGAGACCACATTGTTTTTCTAAATGTGTGTTCCTAGCCCTTCCCAAATTACAAGCATGGCAGCTACCTTTCTACTTTCGAACTTGTTGAGTATTGGCACTGTCATTGCCTCTTTGGCATGGAACCAGCCAGCTGGCCTGTGGTTAGCTTAGGAAGACCTTAGGAAGAACATCCAAGCAGCTGATTACATCACCACTTTTTTCCAATTGGGGACAAAAGTGGGTGAACCAAGGTGCGTGAACTAAGAGTTAACAAGCATTTTCTGTAAAGGGCCAGATAGTAAATACTTAAGGATTCGTGGGTAATATAGTTTCAGTTGCAGCTACTTAACTCTGATGCTATAGTGCAAAAGCAGCTATACACAATGTATAAATGAATGGGTGTGGCTGTGTTCCAGTGAAACTTTACAAAAGAAGCATGAGCTGAATCCGTTGCCTATAGTTTACTGACCTGTTATATACTGATAGGGCCTCTAAGGCTTTTGAAGTAGGTTTTATTTTTATTATTTATTGCTCTAGCATATACTTCTGTAGTTTCAACACAGTATTTAGGAATTGAAGCATTTCTTGTTAAAGAATACAAATGAACCGGAAGTGAAAAAAATTTTCCCAGCTTACTACAGGTGATCATGGGACTATACTGATTAGTAAGTGAGTAAGTAACATAGAAGTTACTGTTAAATTTAGCATCTCATTTGTAAAGCCTTCACGCTCTGCTGGAACTTGAAGCAGAATGTTTCCAAAGTCTTAACTAAAGACACCATGCTCCCATTCTGTCTCAGTTGAAGCTGAGGATGCTTAGCTGCTGGCAGAATGGCAGGCCAGAGACCCTGATGGCTCTTACGTTCCAGTGAAACAGACAGTCTGTGTTCAGGGCCTTGAAGGTAAAGGTCAGAGCTTGGGCTTTTGGCAGGCAAAATAGGTGAACTGTAGTTCAAATATGACCCAATATAATGGTATATGTGGGCAGAGTGTTCTGAATAGCTGATCAGAACACAAAAATGCTTTTCACGCCTGTAATCCCAGCACTTTGGGAGGCCAGGGTGGGTGGATCACCTGAGGTCAGGAGTTCGAGACCAGCCTGACCAACATGGTGAAACCCCATCTCTACTAAAAATATAAAATTAGCCAGGCGTGGTGTCGCATGCCTGTAGTCCCAGCTACTCGGGAGGCTGAGGCGGGAGAATTGCTTGAACCCAGGAGGCAGAGGTTGCAGTGAGCCGAGATCGTGCCATTGCACTCCAGCCTAGGCAACAAAAGTGAAACTCCATCTCAAAAAAAAAAAAGCTTTCAAAAAATAAGCTCAAGAACAGATAGATACTTGTACACCAATGTTCACAGCAGCATTATTCACAATAGCCAAAAGGTGGAAGCAACCCAAGGGTCTACCACTGGGTGAATGGATAAACAAAATATGGTATATGGCTGGACACAGTGGCTGATGCCTATAATCCCAGCACTTTGGGAGGCCAAGGCAGGCAGATGGCATGAACCCAGGAGTTTGAGACCAGCCTGGGCCACATGTCAAAACCTTGTCTTTACAAAAAATACAAAAATTAGCCAGGCGTGGTGGTATGCACTTGTAGTTCCAGCTACTTGGGAGGCTGAGGTGCGAGAATCACCTGAGCCCCGGGAGGTCAAGGCTGCAGTGAGCCATGATTATACCACTGCACTTCAGCCTGGGCAACAGCGAGACCCTGTCTCAAAAAAAAAAAAAAAAAAAGTATATACATACAGTGAAATATTACTCAGCCTTTAAAAAGAAGAAAATTCTGCTGCAACATGGGTGAACCTTGAAGACATTACACTAAGTGAAATAAGCCAGTTACAAAAGGACAAATGTTGTGTGATTCCACTTATATGAACTACCTAGAATAGTCAAATTCATGAAGACAGAAAGTGGAATGATGGTTGCCAGGGGCCGGGAGGAGGGGGAATGGAGAGTTACTGTTTAATGGGTATAGTTTCAGTTTGGGAAGATGAAGAATTCTGGAGACAGATAGTGGTGATGGTTGTAGAATGTACTTAATGCCACAGAACTGTACACTTGAACATGGTTAAAATGGTAAACTGTATGTTATTTATATTTAATCCAATTTTCAAAAGATAATTAGCTCAAGAAGACTTGTTACCAGGTGGGCAAGAGAGATTGCTTATAGTGCTTTGTGACTGTAGACACTAAAAACAATTTGTCTTTCTATTGAAACCCAATGATTAGAAACATCTGATGCTAAGGAGTAATCTTTCCTACTCTTTATTTTTGTACTTGGTGCCTCAGCTGTTAAGAGTCAAATTGTATTAGTTCAGCCCTGTAGCTGCACTTCAAATGGTCACTTAAAAGGAATTGCCTTCTAAGAGGTACATATTTAGGAGATGCAGATGTGTTGTGAGCTTATTTTTCTTGGGTTGGTTTGTAAGCTGTAAATGTCGTGTAACCTTGACAGAGCTATTTTGAGGACCAGCAAAACAAGCCGTGCTAACATGTCTTCCAAGTAAAGGTGTGTTGGCATCATCTGCAAATTACAAATAGCTTTCAAACCTATAATTCTACCCCATTTGTCCTGTGGGTCCTCATACTCATTATGTCTAAAGTGAACACCCTTGCCCATCTTTTGTTTCCTCTGTGTTAGGGGGGCACACAATCCATCTAGTCGTGCACAGTTGAAACTCTGGGATTGTCTTTGGCTCATCCTCTCTTATGTGTATTTTGTGACACTTATTACAATAGTAATTACATAACTATTTATAGTGTTGTAACTCCACAAGAGCAGGGCTGTGACTGAATTATTTACTGAGGTATCTACATAATAGCTGCTCAGTAAACCACTGTCCTAATTGAGATCCTCTTCATCTTTTACCTAACCCAGGATTTCTTTAACTTTACTAGCATGTTGAGAGAATTCTTACCGACCTTCTAGTGAATGAGCCTACTAACAGATTGTTTTTCTAGGGAAAAACAGATTTCATTGTAGGGAATGAGCTACTAACAGATTGTTTTTCCCCAGGCTTAATTCTGATCTTATTCTGCTCTGAGTGGCTTCTCATTTCGTTTTCATTCAGCAGGGTGCTCAGCAGGTATGTCAGCACCTTCCATGTGCCAAGTACTGTTCTAGGTGCTGAGGGTGCAGCAGTGAGCAGAGTAGGCCAAGCCTTTTTGAGTATGAGCTTACATCCTAGTGGAGTAGCAGACAATAAACAGATGGAAGATGTCCAGTGGTGACCAGTGCCATGAAGAAAAGTAAAGCAGGAGCCAGCCTCTCTTAATAGAGATCTAAATGAAGTGAGGGAGCAATCCATGAGGATATCTGAAGGCAGAGGGAACAGTAAGCACGGAGCCCTGAGGCAGGAGCACACTTGGTGTTTTGGGGAAACAGCAAGAAGCCAGAATGATAAGGGCAGAGTGACCAAGGAGAAAAGTGGAAGGACACGAGGTCAGAGAAGTAGCCACCCAGCCCAGCACAGTTCCTTGCATGTGTATGGTATGGCTCAGTAAATACGTTGTGAATGAATGAATGAAACCAATCAATAATTATGTATTTATGAATAAAAAATCAGGGCAGGGTGTTAGAGGTATACCTAAGGTAATAGAAAGTTAGGATGCATATTCCATGGTTCATGAAGACAGCACTGCGTTTTGCTTGCACTTTCCCCTTCGGTTTAGGAGAGATGATGATAATGGCCGGAGCCAGAAGACTAATTCTGACTTGTTCTTGAAGGAAATTCTGTTCTGCACACAGTGACAATCAGAGGTTAGAAACTTGTCAGCGGAGCCGTGAGTCGAGCAGAGCTGCTCAGCTCTTGGTGGTTGTAAAACGTGCCTCTACCTCATGTTTGAGAAAGCTTGTGTTTTCCGTGTATATGGCTTAGCATTTTAAGTAATCACGATATCTGAGGGGTAATGGGAATGCAGGAGCAGCAGGTGGTGGCTAGTTTTCTGTAGGATTTAGGAAAGGACTGCTGATTTAACTGAATCTCTGATTATTCTAAGCTGCTCATAGAAATCCACCAGTCACTGCTGTCTCAGACGTCAGAGGGAGAAGCTTAAGCATGTTCTGTTGTTGACAGCCATTCTGGTTGACTTCTCTAAGACTGCCAGCTGTATTCTTGATATTCAGAGTCCTGCAGATGTGGCCCCTCTCTGCTATTCTACCCTGCTTTCCCACAGTGTCCTCTTGCATCAGCTGGCCATCTCTCCATGACTGTGTTCCCCCTCCTCTGGGCCTTTGCTCTAGTGTTCCTTTGGCTTGGAGTATCTGCTCACATCTGCCAAGCAGAGCCGTATCCATGCTTCAAGCTTTCTTCCATATTTTCTTCCTTTGCTTTCTTTCCTTTTTCTTTCTTCCCTTGCTTTCCCTTTCCCTTTCTCTTTCTCCTCTTTTCTTTTTTCTTTCTTCAGGGTCTTGCTCTTGCCCAGGCTGGTGCAGTGGTGCAATCATAGTTCATTGTAACCTCGAATTCCTGGGCTCAAGTGATCTTCCCACCTCAGCTTTCTGAGTAGCTGGAACTACAGGTGTGTTGCCACCACACTCAGTTAATTTAAAAAAAAATTTTTTTTTTTTGGTAGATACAGGGTCTTGCTTTGTTGCCCAGGCTGGTCTCGAACTCCTGGCCTCAGGCAATCCTCCCACCTCGGCCTCACAAAGTGCTGTGTAGCCACTGTGCCCGGCCCCTTCAAAGTTTTCTTTTCTCAAAGGGACCCATGCCCTCTTTCTTGTGCTCTGTCCTATCACAGTGGGGGGTTGTGTGAAGTCCCATCTCTCTGAAGACAGTCTTCTCATATCCCTCCAGGTGTAGTTCATCTCCCCCTCTTCCACTGCACCTTAACCCCTCATTACTTAGTGTTGTCATTGGACTAATAGCGTCAGCATCACCTGGGTGGGGGCCTGTTCGAAGTGCAGAATTTCAGGTCCCGCCCCAGACCTACTGAACTAGAATCTGGTGCTTCTTACATCCTGTGCACATTAAAGTTTGAGAAGCATTGCCGCCACACATTGGTCCTACTCCCCTTACTGGTCTGAGCAGGATGTAGATGGTTCGAGTGTTTTTGTTCCCCTCTAGATGTTGAACTCCTGAATCGTGAGCCATCTCTTACCTAGTATAGTTCTTAGCATGTTTCAAGCACTTAAAAGTATTTACTGAATTACCTTAACTAACCCCTGACCTTATGTTTGAGATGCTTCTTCAGTCAACATACTATATAAGTGCATTTACCTGTGCTTGGTGCTTGTAGGTGCATGAGACACCCTGCTGTGAATGGGAGTCAGCCTCTGTCTTTGGCATTTATAGATGAGTGGGGAAGATAGATTATGCATCAATTATTAATAATTATGAGAAAAGGCAGAGTCTGATAAATTCTGTAACTGCATAGGCATCACCAGAGGCCTAAGGGAACATCAAAGGAGTAGCTGATATTTACAGTTCTGAGGGTTTGTGACTGTTGCATGGAAAGGATGGTATTTAGTTGGTACATTGCAAGATGAATAGGACTTTGACAGACAGGCACAGTGGAAAGAGGCATTCCAGGCCAGGGGAGAGTGTTCAGAGGCCCAGGCATGAAAGTACACCTACAGTGTTTCTTAAATAAGTAAGACATAGAGGAGCAAGGTGGAAGGTGGGATTGGAGAGGTCGATTGAGTACAGACTGTGTACTCCTTAAATTTTCATGGTGAGGAGTCTAGACTGCTAAGAAACACCTGCAAATCAGTTGAAGTTGGTATAGTTACATGTTCAGTGGTTCCTGAGGACTCTGCCCACTTCTCTCCCTTCCTCTGCTCCCATTCTACCTTGCTGGATCTGAGTAGTAGGAAGTGGGGGGAGGGTTTAGAAGAAGTGGGAAGCAGCCTGAATGTTTTAGCCAGCTGTTCATATGGGACTGGAGCCCCAAGTCCTTTTTTAGTGTCAGCTGGTCAGCTACTTCCTTCCTCACCCCCTTCCTGTGTCACTACCCAGTGGGGCACTCTAAAGCAGAGAGACCAAAACTCCATCACAGAGTGTTCAAAGAGTGTGCTCTAAAATGCTATCGAAAACTGCAGACTGAGCCCAGTATGTTTTATTATACTTGCCATCAGTTTCTTAACCCCAAGAGTTTATGAGGACTCATCATTTCTGCTTGTGGTAGTACTATATGAACCTGTGTCTCTCTGTCCGTATTCTAGGCTGGCAGTCAGGCCATCAGCATTGAAGGTGAAAGAATCCCCCTGACTTCCATTTCCTTATATGCCATCTTGTTAGAAACCCACAAAGTAGCTAGTGTGGTCTGTTTATTTCTTCAGGACTGGGAATGCACTGTTACCCTGGGAGTCAGGCCCTCCACAAATTGACCCTAAGCCTCACCATCTTTTTCTTGAGCTTTTTACTTCAGCCAACTGAATTTTCAGATGAGATGAGAAGGTCATGCTTTTCCACCTTTGAGCTCCCACTTTGACCAGCTCTGCCAGTCCTGAGCCAGAAGGTCAACAGTTAAAAAGAAGAGGTAAAATTCATCAGAAATTTTGTTACTTGTTTGTATCTCAGATGAAGCCTATTTTTAGATGAAATAGGCTTTAGAATTCATTAAGTACAACTGAGTATGAGGCACTGTGTTAAGTACTAGGATATAACCTTCCTTTCTTTGGGAAGAATATTCAGCCTGGATGGAGAGACATTCATTAGGGACAATATAATGTGTGCTGTAGTGGACGCTTGTACCAAGTGCCACAGAAAGGAGAGAGCTGACTGCCTGGAAGTCAGAGGCCCCTCAGAGGAGGGAACATTTCAGCTTAATCTTCAAGGATGAGGAATAATTCACTGGGCAGAAAAATGAGGGGATAAGAATCCAACCTGAGGGAACAAGACAATTTCTGGGAATTGCCAACAGTTTTTAGAAGAGAGTCATGGTGGGGGATAAAACTGGATGGGGGCCAGGTGCAGCGGCTCACACCTATAATCCCAGCACTTTGGGAGGCTGATGCAGAAGGAAGCCTTAAATCCAGGAGTTCAAGACCAGCCTGGACAACAAAGTGAGACCCCATCTCTACCAAAAATAAAAAAATTGGCCAGGTACCTATAGTCCCGGCTACTTGGGAGGATCACTTAAGCCCAGGAGTTAGAGGCTGCGGTGAGCTATGATTGTGTCACTACACTCCAGCCTGGGCAAGAGTGAGATCCTGTCTCTAAAAAAAAAAAAAAAAAAAGAGAAAAAAACCTGTTTAGGGTTTGGATCTGACTTGTAGGCAGTAGGGAGCCCCCTAAAATGGGGACTGACATGACCAGACTCAATTATATGTTGAGTTGACTCATTCAAAAACATCATTTATTCGACAAATACTGAATATTAATTTCTGACTATTCCAGGAAACATGAAACATGAAGATTGCCCCCTTGGTGCAGCCCATGTTTTAGTAAGGATTAGATAAGTTAGTTATATCAGGCCACCACCATTTGCTCTTGTCAAGGTTACTAATGACCTCCACAATACAGAGCTAGTTCATAACCACACAGATCTCCATGTGCCACCTTTTATAGTCACATCCAGCCCCCTCCCACCCACCATCTCTAATCTCTGGCAACCATGAATTTGTTGTCTCTCATTTTGAAACTGTTATATAAATGAAATCGTAGAGTTCGTGACCTTTTTTCACCCAGCCTAATGCCCATGAGGTCCATCCAAGTTATTGTGTGTATTGATCATTTTTTCCTTTATATTTCTCAGTAGTAGTCCATGATATGATTGTACCATAATTTGTCTAACCATTTCCAACCATCGAAGGACATTTTTCAGTTTTTAGGTATTATGAATAAAGCTGCTATGGATATTCATGTACAGGATTTTGAGTGAACTTGTTTCCATTTCTCTGTAGTAAATGCCCAAGAGTAGAATTTTATGTCATACAGTTTGTGTATTTCAATTTTAGAAGAAATTGTCAAACTATTTTCCAGAGTAGCGATATCATTTTGCATTCCCATTGGCATATATAAGTGTGGTGGTTAATTTTATGTGTCACCTTGGCTAGGCCCAGTTGTTTGGTCAAACACCAGTCTAGATGTTGCTGTGAAGATATTTTTTAGATGTGATTAACATTTAAATTAGTAGACTTTAGTTGAGTACAGTGGTATGTGCCTGTAATCCCAGCTACCTGGGAAGCTGAGGCGGGAGGATTGCTTGAGCCCAGGAGTCTGAAACCAACTTGGGCAACATAGTGAGACCCCATCTCATTTTAAAATAATAATAAGTTAGTAGACTTTCAGTAAAGTTGATTACCTTCCATAATGTGGGTGGGCCTCATCCAGTCAGTGTAAGGCCTTAAAGAGCAGAAATTGAGCTTTCCCCTGAAGAAGCAGTTCTTCCTCAAGATTGCAAAATAGGCTGGGCGCAGTGGCTCACTCCTATGATCTTACCTCACTTTGGGAGGCTGAGGTAAGAGGATTGCTTGAGCCCAGGAGTTTGAGACCAGCACAGGCAACATAGTGAGACGCTGTCTCCACAAGAAATAGAAAAATTAGCCAGATGTTGTGGCACATGCCTGTAGTTGCAGCTACTCAGAAGACTGAGGCAGGAGGATTGATTGAGCCTGGGAGGTCCAGGGTGCAGTGAGCCGTGATTGCACCACTGCACTCCAGCCTGCGTGACAGAGTGATACTGTGTCTCAAAAAAAAAAAAAAAAAAAAAAAAAAAAAGATTGCAAGATAAAAACCCTACCTAAGTTTCCTGCCTGCTCACCTGCCCTGCAGATTTCTGACTCAAGACTGTAACATCAAACCTTATCTGAATCTCCAGCCTGCTAGCCACACTGTATATTTTGGATTTGCTAGCCTCCGCAATTGCATGAGCCAATTCCTTAAAATAAAAATAAGTTTCTCTGTCTCTCCCCGCCATACCTCCTCCCTCTCTCTTTCTCACTCCCTGTCCTCTTTCCCTTCTCCATTCCCTTCTTCCCTCCCGCTGTCTTCCCCTTTTCCCTTCTCTCCCCCTCTCCACTCTTATCCCTCACCTTCTCTCTCTCCCCACCTCCTTCTTTTCCTCCTTCCTACTTTCTTCCCCATTCTATTTCTCGGGAAAACCCTGACTAATATGGGTGACCCAATTCTTTTGCATCCTCACCGGCATTTTATATATATATATATATATATATGTGTGTATATATGTATATGTATATACGTGTGTATGTGTATATATGTGTGTACATATGTATATGTGTGTATATATATGTGTATATGTGTGTGTGTGTGTGTATATATATATATTTAAATTCTCTTTATTTTTATTTTTTAGTAGAGATGGGTTTTGCCACGTTGCCCAAGCTGGTCTTGAACTCCTGGGCTCAAGACCAGCTGGGATTAGAAGCATGAACCACCATGTTACAGGCATGAACCACCACACCCAGCCTAGCATTTTATATGATCACTGTTTTTTATTTTAGCCATTCTGTTAAATGAGTAGTGGTATCTCATTGTGATTCTTTTTTTTTTTTTTTTTTTGAGACAGAGTTTTACTCTTGTTGCCCAGGCTGGGGTGCAATGGTGCGATCTCAGCTCACTGCAACCTCCGCCTCCCAGGTTCAAGTGATTCTCCAGCCTCAGCCTCCCAGGTAGCTAGGATTCTAGGATGCGCCACTATGCCTGGCTAATTTTTGTATTTTTAGTAGAGACAGGGTTTCGCCATGTTGGTCAGGCTGGTCTCGAACTCCTGACCTCAGGTGATCCGCCCACCTTGGCTTCCCAAAGTGCTGGGATTACAGTCATTGAGTCACCACGCCCGGCCTCACTGGGATTCTAATTTGCATTTTGCTAATGGGTAATGATGTTGGACATCTTCTTATGTGTTTATTTGCCATCTGTATATCCTTTTTAATGAAATATCTTTTCATGTCTTTTGCCCATTTTCTCATTGGATTGTTTTTTGTTTTTTTATTGTTGAGTTTTTAGAGTTCTTTACATATTATAGATACAGATAGATCTTTGTCAGGTATGTAGTTTGCAGATATATTTTTTAGTATGTAGATTGTCTTTTAATTCTAACTGGTTCTTTCACAGAGCAAAAGTTTTTCGTTGTGATTTAGTCCAATTTTTTTTTTAATGGTTTGTGCTTTTGGTCTCATGTCTGAGAACTTCTCACCAAACCCCAAGTCCTGAATATTTTCTGCTATATTTTATTCTAAAAGTTTTATAGTTTTAAGTTTTATATTTAAATCTTTGGTCCATTCTGAGTTAAGTTTTGCCTCCAGTGTGAGGTATAGGTTGAAGTTCTTTTTTTTTGCATATGGATATCCAGTTGTTCCAGCCCCATTGATAGTTGAAGAAACTCTTTTCTCCATCTAAATGCTTTTGTACCTTTGTCAGTAAGCAGCTAGCCATTCTTGTGTGAGGTTACCTCTGGGTTCTCTATTCTGTTCTATTGTTCTTTGTTCCTGTCCCTTCACCAATATGACACAGTCTTACTGTAGCTATGTAGTTGACCCTTGAACAATGTGGGGGTTGGAATGTTGACCCCCTGCCCCCATTCAGAAATCAAAGTGCAACTTTTGACTTCCCAAAAACATAATTACTAATAGCCTACTGTTGACTAGAAGGAAACCTTACAGATAACATAAACAGTCAATTAACTTTGTTTTGTTTTGTTTCTTCTTCTTCTTTTTGAGATAGGATGTTGCTCTGTCATCCAGGCTGGAGTGCAGTGGCATGATCATAGCTCACTGCAGCTTCGACCTCCCAGGCTCAAGCAATTCTCTCACCTCAGCCTCCCGAGCAGTTGGGACCACAGGTGCACACTACCACTACCATGCCCAGCTAACTTTTTTATTTTTTGTAGAGACGGGATCTTGCCATGATGCCCAGGCTAGTCTTGAACTCCTGGCCTCAAGCAATCCTTCTGCCTAGCCCCCTAAAGCAGTGGGATTACAGGCGTGAACCTTTGTGCTCAGCTTATTAACACATATTTTGTATGTTATGTGTATTATGTTATGTGTTATACTGTATTCTTACGATAAAGGAAATTAGAGAAAATAAAATGTTGTTTAAAAACTCAATGGCTGGGCATGGTAGCTCACGCTTGTAATCCCAGCACTTTGGGAGGCTGAGGTGGGCAGATCATGAGGTCAAGAGATCAAGACCATTCTGGCCAACATGGCGAAACCCTGTCTCTACTAAAAATACAAAAATTAGCTGGGTGTGGTGGCGTGCACCTGTAGTCCCAGCTACTCAGGAGCCTGAGGTGGGAGAATTGCTTAAACCCAGGAGGCGGAGGTTGCAGTGAGCCAAGATCGCGCCACTGCACTCCAGCATGGCAACAGAGCGAGACTCTGTCTCAAACAAACAAACAAAAAGAAACATAAGGAAGAGAAAATATATTTACTATTCATTAAGTGGAAGTGGATCATCATAAAGGCCTTCATCACCATCATCATCTTCACATTGAGTAGTCTGGGAGGAGGAAGAGAAGGGTTGGTCTTGCTGTCCCTGGTGGCAGAGGCGGAAGAAAATTTGTGTACAAGTGGACCTACACAGTTCAAGCCGGTGTCGTTCAAGGATCAACTGTACATTGTCATTTCTATCTGACTTTTTGCTTTTTCGTTTCTCCAAACATTTTTCTATATGGTACCAATTCTTTTCCACCATTTGTTTTAGTTTCAGTGCCCGTATCATAGAAGAGTCCATGTCATAAAAGAAACCATGAATAATTGAAACTCTTTTGCCAAGTTGTCTAATGTCAATTTGTTTTCTGGCACTGCTTCTTGAATGTCTTCCTTGTTGTCCAGCACTGGTTTGGGAGCTCTCATCTCTATCAAGTTGTCTTCTATTAATTCCTCAGGTATAGTATCAATTAGCTGTTTAATTTCTCAAAGATCTATATCTTGAAACTCTTCACCCCTCACCTTTTTGCCATATTCATGATCTCTTCCATGACTGGCTATGTCATAAATCCCGTGACGTCATGTACAACAGCTGAACAGCTTTCTCCAGCAGGAACTTACTGTTTCAGTCTTGATGGCTTTCACAGCTTTTTCTATAACAATGATGGCATCTTCCATGGTATAATCCTTCCAGGCTTTTATGATGTTCTCTCTACTAGGGTTCTCTTCCATAGCATTGGCAATCCTTTCCATACAGTACTGTGTATAATGAGCTTTAAAGGTCCTGTGACACCCTGATTTAGAGGCTGAGTTAGAGACATTGTGTTTGGGGGCAGGTAGACCACTTTGATGCCTTCATAGGTGAATTCTTGGGGTTCCAGATGGCCAGGGGCATTGTCCAATACCAAAGAACTTTAAAAGACCATCCCTTACTGGCAAGGTACTTCCTGACTTCAGTGACAAAACTTCAAAGGAACCAATCCAGAAAAAGTTTTCATCATCCTTATCTTCTTGTACAACCAAAAGACTGGCAGCTGGTGTCATCCTTTCCGTTCAAGGCTCAGGGCTTAGCAGCTTTATAGGCAAGCTCTCGTTCTGTCACCTAGGCTGGCTTCAAACTGCAGGGCTCAAGCAATTCTCCTGTCTTGGCCTCCTGTCTTGGGATTATAGGCATTAGCCACTGTGCCTGACCAGAATTTCATTCCCTTTTTAAATTGATTTTATTTGTTTTATTATCATCATTTTTTGAGACATGGCCTCTCTGTCACCTAGGCTGGAGTGCAGTAGCATGATCATAGCTCACTGCAACCTCAAACTCCCAAGTAGCTGGGACTACAGGCACATGCCACTATGCCCAACTAATTTTTAATTTTTTTTTTTTACAGAGATGAGCTCTATCCTATGTTGCTCGGGCTGGTCTCGAACTGCTAGCCTGAAGTGATTCTCCCACCTCAGCCTCCCAAAGTTCAACTTTTATTTTTTTAGAGCAGTTTTAGTTTCACAGCAAAATTGAGTGAAAGCTACAGAGATTTTCCTTATATCCCCTATCTCTACATACACACATACAGTGGCTAACAATGTTGAACATCTTTTCATGTGCTTGTTGGCCATTTGCACTTTATTCTTCTCATTCAAAATTGTTTTAGCTATTCAAGTTCCTTTGTCTTTCATATAAATTTTAGAATAATATCATCTATAGCTATAAAAACAATCTTGCTGGTAATCCCAGCACTTTGGGAGGCCAAGGTGGGAGGATCAGTTGAGGCCAAGAATTCGAGATTAGCCTGGGCAACATAGCAAAACTCCGTGTCTCCAAAATAAAAAATTAGCTGGGTATGGTGGTGCGCATCTTGTAGTCCTAGCTACTCGGGAGCCTGAGGTAGGAGGATTGCATGAGCCCAGGAGTTTGAGGCTATAGTGAGCTACGATTATGCCACTGCACTCTAGCCTGGGCAACAGAGCAAGACACACAAGTCCTGTACATTGGTTTGTTAGATTTACACATAAGTATTTAATTTTTTTAGTGATTGTAAATGTAATTTTATTTTAAATTTTGGTTTCCAAGTGTTACTTGCTGGTACATGGAAAACACAACTGATTTTTGTATGTTGATCTTGTGTCTTGTAACTTTGCTGAACTCGCTTATTATTTCTAGGGTTATTTGTTTTTTTGCAAACTGCTTTGGATTTTCTACATAAACCATAAATAATGTCAGGCCAGGCGCTGTGGCTCACACTTGTAATCCCAACACTTTGGGAGGCCAAGGCGGGTGGATCACTTGAGCTCACAAGTCCAAGACCAGCATGGGCAACATAGTGAAATCCCATCTCCACAAAAAATACAAAAATTAGCTGGGTGTGGTGGTGCCCACCTGTAGTCCCAACTACTTGGGAGGCTGAGGTGGGAGGATGGTGTGAGCCCAGGAGGTGGAGGTTGTAGTGAACTAAGATTGGATCACTGCACTCTTAACTTGGGTGACAGAGGGAGATCCTGTTTCAAAAAAAAAAAAAGAAAGAAAAAAACCCATAATGTCATCAGCAAATAGGGATAGTTTATTTCTTATTTTCTGATTTGTATTCCTTTTATTTCATTTTGTTGCCTTACTGAGCTTGCTAGAACTTCCAAGAGTGTGCTAAATAGCAGTGGTAAGAGTCTTGCCTTGTTCAGCATCTTAGGGGTGAGCGTTCAGTGTTTTACTAGAATACTAGAAGTTTTTTGTAGATGTTCTTTGTCAAGTTGAGGAAGTTCCCCTCAATTCCTAGTGTTCTGAGAATTTTTATTATGGATGAGTGCTGAATTTTGTCAAGTTTTTTTTTTTTTTTTTTTTTTTGCATGGAGAGGGTTGTGTCACTTCTTTTTTCTTGAGTCTATTAATATACTGGATTACATAGATTTATTTTCAAATATTAAGTCTGCCTTAACCCGGATAAACCCTATTTGGTTATGGTATATAATTATTTTTATATATTGCTGAATTCTGTTTGCTGATATTTTGTTAAGGATTTTTGCATATATATTCATGAGGGATATTGGTCTGTACTTTTCTTGTTTTATACTGTCTGTCTAGTTTTGGTACTAGGGTAATACTGCATAAAATGAACTTGGAGTTATCCCTTAATCTTCTGTTTTCTGGAAGAGATTGTTTAAAATTGGTATTAATTCTATTTTAAACATTTGGTAGAATTCTCTGGTGAAACCATCTGGACCTGGTAGATTTCTTTTTCAAGCATTTTAAAATTACAGATTTAGTTTTCTTGTTAATTATAAGGCTTTTCAATTATTCCCCCATCTTGGGTAAGTTGTCATTTTCAAGAAATTGGTCAATTTCATCAGTTGTCAAATTTATGTGTAGAGTTGTTCATAGTATTCTCCTGTTATCATTTTTATGATTGCGGGGTCTGTAGTATTATCGACTGTTTCATTCCTGTATTGGTGATTTGTCTTTTCTGTCTTTGTCAATTTTATCAATATTTTCAAAGAAGCATCTTTTTGTTTCATTAGTTTACTGTTTTCCTGTTTTTAATTTCATTGATTTCTGCTCCTTTTAATTTCCTTCCTTCTGCTTGCTTTGAGTTTATTTTTTCTCTAGTTCCTTGGAGAGGTAGTTTGGGTTATTCACTTGAGACTTTTCTAATGTAAGCATTTAGTGTCATAATCTCACCACTGCTTTAGATATGTTGTATTTTCACTTTCATTCATTCAATGTATTTTTAAATTTCCGTTCCTTTTTTAGAGACTCCTCTTTGACCTACAGACTATTTCGAAGCATGTTGGACCTTTGATGGATTCATGGGTTTATTTTCCTAATTTACAGATATTATTTTCTATGTATCAAATATTGCATAATGCAAATATCATTGTAAGAGAGGAAACATTTTTGACATGGTCAGATTCCTGCCCTTGGGGATTTTACATTGTGTTGTGTGTAGCTTTTAATTCATTCATTTTCACTGATGAATAATGTTCCATTATATGAATATCAGAAATTAGGATTCTCCTCTCAGTGGTTATTTAGGTGGTTTTTTATTTTGTTTAGTTTTCTGCTTTTCTGAATAGTGATGTAAACATTTTATTACATATTTTCTGGAGCGTATGCATCTAAGGTATATAGCTAGGAGTTAAATTGCTAGGTCATTGAGTATGTGCGTGTTCAACTTTTCATGATCATGTTAGTATTGGCATTATTTTTCAAAGTGGAAATTGTGTAAATTTACATACATTCTAGCAGTGCTTAAGAGCTCTTCTGTCCATCCACATCATCATCAGCTTTGGGTATTATTGGACTTCCTAATTGGACTTCTCCTGGATGTGAAATTATATCTCATTGTGATGCTAGCATTCCCCTGATTATTACTGAGATTGATCATCTTTTCCTTTGTTTTAGACCATTCTGTTTCATTATCTATGAAATACCTAGTTTTAGGTAAGTCTTAAGCTCACTTTTTTTTTCTCAAATTATGATTCGTTGATTTATTGGAGTTCTTTATGTACTCTGGATACTAATTATTTGTTGGTTTTATGTTTGCAAATATCTTTTCTCACTTGTAACTTGTCTTTTTTTCGAGATGGAGTCTTGCTCCGTCACCCAGGCTGGAGTGCAGTGGCAAGATCCTGGCTCACTGCAACGTTCGCCTCCCGGGTTCAAGCGATTCTCCTGCTTCAGCCTCCCAAGTAGCTGGGATTACAGGTGCATGCCACCACACGTGGCTAATTTTTTATATTTTTGGTAGAGATGGGGTTTCAGCATGTTGGCCAGGCTGGTCTTGATCTCCTGACCTCAAGTGATCTGCCCACCTCAGCCTCCCAAAGTGCTCGGATTACAGGCGTGAGCCACCACACCTGGCCTGGACAGAAGTTCTTAATTTTACTGTAGTCAGATATTGAAGTCTTCTCTCTTAAGGTTAATGCTTTTTGAATTATTGTTTAAGAAATCCTAATCTCAAGGTCAAAAAGACCTACAATATTTTCTTCCAAAATTTTGAAGTTTTGCCTTTAATGCTTAAGATTTTTCTTCTTTTTTTTTTTTTGTATTTTATAAAAAAAATAGAGACAAGGTCTTGCCATGTTGCCCATGCCAATCCCAAACTCCTGGGCTCAGGCAGTCCTCCCACCTCGGCCTCCCAAAGTGTTGGGATTGTAGGCGTGAGCCACTGCACCTGGCCATTAAGGCTTTTTTCTATCTGGAATTGATTTTGGAGTGTGATGTGAAGCAGAAATTCAATTTGATTTTTTTTCCATGTGGATAACTAGTTGTCCCAACACCATTTTTTAAGTGGACTCTCTTTTCCATATTATCTGCAATGCCATTTCTGTCATTTATCAAGTTTACATATATATGGGATGTATTTCTGACTGCTTATTCTGTTCATTTGGTCGGTTTGTTTCAGTACCACAATTTCCTAATTTCTATTGCTTTATAGGTGTTGACATCTGATAGGGCAGTTCTGCCTACCTTATTCTTTTAAATTTTTGGGGGGGATTAATTTATCCCTACTGCTTCTCCATTTTATAGACTTATTCTTACCCACCAGCTTCATGGCCTTTATGATTCAAATATGTGCATCAATAAAAGTATGGATTACTACTTATCATGCACTTTCAGCATCCTTTGTGACTGTGTTAAAGCTTAGTCTTAACCCCACTGATCCCAAGGGCATTCTTTCCATGCAGTCTGGGCACTTAACTGTTCTTTTTTTTTTTTCCTGGGTGCAGGCATTTATTTTTTTAAAAATTTTAGATTTTTAGGGGGTACACGTGCAAGTTTGTTACATAGGCATATTGTGTGATGCTGAGGTTTGGGTTTCCATTGAACCTGTCACCCAAATAGTGTACAGAGAACCCAATATGTCGTCAATATGTAGTTTTTCTTTTCTTTTCTTTTGAGACAGAGTCTTGTTCTGTCCCCCAGGCTGGAGTGCAATGGCACGATCTTGGCTCACTGCAATCTCCACCTCCCAGGTTCAAGTGATTGTCCTGCCTCAGCCTCCCAAGTAGCTGGGACTACAGGTGCATGCCACCACACCTGGCTAATTTTTGTATTTTTAGTAGAGACGGGGTTTCACCATGTTGGCCAGGCTGGTCTTGAACTCCTGACCTCAGGTGATCCGCCCGCCTTGGCCTCGCAAAGTGCTGGGATTATAGGCGTAAGCCACTGTGCCCGGCCAATATGTCATTTTTCAACCCTTATCTCCCTCCTTCCTTCCCTCCCTCCCTCCTCTCATCGTCCTCAGTGTCTATTGTTGCCATCTTTTTTTTTTTTTTAATTGATCATTCTTGGGTGTTTCTCGCAGAGGGGGATTTGGCAGGGTCACAGGACAACAGTGGAGGGAAGGTCAGCAGACAAACAAGTGAACAAAGGTCTCTGGTTTTTCTAGGCAGAGGACCCTGGGGCCTTCCGCAGTGTTTGTATCCCTGGGTACTTGAGATTAGGGAGTGGTGATGACTCTTAAGGAGCATGCTGCCTTCAAGCATCTGTTTAACAAAGCACATCTTGCACCACCCTTAATCCATTTAACCCTGAGTGGACACAGCACATATTTCAGAGAGCACCGGGTTGGGGGTAAGCTCATAGATCAACAGCATCCCGAGGCAGAAGAATTTTTCTTAGTACAGAACAAAATGGAGTCTCCTATGTCTACTTCTTTCTACACAGACACAGCAACAATCTGATTTCTCTATCTTTTCCCCACATTTCCCCCTTTTCTATTCGACAAAACCGCCATCGTCATCATGGCCCGTTCTCAATGAGCTGTTGGGTACACCTCCCAGACGGGGCGGCGGCCGGGCAGAGGGGCTCCTCACTTCCCAGAAGGGGCAGCTGCCGGGCGGAGGGGCTCCTCACTTCTCAGACGGGGCGGCCGGGCAGAGATGCTCCTCACCTTCCAGATGGGGTCGCGGCCGGGCAGAGGCGCTCCTCACATCCCAGACGGGGCGGCAGGGCAGAGGCGCTCCCCACAGCTCAGACGAGAGATGCTCCTCACTTCCCAGACTGGGCAGCCGGGCAGAGGGGCTCCTCACGTCCCAGATGATGGGCAGCCAGGCAGAGACGCTCCTCACTTCCCAGACGGGTTGGCGGCCGGGCAGAGGCTGCAATCTCGGCACTTTGGGAGGCCAAGGCAGGCGGCTGGGAGGTGGAGGTTGTAGCTAGCCGAGATCACGCCACTGCACTCCAGCCTGGGCAACATTGAGCACTGAGTGAACGAGACTCCATCTGCAATCCCGGCACCTCGGGAGGCCGAGGCTGGCGGATCACTCGCGGTTAGGAGCTGGAGACCAGCCCGGCCAACACAGCGAAACCCCGTCTCCACCAAAAAAATAACGAAAACCAGTCAGGCGTGGCAGCGCGCGCCTGCACTGGGCAGGCTGAGGCAGGAGAATCAGGCAGGGAGGTTGCAGTGAGCAGAGATGGCGGAGTACAGTCCAGCTTCGGCTCGGCATCAGAGGGAGACCGTGGGGAGAGGGAGGGGGAGGGGGAGGGGGAGGTTAACTGTTCTTAATGCCTTATGTATATTCATTGTGAGCTCCTGAAGGTAGGAACAGTAGTATCAAAATGTTTTCCATCAAAGAGAAATCTACTCTGGGTATATCTTTTACTTTCTTTGGGAACACCTGTCTCAGATTACTCCTAACTCAGATTTTGCCAGGCTGCTTTACTGTTTGAATGCTGAGCCCCACCTGCCTGTGGTAGGGAACAGAATTTGTGTTGAGCAGCCCTGTCTGAGGTAGCAGAGCTGGTGAGGGCCTTCTGATTCCATCCAGTCTCTATGCCACATTGCCTGTCTGGTGGACCTACACTCTTTTCTACCTCCAGACATCTTCCTGCTTCTCTTCTCATTTCCTTTCTGTGTACCTCCCTTCTGTGTCTTCTTTGCTGATAGATCCTCTACTAGGTGATCTTTAGATGTTGAAGTTCTTCAAGGCTGTCTTATAGCCTCTTTTCTTCACACTTCGAGTTCTCTCCCTGAATGATCTTTTTTCTGTCTTCACTGATTATTTCCAAAAGTGTTATTTGAGCCCAGACTTATCTCTGTATACCAGACTCTGTCATCCACTTTCTACATAGTCTCTGTTTAGATGCCTCCCAGGCACTCGGTGTCAGCTTGTCCAAAACTTTATTTGGTCATTTACTCCTGACTTTGTCCTTCTCTGTCGTTTCTGATCTAAGTATATGGCACCTCCACATGCCAGATCGCACCAGTAACCTGGAAGTCATCTTGACACCTCTTTTCCCTCACTCCCACATCTACTCAGTCACCAGGTCACAGCAGTTCTAAGGTCAGCATCTTTCCTGAGTCTGACTTCTTTTCTCCTTTCCCACTGCCACCATCCAGGCCGAGCTCAGCTCTTCTCTCTCTGGACCAGGCAGTGGTCTCATGGCTGGACTCCTAGCTGCCACTCCTGTCCCTCCAGTTCATACTCTATCTCCACAGAGTGGCCTGGTCAGCTTCGAATTTCTTCCTTAGTCCTGTTCCCTGGTTTCCTGATACTTTTTTTTTTTTTTGATCTGGAGTCTCGCTCTGTCGCCCAGGCTGGAATGCAGTGGCGCGATCTTGGCTCACTGCAAGCTCTGCCTCCTGGGTTCATGCCATTCTCCTGCCTCAGCCTCCTGAGTAGCTGGGACTACAGGCGCCCACCGCTTCGCCCGGCTAATTTTTTGTATTTTTAGTAGAGACGGGGTTTTACCATGTTAGCCAGGATGACCTCGATCTTCTGGCCTCTTGATACTTTTAAAGTAACATGTAGAATTCTTGAGTGTCCCATCTATTTAGTCAGCCTCACATCACATCACTTTGCTTTTCATAGCTGTTCTTGAATCATGGAAGCCACTGATCTCAAACATTTACCAAAGGAATAGTATGTTCATGATTTTAAAAACCAAGTATAGGCCAGGCGTGGTGGCTCACACCTGTAATCCCAGCACTTTGGGAGGCCAAGGTGGGCGGTTCATGAGGTCAGGAGATCAAGACCATTCTGGCTAACATAGTGAAACCCCGTCTCTACTAAAAATACAAAAAATTAGCCGAGCATGGTGGCAGGTGCCTGTAGTCCCAGCTACTCAGGAGACTGAGGCAGGAGAATCACTTGAACCCGAGAGGCGGAGATTGCAGTGAGCCGAGATTGCGCCACTGCACTCCAGCCTGGTGACAGAGCAAGACTCTGTCTCAAAACAAACAAACAAACAAAACAAGTATAGTAGAGTTACAACATATGAACATATAAGTTATCTGTTGACTGGTAGACCTAATCTTCTTCCCCCTTGTGTAACTCCATCACTTCTTTTAATTTACCAAACAAAGCTGTTGACAGGTGTTAAAGTTTCAGGGCCATAATAATAAAAAATAATATAGAGGCAAGCAGGAGTACTGCATTTTCAGTCTTCAGAGTGTATTATGCAGAGCCCTGCTCAGGAAGAATTCTGTATCCACTCTTTGTAGAAGCCAAGGGGCATGAATGCTGAGTCTTTGCTAGTTTTAGTGGAAGTGGTTTAGTCTTTCTCATTTGAATTGATCTTTTTTTCTTAGAAGCAAATTCGGAGGTGTTGTACATATCTAGGAAGTCCCATGATTGCCCCAAATTTGCTTCGTAGATGCTATTCATTGCAAATAATTCCACAGTGGTAGTATGGGCAGGGGCACTGTTTGTTGAATACACAAGGAGATCTCATGTCCTGATCTAGCCTCAGCAGCTTCCATGTGTATTCATGGGTATAGCTATTTTAGTGTAGAGTGTTTTGTGTATACCATAGATTCATTTCTTTTTTTCTGTCCTATCTTGGACTTTGAACCTAACTCTAATACTTTAAATCTACTGTCTGATTCCATTTCATTGATAATATTTTATAAGAAGTATATTTTTAGAGGTGGGTATGTAGCAAAATGTGACTAAAGGTAGAGATGTATGCTAAATAGCCTTAAGTTTTCTAACCAACCAGTTATGTGTTTCTTACAGATGAATTTTTTTGAAAAAATTGTGTGGCACCAGTTCACATGTCTTTGCCACCTTAGGAGTGGGGAAGAGGGGAGATTTGAGGTAATTGCAGATCAGTGGAGAAAGTGGCCTTTGCATGGGCCTGTGTAATTCTAGATATTAATTATAGGGAACCCACTTACCCTCTTATATAAGCTATAGTTTATGTTACATTTATTGGTAAGAAAATAATATTTTTATCTCCCATTCGCTTTGTGCTCCCTCCGCCCCCTGAGAGGCTAGGTTTCATTATGTTGCCCACGCTGGCCTCAAACTCCTAGTAGCTGAGATCCAAGGCATGTGCCACCATGCTTAGTTTAGTCCTTTTTTTAAATGGATGTTTTATTTTGAGATAATTGTAGAATCACATGCAGTGGTAAGATAATTCAGTGAAATCACACATACCTTTTAATTTTTTTTTTTTTTTTTTTTTTGAGATGGAGTCTCGCTCTGTCGCCCAGGCTGGAGTGCAGTGGCGCAATCTCGGCTCACTGTAGGCTCCGCCTCCCAGGTTCACGCCATTCTCCTGCCTCAGCCTCCTGAGTAGCTGGGACTACAGGCGCCTGCCACCATGCCCAGCTAATTTTTTGTATTTTTAGTAGAGACAGCGTTTCACTGTGTTAGCCAGGATGGTCTCGATCTTCCGACCTTGTGATCCGCCCGTCTCGGCCTCCCAAAGTGCTGGGATTACAGGCGTGAGCCACCGTGCCCGGCCTAATTTTTTTTTTTTTTTTTTTTAATAGAGAAAGGGTCTCACTTTGCTGCCCAGGCTGGAATGCAGTGGTGTGATTATAACTTCCTGTAACCCCCAACTCTCAGGCTCAAGCAATCCTCCTGTGTCAGCTGCCTAAGTAGCTGGGACTACAGACGCATACCACTGCACCCAGCTAATTCATTTTATTTTATTTTTTGTAAACACATGGTCTTGCCATATTGCCCAGACTGGTCTGAAACTTCTGGACCCAGGCAGTCCTCCTACCTCAGCCTCCCAAAGTGCTAGGATTACAGGCATGAACCACCATGCCCACAACTTTTTCCTTTTGCCCAGTTTCTCCCAGTGGTAATATCTTGCAAAACTATTAAGCCAGAGGAACTGAAAGTACAATATTGCAACTAGAATATTCAGTTGCAATCTTATTCAGATTTCTTCAGTTTTACTTTTATTCATTCTGTGTATATGTATATTTAATTCTATGTAGTTTTATCATGTGTAGGTTTTTTATTTATAATTTTTTTCTCAATTGACTGAGAACTCAAGCTGAGAGAAGGTATGCTATTTATTAGGTCCCTCTCCAATTCCACCAGTAACAACCTAAGCATAATTCCTTCTCTTCACATAATAGCTACCTGACATTGGGTGAGCTACTTAACTTCCAAATCTTGGTTTTCTCATCTATAGAACATGATTCACAGTAGCTGCCTACTGCAGAGGGTTGCTGTGAGGACTGAAATGAGAAAATGTGCAGAATGGGTACCTGGCATAGTCAGTGGCATACAAAAGGAGCTCAATAAATGATCATCTCTTTTTTTAAAAAATGACATTTTATTTTATTTTATTTTTCGAGACATTCTCTTGCTCTGTTGCCCAGGCTGGAGTGCAGTGACAATTATAGCTCACTGCAACCTTGAACTCCTGGACTCAAACCATCTTCCCAAGCATGCACCACCATGCCTGGCTAGTTTTTTGTAGAGATGAGGTCTTGCTGTGTTGCCCAGGCTGGTCTTAAAAATCCCTGCCTCAAGAAACCTTCCCACCTTAGCATCCCAAAGAGCTAGGATTAAAGGCATAAACCACTGTGCCCAGCAAAAAATGAGACATGTAAAAACTGAGATTACAAATGAGAGTGTTTGGGTTTTTAAAAGCTTTTCACAAAAATGTAGTATCACAGGATTGTAGAATTGGAAGGCCTCTAAGTAGTCACTTAATAGTTTTGAAACCAGTCCAGGACCCCGCTAAGTGTTCTTAGCTCTTATTCTTACGCTTATTTGTTTTTTGTCTTTTTTTTTTTCTTCCTTTTTGTGAAGAACGGAGTCTCGCTATATTGCCCATGCAGGTCTCGAACTCCTGGGCTCAAGCTATCCTCCCACCTCTGCCTCCCTGAGAGCTCGGATTACAGGCATGAGCCACCGCGCCCTGCACTTAGCTCTTATTCTTTATGATAAAAGAAAATCTGCCTTCCTGTAATTTTCTAGATCTGCCCTAATCCATGTGATAGCCCTTCTAGGATTTGACAACAACTATCAGGTTCCTCCTAAATTACCTTTTCCAGACTATCCTTTAGCTATTCCTTATAAGATGTAGCTTTCAGACTCTTGCCCATCTTGGTCTTCCTCATCTAGACAAGGTCCAATTTGTTGTTCCCCTTAGCTGAATACAGAACTCAAATGTAATCAGGCTAACATATCCCAAGATAGGCCTATCTTCTCTGTAGCTGGTTTTTTTTTGAAACCAGGTCACTCTGTTGGTGCACATACAGCTTGTTCTTTTGTCTTCTGTTTATTTTCTAGATGAAAAATAAATGCACAGCAGTTAAACACAGCCAGTTGAACACATACTTAACTTTCATTCCCCTCCATAACCCCATTAAAATAGTAGTAAGAGGGGAAAGACATATCAGCAAATGAGAAATCAATGGAATATTAAAGCCAGAGAGCATGTGTGGAAGACTTAGTGGGCCAGAGGAACTGAAAGTGCCTCCCGGGGGAGAAACTGAGAAGGAAGAGGATTTCTAGTGTAGAACCCTGGAATTGTTCCAGAATTGGAGACACCAAATACTGAAAACAGGAAGATTACTTGGAAGTCTGTATGAAAGGCAATTAGATGCCTGCACCCCCTCCCCCACTCTCTCAGGAGATAGGAAGTTTAGTCTTAGATACTGAACCAGAGGCTCCGAATCAGGCACACCAAGCATAGGAGAAAGGGTGCAATATGGAACAAAACTGAAAAGAAGGGCTTTAAGATAAGAGTTATCAGTAGTGCATGGTAGAACCATCCACCTCTTAGACCCAGTTTCCAGAATATCTGTAGGCCGACAGATATTTCCCTGCAAGAGACTGGAAGATCGTGCTCTGATAAAATTAACTCCAGAGAAAAAGTCCTGAAGATACTGAATACTTCTAGGGGTCCTCAATCAAATGGCCGATTCTTGCCTGATCACCCTAATGTGAAGCCCACAAATCAACAAGCCTACCCCCTAGCCAAGTGTCACCAGACATTTAAAGAAAACCTCTAACATAGAAGACAGAGATCAAAACAATTGGAAGAGAAAATATCTCAGGAAACAGTAAAAGCAGAGAGATAAAGAAGAAAAAAAGTTGTAACTATATACTGTCTCAGGAGAGATTTGAGAAAATATTGCATTCATGAAAGATGAACAGGATTCTTTTAAAAAGGAAGCTTTTGAAAACAAGAACTCTAGGAAATTAAAAATATGATAGCCAGTATAAAAACCTACAACACAGAAAGATTGTAAGATAGGGTTGAAGAAGTTTCCTCACTGATAGACCAAATGAAAGAGATGGAAAGTGAGGAAGAACAATAAGAAAATTAGAGGATTATTCCAAGAAATCTAACACCTGACTAATAGAAATTTCTGAGGAGAAAAAATTACAATAGGAGGGAGGAAATTATCAAGGATTAAATGGTGTAAAGAGATTTTTCCAGAACTGAAATAATGTCTGTAGATTGATACAGCACAATAAAAGAAAACCAATACCAAGATACAATACTGTGAAATTTTAGAACTACAAGAATACAGAGAAAATCCTAAAGGCTTCTAGAGAGCACAGTTACATACTTAGAGTTAGGATTCAAAATAGCATTGGATTTCTCAATAACAACAAACTAGGCCAGGTGTGGTGACTCACGCCTGTAATCCCAGCTCTTTGAGAGGCTGAGGTGGGAGGATTGCTTGAAGCCAGGAGTTTGAGAACAGCCTGAGCAACAAAGCAGGACCTGTCTGTACAAATATATATATATGTATATATATACATATATACATATATATGTATATATATACATATATACATATATATGTATATATATACATATATACATATATACATATATATGTATATGTGTGTATATATATACATATATACGTATATATGTATATGTGTGTATATATACATATATACGTATATATGTATATGTGTGTGTATATATACATATATACGTATATATGTATATGTGTGTGTATATATACATATATACGTATATATGTATATGTGTGTGTATATATACATATATACGTATATATGTATATGTGTGTGTATATATACATATATACATATATATGTGTGTATATATATACATATATATATTTTTAAACATAGCCAGGTGCACACTAGCATGCCTATAGTCTCAACTACTCAGGAGACTGAGGCAGGAGGATTGCTTGAGCTCAGGAATTCAAGTCCAGCCTGGGGGACAGAGTAAGACCCCATCTCTAAAAACAAAAGAACTAGAAGACAATGGAGCAATACTTTCAAAATTTTGACAGGAAAAAAGTCTAAACTTTGAATTTTTTAACCAACTAAATTATTATCTAAGCTTGAGGGTAGTAAAGACATTTTCAGACATTGTACATAGACCCCTTCTTATGAGGCTCTACTAGAAGACACATTTTTATTTGTTTGAGATGGAATCTCGTTCTTCTTGCCCAGGCTGAGTGCAGTGGTACGGTGTCTGCTCACCGCAACCTCCGCCTCCCAGGTTCAAGTGATTCTTCTGCCTCAGCACCTCGGGTAGCTGGAATTACAGGTGTCTGCCACCACGCTGGGCTAATTTTTTGCATTTTTAGTAGAGACGGGGTTTCACCATGTTGGCCAGGCTGGTCTCGAACCCCTGACCTCAGGTGATCCACCCGCCTCAGGCTCCCAAAGTGCTGAGATTACAGGTGTGAGCCACCATGCCCAGCCTAAAAGACACTTTCTACCAGAACAAGTGAATAAATAAGAAAGAGGACTACGTGGGGTTCAGGAAACGGGGGTGTTAGTATAGGTGAGGGAAACAGAATTCCCAGGAAGAGTTCCAGTAGATAATGTCTCAAGAAACAGACAACTTAAAACAAACAACTGATAGAGTACCTGACTGAATATATTAACCAGAGTTTTATGCTCTAGGGAAAAGAAAAATTATACAAAAAGGAAATATATACTGACAGTATACAGCATGGCTTGGCTACAAATAATATTTACATAGACTTAATGCAACTCTTCATATTAATTTAACCAAAATTTGACCTAATTATATTGGAAAGATAGGGAGAGTGTAGGGGATAGTACATGAAGAAAGGTATCAGGACAAATTCTTAATCTTCCATAATAGGAATTAGATTAGTAATATAATAGTTATCTTTTGCCGCATAACAAACTACCCCAAAATTTGTGACTTTTTTGTTTTTGAGACTCCATCCCAGGCAGGAGTGCAGTGGCACGATCTTGGCTCACTGCAGCCTCTGCCTCCCAGGTTCAAGCGACTCTCCTGCCCCAGTGACCCAAGTAGCTGGGATTACAGGCATGCGCCCACTAATTTTTGTATTTATTGTAGAGACAGGGTTTCATCATGTTGCCCAGGCTGCTCTCAAACTCCTGATCCACCCTCAAGCAATCCACCTTCCTTGGCCTCCCAAAGTGCTGGGATTACAGGCATGAGCCACCCTGCGTCCGGCCCAAAATTTAGTGACTTAAAACAAGTATTTATTATCTCACAGTTTCTGCTGGCCAGGAGTTCAGAAGCAGCTTAGACATTTCTCACAAAGTTGCTGTCATCTGAAGGCTTGGCTGGAGCTGGAGGATGCTCTTCCAAGCTCACTCAGGTAGCTGTAGAAGTCTTCAGTCTTCTTCATATGGGCCTCTCTTAAGGATATGTTATTTAGCTTCTCTTAGAGCAAGTGATCCAGAAGAAGAGGGTAAGAGGAATTTCAGTGCCTTTTATGACCTAGCTTTGAATGTGACATACCATCGTCACTTCTGCTATATTCTGTTGGTCACATAGACCAACCCTGACATGTTGTGGGAGGGGACTGCACAAGGGTGTAAATACCAAGAGTGAGCATTTACTGGGAGCTATTTAGAGGTTGGGTACCACAGGGAATAACTCAAAGTGAAAAGTCAACAAGTAATATGTAAGCACATATTATTTAGAAAGATGGAGAAAAGTCCTAGAAGCAAGAGGTTGCCCCTGGGAGTAGGAATCGCGGGCAAGGAATCAAGAAAACAGAGACTGCTAGTTGTTGTTTTTTCTTTTGTAATAAACCTCATAGAACAACTCTAAGAAATTTGAGCAGAGGCTGGGTGCGGTGGCTCACGCCTGTTTAATCCAATGATTCGATCTTCCAACCTCAATCCTTGGATAAATATGACACAAAGAGATGACCATCAGATAGTGAGATTCCCTGGCTTTTCACTAATGTGGAACCTGATAAAAAGGAAAAAAGGACTGTTTTGCTCTTCCTGGAGAATAGAAAGTTCTTAAGTGGAAATGTTTATATAGCTTGGAGCTATAAATGGCTTATTGAAGGGAAGAGCCTTTTGGCAGATAGTTGGAAAACACTTTATAGAATTCCTCAGGCTAAGGGTGTGTCAGTGAGGATTTGACACTCATTGGAGGAAGAGTTGGCCTCTGTCCCTGCTAGCCATACAGAGCAGCAGCCAGTCCACAACACCAGTGTATCTCCTCATGCCCCTGCCTCCGGCCCAGTCACTACATATTTACTCTTCTTGAGGAGCATACTGTTAGGAGCACCAGCATTCTTGGACCATTTGTCTAGTCCATCTGCCTGAGGTTGGGATAAAGTGTTACAGGAATCAGGTATTTGAGTTGGTGGAGTAGCTGAAAGGGGTGCATTGGAGACTACCATATAAGTAAAAACGATTACATGAAACCATTCAGGCTTAAATTTTTTAGCTGTTTTAACGCTTCATTAAAATGTATTGTTTACATTCTTCTACTGTAACTGAGTATATTGCATTTAAAATACTTCAGGGTCATCATGCTAAGCCTTGGCCTCCATGCCCTGGGATGCCTTCACCGCCTTTGCAGTGGGCAGTGGGGTATGCTGTGGAGCCGGGCGGAGGGGCAGGGTGGGTTTTTTTGTTTGTTTGTTTTTGTTTTGCATTCCTCAATATCTGTCTTTGTATTTTACTTTGCCCACAGATTGGGGACCACAAATTCAGTGCCCACCGGATTGTCTTAGCAGCCTCGATCCCGTATTTCCATGCTATGTTTACAAATGACATGATGGAGTGCAAGCAGGATGAGATTGTAATGCAAGGAATGGACCCAAGGTACTGAATCCCACCATTAGGTTTCGCAGGCTGCTTTCCAAGTGCAGTTTCAGCCTGTGCACGGTTCCGTTGAGGACCTGCAGCAGGACACAGTGTCTAATAGCCTAGCTCTACACAAATAATAAGTGATTAATAAGCAGATTAGAACCTGGGCCAGTGGTCTGAGATAGGGTTAAAATGAAGGGAGTTTTGATGGGGCTGTTTTTACCTTACTATAAGAGAAATACATTTAATAGGACCTAGACTCCATGATTTTTTTTTTTTTTTTTGACTGGGGCTGGGTTTAAGAGTGGTGGTATATTATTCTCTGCACTTTTCTGGGCTAGTCATTTTAGCTGACAAAACAGTTCTTCAAATAAGTGTCTTCATTTACATCCCTTCTTATCAGTCTAGAACAGTGTTGTCCACTGGAGGTTTCTGCAGTGATGCAAATGTTCTTTCTATTTGTATTGCCCAAAATGGTAGCCACTAGACACAGATGGCTATTGAGCACTCGAAATACGACTAGTGGGACTGAAGAACTGAATTTTAAATTTTGTTTAATTTTAATCAATTTAATTTTAAAGTTAAATAGTCACATGTGGCTAATGGCTACTATATTAGACAACACAGGTTTAGAAGGTGGCAGATCTTATGGTTATTTCATGGTTCAGAAAATTGAAGCTCAAGGAGATCAAGCCCAAGGTTATCCCCTTAGCTGGTAGTCAGTTATTGCCCAACCTCTTAATCTGACAGTGGTGACAACTAGGGGGAAAAGAGCTAGGAGACTGTGTGTTACCCTCTAGATGATCAAAGTGCCCCAATACCGGAAGAGGATTTATATACCCATGGCAAGGTAGAAATCTCAGGTCAGGCCAGGCAAGGTGGCTCACACCTGAAATCCAAACAATTTGGGAGGTCAAGGCGGGAGGATTGCTTGAGGCTAGGAGTTCAAGACCAGCCTGGACAACATAAACCACATCTTTATAAAAAAAAATTGTTTTTAATTAGCTGGGCATGGTGGTGCACACCTGTAGTCTCAGCTACTTAGAAAGCTGAGGTAGGAGGTGAGCCGAGGAAGTCAAGGCTGCCGCGAGCTGTGATCACACCACTACACTCCAGCCTGGGCAACAGAGTGAGACCTTGACTCTTGAAAAAGAAAGAAAGAAATCTTAGGCCAGTTACTTATGAGGAAAGACGTAGAAGTAAGGTGTCCAAGGGCAGTTGTGCCCTCCTATTCTCTGAGGTGTGTGTCTGAAGGAGGCATGCTCGTCCCATGAATAGTCCAGGGGCTTCATTTAACAGAGATTGCCTGAACATCCATGATGAGCACAGCTCTATCAAATATCTGAGGTATAGCAGTGAGAAAACAGCACCTCTTCTCATTCTGCCAACCTTTTTTTTGGGGGGAGTGGAGGGGGAGGCAATGGAGTCTCACTCTTGGCACCCAGGCTGGAGTGCAGTGGTGTGATCTGGGCTCACTGCAACCTCCACCTCCCAGGTTCAAGCAGTTCTACTGCCTCAGCCTCCCATGAGTAGCTAGGATTACAGGCACCTGCCGTTTTTTTTTTTTGTTTTGTTTTGTTTTGTTTTTTTTTTTTTGAGATGGAATCTCACTCTGTCGCCCAGGCTAGAATGCAATGACATGATCTCTGTTCACTGCAACAACCTCCGCCTCTTGGATTCAAGCGATTCTTCTCCCTCAGCCTCTCAAGTAGCTGGGACTACAGGCTCATGCCACCACGCCCGGCTAATTTTTGTATTTTTAGTAGACACAGGGTTTTGCCATGTTGGTTAGGCTGGTCTCGAGCTCCTGACCTCAGGTGATCCGCCCGCCTCGGCCTCTTAAAGTGCTGGGATTACAGGCGTGAGCCACTGCGCCCGGCTTCTGCCAGCTTTCTAGTAGTGATTTGGCAGTCACCAAATACATGCATGGTATGGCTAAGAGTGAAAGTGATATGAGAAAAGTAAAGCAGAGTAAAGGCTAGTGAAGGATGGTGGAGTCTGTGCTATTTTCAGGTGATCAGGGAAGGCACCTGTCATGGGGTGGCATTTGAGCTGAGACATCTTAATTGAAGTGAGGGAATGAGCCATCTGGGGGAAGAGCCCTCCAAACAGGGAGCAGTCATTGCAAAGGCCCTGAGGTAAGAATATGTCCAGAATGTTGGAATCAAGTAAGAAAGGGAGAAAGTGGAGGTGAGGAGGATAGATAGATGGAGAGGGACCAGAGCACATACAGCCTTATAGCTGGAATTTGGATTTCATTTTCAGTGTGAATTGAAAGCAGAAAAAATGTCAGAAATCTCATTCTAGAAATTTACCCCAAAGAAATAATTCAAAAACGTTCTAACAGCAATAAGATGGTAATGGCTATTATGCTTACCAATAAAGGAAATAAATGATAGCATATTTGCATGTTGAAATATTATATAGCAGCCACTAAAAACAATAAACATGAAGACAGTGTACCAACATGGGAAAGGCTTGATAAGTATTTTATGATTATATCCATATAATTCATGCATGTTGGCGATCAAGGACTAAAAATGAATGTAGAAAAATGACCGCTGTTGACTTTTTCAGTAGTGAAATTGTAGGTGATTGTGTTCTCTTTTTTAGAATTTTCTGTAGGGCAATGAAGACAACTTGGTAGAATGAGTTTTAGGCTGTGGTGAAGTAGTTACTCCATTAGATAGATTCTCAAAGGGCCTGGGCTAAGTAATGTCAGTTCAGTTAGGGCCTGAGTCTCCCGTGGGCCAAGACTCGTCTCTGAAAGCACCTCACAGCTTTCCCTCTTTCCTCTAGTGCCCTGGAGGCTCTGATCAACTTTGCCTACAACGGCAACCTTGCCATTGACCAGCAAAATGTCCAGTCATTGCTGATGGGGGCGAGCTTCCTGCAGCTGCAGAGCATCAAAGACGCCTGCTGCACATTCCTTCGAGAACGGTGAGGTGATGTGGTGGGCCTGGTGGAGAACATGACTATTTCATTTCTGGAATCTTCTGCCAGTTTGCTGAGTTCTTGGGACCATATATAGGTTTATGAAGGGAGTGAGCTGGAAAGGTTATTCTGCAGCACTTACATTTCTTGAAATCAGTTTGTAGCAGTGCCCACTTCTTTGAGATGAATTTTTTCAGAACATGATTTACATAGTCCAGCCTGCCCTTTCCCTTGGCTTGACATGTACATCTTCTGTTCCTCCCCCTCCGATCTCACCAGCCACTAATTTAGCTGATTTCTCACCAAACTGATTTGTGCAGTGCTCCTCTACTGTTCCATAGCCATCTCCATCTTTGTTTAGGTACTTTGCTCTCTGAATTTCTTTTCTTTTCTTTTTTTTTTTCAAGACAGGATCTTGCTCTGTCACCCAGGCTGGAGTGCAGTGGTATGATCTCGCCTCACTGCAACCTCTGCCTCCCATGTTCCAGCAATCCTCCCACCTCAGCCTCCCGAGTAGCTGGAACTACAGGCACGTGCCACCACACCTGGCTAATTTTTGTAATTTTTTTGGTAGAGATGTGGTTTTGCCATGTTGCCCAGGCTGGTCTCAAACTCTGCCCACCTTGGTCTCCCAAAGTGCTTGGATTACAGGCATAAGCCACTGCTCCCAGCCCTCTTTGAATTTCTTGACCTTCCTTTTCATACTTCAGTTATTTAAGAGCCTACCCAAATTTCACTTACTGGAATTCTCTATCCTCCTTAGTCCATTGGGAACTATCATTGTATGCACTTTTATGGTTGGGACCATGGATTATACCCCCACCTATTTCCAGTGCTTGGCAGTAGGCCTCGTGGGTCTCCTGTGACCTTCTGCCTGAGCAGTTAAGAAGGCTCTCCCTCCCCCTCAAGAGCCAGAGCTCTTAGTCATAAGGTAAAGGCCTTTTAACCAGCAGAGGCTTGGGGATGTGGGTTAGTGCTGGGCCACAGACAGGCAGGAGGACCCCAAACAGCACCCCTGTGTCTATGGTGCTTCACACACCCAGCCTTCACCTGAGCCTACTCTGATCACTAGGTATCTGGTCTGTCAGCATTCCTCCTGACTCAGATCTGCCCTCCGAACCTCATCCCCTCATGGAGCTGACCTCCCCTCCCCTATTCTCACTCCACCTATCCAGTTCAGTTAGCAGCTTATGGACCACACCCGCTGTCTGTTCATATCCTGCCCACACGGTGCTCATGGTCATCACACTGAGTACTGCTGTGTGTACAGCTAATCAAATAACCGTGGTAATGATGCCTAAGATTTAGTGGGGAGCTCATCTGCTGAACACTGGGTAAAGGGTTTCATCCTGAGGTAAGTGGTGCTGTTCGCAGTTTTATAAAGACCTTGTAGTAAGAGTAAAGCTGCGGAACCAACCTTGTCCCTGCTGTGGGATGCCTTCTGGGGCAGGCCAGAGGGTGCATATGGAGATGTGAGGAGCACACACTATCTTTCCTGCTCGTTTGTGAGCTTTTTAAGACACAGACTGGACTTAGTTCACCTCTTTTTCCCACAGAACTTGGAAAATGACTTCCTTTTTTCTTTTTCTTTCTTTCTTTTTTTTTTTTTTTTTTTTTTTTTTCTGTAAGGTAGAGCCCCAGGCTTGGAGGCCTTGGGCTTTACCACTGCTGAAATGACTCTGTGGCTAAGTAGGATTAATCCTGGAAAGGATTGTTGACGAGCCTCGAATCTTCACCAATGGACAACAGCTCCACCTAGGGGGCTTTTGAGATTGTCACTGTCAACACTGGATCCAGGCTATGTTGTAAAGTACTGTTATCTAAAAGTTGCTTAGAAAAGTGATTTTTAGGCCAGATGAGGTGGTTCATGCTGTAATCCCAGCATTTTGGGAGGCCAAGGCAGGAGGATTGCTTGAGGTTAGGATTTCCAGACCAGCCTGTATGGCAGAGCAAGACCCTGTCTCTACAAAAAAAAAATTTTTTTAATTAGTCAAGTGCAGTGGCTCACATCTATAGTCCCAGCTACTGGAGAGGCTAAGGTGGGAGAACTGCTTGAACCAGGAGCCCAAGGCTGCAGTGAGTTACAATCACCTTACTCCAGCTTGGGCAACTGAGCAAGACTCTGTCTCTAAAAACTAAAAAGAAAAAAGAAAAGTCATTTTTAGGCCAGTGCAGGTTTGCATGCACCAGTAGCATTTTAGGAATAAGTACTTACGCATAAACCTGATGTTTTGAGCCTATCTTTGACATTTTTTCATTCAGCCCTTCAGGACCCTTTCTGAGACCTAAACCTATACCTCTCCTGTTTCCTGCCACAGACTCCAGAGCCATGGCCTGCTTTCTGTTTTCTCACCAGTAGTTCCTATTATTGTCTCTGTTCCTTGGAATGATTCTCCCTGAGCCTCGCTACAGAATGTGATGGTGTCTCCCAGCTCCCCACTTCGTATGTGCCCTTGAAGGTGCATCATTTTCTTTTTTTTCTTTTTTTTTTTAAGGCGGAGCCTTGCTCTGTGAGACAGAGTGTCACTCTTGTTGCCCAGGCTGGAGTGCAGTGGCGCGATCTTGGCTCACTGCAAGCTCCGCCTCCTGTGTTCACGCCATTCTCTCGCCTCAGCCTCCCAAGTAGCTGGGACTACAGGCGCCTGCCACCACGCCTGGCTAATTTTTTGTACTTTTAGTAGAGACGGGGTTTCACCATGTTAGCCAGGATGGTCTCGATCTCCTGACCTTGTGATCCGCCCGCCTCAGCCTCCCAAAGTGCTGGGATTACAGGCGTGAGCCACCACGCCCAGCCGAGGGTGCATCATTTTCAAGATTTGATTGCCAGCGACTTGAGGAAAACCATTCTGAGCACCAGTGGAAAAGATATGTGACAGCACAGAGAAGCCACAATGCCATCAGAGTTCTTAAAGCCACAGTTCCTGAGGCTGCTCAGTCTATTACATCTTCAGCCCGCTGCTTTTTTTCCCCCTGAGGCTGGGGTTGACTTTTTCTGGTGGCCCTATTTCCGGCCTTCAAATGTATGGGCCTCCTTGCTTTTAGGCAAGCACTGGAGCTGTGTATTTTCTTGCTTTTTTTTTTTTTTGAGATGGAGTCTCACTCTGTCACCCAGGCTGGAGTGCAGTTTCGTGATCTCGGCTCACTGCCACCTCTGCCTCCCGAGCTCAAGCATTCTCCTGCCTCAGCCTCCGGAGTAGCAGGATTACAGGTGCCTGCCACCATGCCCGGCTAATTTTTGTATTTTTATTTATTTATTTATTTTTGAGACAGAGTCTTGCTCTGTCGCCCAGGCAGGAATGCAGTGGCATGATCTCAGCTCACTGCAACCACCACCTCCCAGGTTCAAGCGATTCTCCTGCCTCAGCCTCCGGAGCAGCTGGGGCTACAGGCGTGTGCCACCACACCCAGCTAATTTTTGTATTTTTAGTAGAGATGGGGTTTCACCATGTTGGCCAGGCTGGTCTTGATCTCCTGACCTCAAGTGATCTGCCCACCTCGGCCTCCCAAAGTGCTGAGATTACAGGTGTGAGTCACCACACCCAGCCTTGGAGCTGTGTATTTTCTGAAATTCTCTCAGAGGTAGATTGGTACACCAAATGCGTCAATGAACCACGTCAGTAACCTGTTTAATTCAAGTCACCGCTTCCTGCCTCTGATAAAGCATTATGTCTTATGCTGTCTTCTTGCTTCCAAAGTCAAGCTGTGTCAGCAAGGAAGAAGGTTGTGATGTGGCTAATGAAAGACGTGGGTCTCCATCAACCCTGTAGCTGTAGGTTTATTTTCCCTCATATCTCCCTCCTCCTCTTGCATGGGCCCCTTTCCTGTGTGGCCGCTCTCCTTCCTTTTCCCCCACTAATTGCCTCACAAACAGGCTCCCCACGTCCCCCATCCTCTTGGATGTAAAAGCCCAGTTCAGTTAAGAAGGTGTGTTTTGGCTGGGTACGTTGACTCACGCCTGTAATCCCAACACTCTGGGAGGCCGAGGCAGGGTGGATCACCTGAGGTCGGGAGTTCGAGACCAGCCTGGCCAACATAGTGAAACCCCATCTCTACTAAAAATACAAAAAACTTAGCTGGCTATGGTTGCAGGCACCTGTAATCCCAGCTACTCGGGAGGGTGAGGCAGGAGAATCGCTTGAACCTGGGAAGTGGAGGTTGCGGTGAGCCGAGATCGTGCCATTGCACTCCAGCCTGGGCAACAAGAGCGAAGCTACATCTCAAAAAAAAAGAAAAAAAAAAAGGAAGGTGTGTTTTGGCCGGGCGTGGTGGCTCACGCTTGTTATCCTGGCACTTTTGGAGGCCGAGGCAGGCAGATCGCCTGAGGTCAGTAGTTGGAGACCAGCCTGGCCAACATGGTGAAATGCCATCTCTACTAAAAATACAAAAATGAGCCGGCCGTGGTGGCGCACGCCTGTAATCCCAGCTACTTGGGAGGCTGAGCCAGGAGAATCACTTGAACCCAGGAGGCAGAGGTTGCAGTGAGCTGAGATCATGCCGCTGCACTCTAGCCTCGGCAACACCAGGAGACTCCGTCTCAAAAAAAACAAAAGGGAAAAAAAAAGGTGTGTTTTGTGCTCAGTATTATGCCAAGCTAATCAAAGACACCCAAAAATAAGGTACGAGAATCCTAACCTGAGAAGGAGAGTTTGGAAATGAATGCCAATGGCTACGTTGATCATTGGCTCCCATATCCTTGGACTTGATCCAGCTTCTGCCCCGTGGCATTTTGAATCCTCCTCTCAGGTTGATGTCAAAGTGTTAGGAAATAGTGAAGCACATGCTGTAGAGGCCCAGGGAAGGTTTATCTTTATATCTGCCTTATATTTGTAAAGTGCTTTAACAAGTCTCATTCAATCACTATAAGTGCTTTAGGAGAAAGGCATTTGACAGATGACTGAGCTGACATTCTGACCTTCAGCGCTGTATTCCTCAGTGGCCATGAACTTTGCCTACATCTTGCTCTCTGCTTATGTTTCTGTGCTCTTCTAAATTCACATCAGTTTCCAAAGCAATGGACAGAGCAAGCTCAGGCTGGAATGAAATAACTATGTAGAATTTTGACTAGTCATAAAGCCAGGCTCCAAGGTACCTTGCCCATTCATTCAGTCCTTGATGGGTCAACTGCTAGGGGACAATAGTGAATATTGCTAAATAAATATAACCCTGTGCCTAAAACCTTAACGTCGGGGAAAAGACATAAACCTTTCTAATGAAGAAAAGCATGCCCGGCCAATTTTTAATCTGATCAATACCATCCCTACAGAGAATCAGTCATGGAGCCAAATAAGAATCCCCCAGGGTCTGCTGCTGTCACCAAGATTTTAGAATCGCACTGGGCTCGTTTGGAATTTTCTTAGATGCAACAGTAGTAAGAAAAACAAGCTGGGCACAGTGGCTCATGCCTGTAATCCCAGCACTTTGGGAGGCCAAGGCAGGAGGATTGCTCGAGCCTAGGAGTTTGAGACCAGTCTGGGCAACATAGGGAGATGCTTTCTCTACCAAAAAACACTTTTTTTTTTTTTTTTTAATTAGCTAGGTGTGTGGTTTCAGCTACTTGGCAGGTTGAGGTAGGAGGATCACTTGAGCTCAAGAGGTCAAGGCTATCATGAGCCATAATTGCACCACTACACTACAGCCTAGGTGACAGAATAAGACCTTGTCTCAAAAAACAAAAACAACCATAATAAAAAATTAAGACAGCCATTAACTTCATACCAGGTACCATGTATCATGGCTCAGCCCTAAGAGGTGGGTAGCTGTTGTCATCATCTTCTTTCAGGTGAGCAAATTACTGACACTTGGAAGAACATAACCCACCCAAGTTGCCCCATGAGCATCAGGGCCAGGATTTATCCTGGGTTTCTCTAGCCCTGATGAGTGTAAGTCTGCCAGGCTACCGTGGGAATGTGCACAAGAGTCCTGATTTCAATCTCAGCACCACCACTTGCTTATCTCAAGGGACTGTGAGCACCATTTTTGGTTTCCCTGAGCCTGTTTTCCATCTGTGAGTGCGTTACTACTTTACAGGTTAAGAAGATTCTGGAGAATGTGTATAAAAGGCCTAGCAAAACACTTGACTCACTGATGGTAAATAAATGATAGCTGCTGCTGTTGTTTCTGCTTGTCTGAACAATTAGGCCCGTGGAGTCTCTTTCTATCTAAAACAAGAAAAAATCTCAGCATTTTGGGAGGCCGAGGCAGGTGGGTTGCTGGAGTTCAGGAGTTCAAACCTGCCTGGACAACATGGTGAATCCCTGTCTCTACCACAAAAAGTACAAAAATTAGCCAGGCATGGTGGCACCTGTAGTCCCAGCTACTTGCAGGGCTGAGGCAGGAGGATCGCTTGAGCCCAGGAAGTCAAGGGTGATGTGAGCCGTGTTCACGCTACTGCACTCCAGCCTGGGGGACAAAGTGAGACCCTGTCTCAAAAAAGAAAAAAAAGGAAAAAAAAAGACAAGTATAAGAGTTCCCATACTAAAGAAGCCATCTGTCCGTGTTGTGTTTTTTTTGTTGTTGTTTTGTTTGTTTTTTGTTTTTTGTTTTGAGACGGAGTCTTGCTCTGTCGCCCAGGCTGGAGTGCAGTGGCGCAGTCTCGGCTCACTGCAAGCTCCGCCTCCTGGGTTCACAGCATTCTCCTGCCTCAGCCTCCCAAGTAGCTGGGACTACAGGCGCCCGCCACCACACCCGGCTAATTTTTTGTATTTTTAGTAGAGACGGGGTTTCACCGTGTCAGCCAGGATGGTCTTGATCTCGTGACCTCGTGATCTGCCTGCCTCAGCCTCCCAAAGTGCTGGGATTACAGGCGTGAGCCACCGTGTCCAGCCCTGTCTGTGTTTTTTAAACTCTAATTCTGTGACTTCAGTGCCTTCCTTGTGACCAAAGTTGAGATAATGCCCTGGACACTCAACCAGGAATTTCAGTGGTGGAACGTCTCAAACAGATTTTCAGTGCCTGCACTCCTGTGATGGTTACTTCTCACCTTCTGACAGTTACTTTACAGAACTACCCAGAGAGCTCATTCCACCTGACGCACAGAGCACCAGGCCCAAAAGGCAGGGACCTTTGAGGATAATCTTTCTTCTTAATTTTATACCTTTAGAAGTTGAGTCCCAGAGAAATACAGTTTCCAACAAAGCTGAGGTTAAGAATTTGTTTTCATTCTGTGGCTCTACCCAGAACCAGCCTGAGAATGATCAAAGATAACATCCTTTCTTCCTCTAATTTTTTTTTTCTTTCCTTATGCCAAAGGCTTCACCCAAAAAACTGCCTGGGTGTGCGCCAGTTTGCTGAGACAATGATGTGTGCTGTGCTGTACGACGCTGCCAACAGCTTCATCCACCAGCACTTTGTGGAGGTGTCCATGTCAGAAGAGTTCCTGGCCCTGCCCTTGGAAGACGTGCTTGAGCTGGTGTCTCGGGATGAGCTGAATGTCAAATCTGAGGAGCAGGTATGTGAGCCCAGTAGCAGTCTGTGCAGGTGACATGAGATGCTGCTCTTTATAGTCATTGTTTTGTTTATGTATTTTTTTACAAAGTTAAGATCATGACATGTATGTGGCTGTTGTATATTATTGGGCTTGTTTTACTGTATCATGCATTTTTCATGAAAACTTTCTATGTTTTATTTATTTTTTTGAGATAATATCTTGCTCTGTCACCTAGGCTGGAGTGCAGTAGCAAGATCATAGCTTACTGCAGCCTCATCCTCCCACATCAGCCTCCCGAGTAGCTGGAACTACAGGCACATACCACCACACCCAGCTAGTTTTTGTATTTTTTGTAGAGACCGGGTTTCACCATGTTGCCCAGGCTAGTCTTGAACTACTGTCCTTAAGTGAGTTCAGCCTCCCAAAGTGCTGGGATTATAGGCGTGAGCCACCGCACCTGGCCTCCATACATTTTAGTGTCTAAATAGCATTCTGTTGATTTTTGTCAACCTACTCACCTTATTCTTGCATGTTTGGGTTATTTCCAATATTTACTATTAGAAATAATCCTCCTGTGAACCAGAAACAGCAAGCATAGATAATTTTTTTGTTGTTTTTTTGAGTCAGAGTCTCATTCTGTCACCCAAGCTGGAGTGCAGTGGTGCGATCTTGGCTCACTGCAACCTCCATCTCCCAGGTTCAAGCAATTCTCCCGCATCAACCTCCTTGAGTAGCTGGGATTACAGGCATGCACCACCATGCCAGGCTAATTTTTATACTTTCAGTAGAGACGGGGTTTCACCATGTTGGCGAGGCTGGTCTCGAATTCCTGACCTCAAGTGACCCGCCCATCTTGGCCTCCCAAAGTGCTGGGTTTACAGGCGTGAGCCACTGTGCCCGGCCTAGTATAGATAACTTTTTGAAAGAATCTTGTTCTAAGGAAGAACAGAACATTGGGGCAGCTGTGGGAGGGGTCTGTGAAATCAAGAGGGGTTGTTGTTTGTTTGTTTTTGAGAAAGAATCTTGCTCCAACGCCCAGGCAGGCTGGAGTGCAGTGGCAACAATCTCAGCTCACTGCACCTCTGCCTCCCGGGTTCAAGCAATTCTCCTGCTTCAGCCTCCCAAGTAGCTGGGATTACAGGTGCCCGCTACCATGCCTGGCTAATTTTTATATTTTTAGTAGAGATGGGGTTTCACCACGTTGGCCAGGCTGGTCTTGAACTCTGGCCTCACATGATCCTCTCACCTTGGCCTCCCAAAGTGCTGGGATTATAAGCATGAGCCATCATGCCAGGCCTTTTTTTTTTTTTTTTTTTTTTTGTGAGACAGAGTCTCACTCTGTCACCCAGGCTGGAGTGCGATGGCACAATCTCAGCTCACTGCAGCCTCAGCCTCCCAGGTTCAAGCATTTCTCCTGCCTCAGCTTCCCAAGTAGCTGGGATTACAGGTGTGCGCCATCATGCCTGGCTAACTTTTGTATTTTTAGTAGAGACGGGGTTTCACTATGTTGGCCAGGCTGTTCTCGAACTCCTGACCTCAGATGATCTGCCCACCTCGGCCTCCCAAAGTGCTGGGATTACAGGCGTGAGCCACTGCGCCAGGCCCGACCTTTTTTTTTTTTTTTTAAAGTGAGAGAAATTACAGCATATTTGACTGCTGTTGGGAGTTTTCCAGAAGAGAGGGAAGAATTGATAATATTGGAGAAATGGGAGAGCAGTTGTTGGAATGATGTTCTGGAATAAGTGAGGACAGTCTAGGGCATAAGGGTGTGCATCTTTGATAGGAGCACAAGCCATCCATATCCACAGTAGCAGGAGGGAGAGCTGGGGCACACGCCCAGGGACGGGGGACAGGTAGATTCTTACTGAAATTCTCTTCTGATTTTCTATTTTCTCACCTGAGAGTGAGGATGAGGGACGAAGGTTAGAAACTTAAGGAAGGCCGGGAGCAGTGGCTCACGCCTGTAATCCCAGCACTTTGGGAGGCCAAGGTGGGCAGATTTGTTGAGCTCAGGAGTTTGAGACCAGCCTGGGCAACATGGCAAAACCCCATCTCTACTAAAAGCACAGAAGTTAGCCAGGCCTGGTCCAGCTTAAACTCCTGGCCTGTAATCCCAGCTACTTGGGCTGAGGTGGGAGGATTGCTTGAGCTGGGAGGCAGAGGTTGAGGTGAGCTGAGATTGCGCCACTGCACTCCAGCCTGGGCGATGGGGCAAGACCCTATCTCCAAAAAAAAAGAAAGAAAGAAAGAAAAGAAAAAAGAAATTTGAGGAGGGATTAAAAGGTATGATTTATTTTCCTCTTTCCTCTAGAAAAGGGGGATGCTAGAGAGGTGAAGCGGGCTTGATAGGAGCCTGGGAGAAAAGTGGATCCTGGGCTTGGCAGCATAGACACTGTGGTTTCGAGGAAAAAGCCTCATTCCAAAAACTAGGTGTCCTGTCCCTAGCTCTTAAACTAATTAATATGACGGGGGGCGGGGGGGCAGCTCACATTTCTTTGAGTGATACATTTCATAAGGGCTGTAGGGCTTTAGAGGGAGAGGTCCTTGTGGTTGGAGCCATTAAGAAAGGCTCCTTGGAGAACATGGATCTAGAGCCAGGCCTTAAAAATAGGGGAGTGGGTTTAGATGAAGAGGAGGAGATGAGGGCATTTTAGATGAGGGGGGACAGTGTAAACAGGAGAACCAGCCCAGCCTTGCCGGAGTACAGAGAGGGTGATGGAGGGAGTTTAGAGGGAGCAGGGGTACAGGAGCAGCGGGAAGGGAAACAGGCATTTTGTTTTCACAGAAAGTAATAAGATGCCATTGATGATTTTTCACTAGGAAATCATAATCATAATGAAATTCAGGAAGCTGTTCTAGTAGCCTAGGAAGTAGAGAGAAATCAGGGATTTCAGAGACAAGTAGGAGAAAAGATTGATGGGCCCAAGGGACTGCTTCAGTATAGGAAGTGGAGGCATTGAGATTGGAGGCCTGGGGTGTGGCCTCTGGGTGGGAGGATTTGCTGCCAGAACATCCACTCTCATGACAGGTCTTTGAAGCTGCATTGGCCTGGGTCAGATACGACCGGGAGCAGAGGGGTCCCTACCTGCCTGAGCTGCTGTCCAATATCCGCCTGCCCCTCTGTCGGCCCCAGTTCCTTTCAGACAGAGTACAGCAGGATGACCTGGTGCGTTGCTGCCACAAATGCAGGTGAGTGAGGGTGGACCTGCACAGGACACTGCCAAAGGTCTAAGCAGGGAAGAGGAGTTGGCCACCTGTTCCAGTTCTGGAAAGAAAGCATTTAGAGTGATCAGTCTAATTCATGGCACACAGATTGGTCTGCCCTCTGTCTAGAAGCTGGAACAGGAAGTGTGAAGAGCCCGAATCTTATGCCTTGGGCAGAGAGATGTGCCATGTGGGAGCATCAAAGCAGAAAGGGCTTTCCCCTGCTGAGTTATCTGAGGATTTTCCAGCATCTTTCCCCACTGAGCTATTTATGAATGTGCAACCATCTTTACTGCCTGCTCTGACCCTGTCCACACCAGCAGCTCACTCAGTGGCGCAAATGGGACTTCCTGGGGCTCATTGCCCTCTTCAGTAAATATTAGTCAGTGCTGTGGGCATGGAGGGCCTCTGCCAGGTGTAGGCTTTACATCTACGATGATGGGCAAGGGGCAGACATGTTTACCAACACATGAAACTTTTACCCAGAGCAAATCAATGACAACATGGTACAGCAGAGTTACCCAAACAGTTCAGAAGATGGCAGCCCTATAGGATGATTGCTGTAAAAGTAGAACAGCAGAGAAAAATGTTCATTCTCCTCCAGATTGCTTATCAAATTCACAACCCTGAAATATTTTTTTCTCCTTTGCTGATAAAAACTTTACACACATTCAGCTTTCTTTCATTTTCCAACTCCTGGTTGGGATCAGCTGGTTCAGGAGGAAGTAAGTGCCTGTCCATGGCAGATGGTGTGAAGGTGTGTGTCAGGATGGGGTGGAGTAGTGTCTGGAGGTAGCTAGGGCCCAGTGACCAGCGGTCTCAAGGGTGCTGTTGAGGAGTTTGGACTTTATTCTGTCGGCAGTGGGTGGCTATTGAAGGTTCTTAGCTTGAACTCTAGTGTGGAAGTGGAATGGAGGGGCAGGCCTGAGGCAGGGAAATGTGTCAGGAGCTGCCACCGTGGAGATGAGTGGTGATTAATTGCAGGTTGCAAGCCACGGTGCAGTCGTAGGGATGGAAAGGAAGGGCTAGGTCTGAGTGGCAACAGGGTGCATGCTGCTTGTCGAAACTCCCAGGTCCAGCCATTTTGGCCACTACCTTGTTTTTCTCATGCCTAATCTACACTAGCTGAGGTGGTCTTTGCTTGTCTTGCCCCTTTAATTTTGAGTATATCTCAGTAGCCATGTATGATTTTCCCAGAACTCACCTGGTTTCTTTGAGACCAGACCTTCCAGAAGGCTTCTCCTCCCAGGTTTCCCCTGCAGTTGGCAGTGGAGAGCCAGGCTCAGAGATGCAAACGAGGACTAAGTCAGGGGGATACCTCCTGTTCTAGCATCTTCCACCTTATTCTAGGGACCTGGTAGACGAAGCAAAGGACTACCACCTCATGCCAGAGCGCCGGCCCCACCTGCCAGCTTTCAGAACCCGGCCACGCTGCTGCACATCCATCGCTGGACTTATCTACGCTGTAGGGGGCCTCAACTCAGCAGGTACCTTGCGGCTCCCCTTTATAGACCCTCCTCTTGGACTCCATGGATGAGGAAGCACCAGACAAATTAGCCTGGCCCTTCTGGTTTCTCTGTTTTGTACTGTCACCACCCTTGCCCCTCTTGATTTTATACAATTGCTCTACAGTTAGAGCATGTCACATATTCATGCCATTGAATCAGAATATCAGTGCTAAAGAGACCTTCTAGAAATCTTTGAGGCCTAGCCTTCTTACCTGACAAGTGAGGAAATTGAGCCCCACAGAACTTTCACTATGTTCATACAATTGTTTTTGGCAGAGCAAGGACTAGAACTTGGGTGTTCTGATTCCTGAGCCAGCACTTTTGCCCTAATATCACATTGGCTATGGTATAGCATCCTTCAGCCCCGGATAGGATACAGTCAGAGACCCAGTTCCATACCAGGCTATTCACATTTTGTCATATGGATCTCTGGGGTTAGACTGAGAAAGTCCCCAAGAGAAAGATTATCCAAATACACAGGGTCTACCACTGTCAATAATACTTTTTACTCTTCAGCCCCACCCCCTGTGAAACACACACATGCTTTACAGTCCGTGGGTTATTGGCAGTTTTTGAATCTAAGAGTAAGGTTTTCAGAAAGCTGCATGGCCTCCCAACTTGGGGGCAGTTGGTGGGCACTCCCAGGCAGTTTTGTTTTTATTTTTTATTGTTTTTAATTTTTTTGAGATGGAGTGTCACTCTTGTCACTCAGGCTGGAGTGCAGTGGCGCAATCTCAGCTCACTGCAACCTCTGCCTCCCGGGTTCAAGCAATTCTCCCGCCTTAGCCTCCTGAGTAGCTGAGACTACAAGCTCATGCTACCACGCCCAGCTAATTTTTCTATTTTTAGTAGAGATGGGGTTTCACCATGTTGGCCAGGCTGGTTTTGAGTTCCTGACCTCAAGTGATCTGCCCACCTTGGCCTCCCAAAGTGCTGGGATTACAGGTGTGAGCCACCGCACCTGGCCCAGTTTTGTTTTTAATTGAAGGTTAATGAGAGTTGGGTACTAGCTGCTGCTTGTTAATCAGAGGGCCTGGAACAGGTAAATCCTCAACTCAGTGCACGCTGGAGCGGCGTGCAAATGAAATGCTAAGTGCCCCATAGCAGCATACCACAGGAAGAGGGGGTTATTTTGTTTGATCATCACAAAAACCTGATGAAAAAGGTAGGGCTGGAATGATCATTCCTTGCTACTATGACTATTTATTGAGCGCAAAGTTTATTCTAGAACCATGCTAGGTGCTTTACCTGTTATATCATTTAATCCATAAAGATTATCTCCATTTCACATGTGAAGCAGAGGGTGGGGACACAAAGCCCCTTGCCTTGGGTCACCCCCTAGCAAATGAAAGCACTGGAGCGCATGCCCGTCCCTCTGGCATGCCTCCTGCCTGGAGGAAATATTGTATCGATTCACCTATACCTTTGGCTTTAAGCAGGTGGAGTACCTGATTGTAACTGAAAACTACCCTCTCTAAAAAATAAATACCTCCTGTCTGATTCTGATTTTCCTTAAAGAATTAGGTTTGAGGTGATCATGGCTGAAATTTCTTAGTGGGCCCTTGTGCCTTGAGTAATTCTGTGGGAAGAGCTAATAGAATTGAGTCGAATGTTCCATATAATCAATGCCCAATAGCTGTGCTCTAAACAAGTGGTCTCATTTGTTTTAATTTGAGTAGCAAATTTTTATGCAGGTGATTCCCTGAATGTGGTGGAAGTGTTCGACCCCATTGCCAATTGCTGGGAGAGATGCCGTCCCATGACAACAGCCCGCAGCCGCGTTGGCGTGGCTGTGGTGAACGGGCTTCTCTATGCCATCGGAGGATATGACGGCCAGCTACGGCTGAGCACTGTGGAGGCCTACAACCCGGAGACAGACACATGGACCAGAGTGGGGAGCATGAATAGCAAGAGAAGGTATTCTGGAAGCCACGTGCAGCCCGAACATACACACTGAGCACCTGGGGAGCGCCATGCTAGACGAGCAGGGGCACACAGTAGAGTAAAATACAAGCTTTGGCCTGGGAGTTTCCTGCAGCCAGGCCAGCCACTGCCAGTACCTCCTGGGAGCGAGCCCCCATCTGCTTAAAAGTAAAATATCCACCTTGTCCTTTGGGGAACTTGGGGAGACCAGGCATGGACATGTGGAAGTTGTGTTGTTATTTTAAGTGCCAGATAAGGACTGGAAATGTGTATTATGGAAGATTCGAAGAGGGAGAGAAACTGGACTGGAACTTCTGGAAGATTTCAGGGAAGAGGTGGGATTAAAGTTGAAACTTGAAGAATAAGGAGGATTTACCTTTATTAGTGATAAAAGGAAATCCAAGGTGTTTTTCTGTGTACCTTCCTTCCCCAGGACTCCCCTCACACATGCACTTCCACTACCTGGGGAGAATACGAACCAAAGCAATGTTCTTTTATTTAGGTCACACACATTCTCCCAGACAGGAGCACATAGGTATTTGCAAGGTGGGCCAAGTTGATATGTCACTCAGTACATTCTAGCTACCTGCTCTCTCCACTTCTCTGCTTATATTGTCTGAATAAGAAGTGGGATTAGAAGACATCCCAGTGCCTTTGTTTAGCCCTTCTTACTGCTGAGGTGACAGGTGGCATGTTTCATTATGTCAGACACGTGATGGAGTCATCACATGTGTGGGCAGCTGAAAAGCTGGCGCAGCCCAAGGAGGGGAGAGGAAAGCTGCCCAGAGCCCCCTGGCCGTTACCCAGGACAGCTCTGCACTGATTGCTTTTACACATTGAGCTTCCTTGATATATGCCTAATGTTGTTCCACATCCAGCAGCGTTTGCATGTGGATGTGAGCTGGGAGGGATCTGCCTTTGTACTGGTGAGACCAGTTCACAAAGCATCGGAGTAGGTTCCTTTGGGAAGAAAAAAATACGTAAGATCTGCCCCTCCCAAGAACGCATTGAGAGTCCTTTCCTCCCACCATCCCCACTTTTGCTCCTTGGATACTTTGCAGCTTCCTATGTTTGAGTGACTCATTGCTCCGTGTCCCCAACCATGAGTAGCTTTTTTGCTTTGACTGCAGTCAGCTGTCCTTCCTTGTGTGTCTGCTCTGGACCACTTCCTTGCTTTGATGTTACTGGGTTTAGAGGGCTGTCTTGGAGGAAAGTTCTCTGGGTATTCCTTTCCTTCACTGTGGTTAATATCCTGTTATTAGTGTGGGCCCGGTTCCATTACATCCCTTTTAAATTACAGGCTACCTTAAAACGTTCCTAGTCACTTCTCTTCTGACATCCCACACAGCTGTCTGTTCTGCCAGTTAGTGACATCCTGCCATCTTTCCTTCCTATCTCCCCCAGTGTTCTACGCCATCCCATAGACCTTTCTTACACTGGACTATTCCAGTCCATGCTGATCAGCATTTTCTCCTTCTCTTCACACTCGCCTTTACCACCTAGTTGATAGTTAATCTCATGCAGTTTTGGGGCACCTCTTAATTCATTTTCATATTGTTCAACACCTGTTTTGTTATGTAATTTTTATGTTTGTTTTGTGTCCGTATCCAGAAGGATAGTGATCATGTCTAGTAAATTTGTGATCTTCCCACAATACTTGCCTAAGGCAAGTCCCTCTCCTCTTTCTGGCTGGTTCAGGGGGTCAGTTATCATGTCCCTGAAAGGGACATTCTGTGGATCAGTTTGATTACTATGTACATTTAAAAGGTAGCAGCAAGCCAGGTATGGTGGCTCACGCCTATAATCCCAGCACTTTGCGAGGCCAAGGAGGGCGGATCACCTAAGGTCACGAGTTTGAGACCAGCCTGGCCAACATGGTGAAACCCTGTCTTTACTAAAAATACAAAAATTAGCCAGGCATGGTGGCGGGCGCCTGTTATCCCAGCTACTTGGGAGGCTAAGGCAGGGAGAATTGCTTAAACCGGGGAGGCGGGGGTTGCAATGAGCTAAGATCGTGCCACTGCATTCCAGCCTGGTTGACAGAGTGAGACTCCGTCTCAAAAAAAAGAAAAGGTAGCATTAAGCCTGGTATGTTTTATTTTCCTGTTTGTTAGAAACCTAGATTCATTTTTAATCTTCACCAGCATCACATTTGAAAATAGTGAATTGGGCAGCTTGGCATTTGTGCTGAATTCCTTATAAGGCGTTGTGTAGGAGGGAAGATTACATGATTACACCACCAGACCCCTGGGTCTTTGATATTAGGAGAGCTTGGCATGTAAGGAGTTGGGGAGTTGGGCTTGTCTCATTTAAATCTGAGGCAGGCCTCTCTCTGGGCAGTCTTGAGGAGAGACCTCAGCCTCCCCAAGCTATGGCTGCCTGTCTGTACAGTGATTATGGTGCTCTTTCCTTCCTTGCAGGGTGTGCTAAGGGCTGAAAATAGCAAGTGGGCCATGCACAGTGGCTCACACCTGTAATGCCAGCACTTTGGGAGGCTAAGGCGGGAGGATTGCTGGAGCCCAGGAGTTTAAGACCAGCCTGGGCAACATAGTGAGACCCCCGTCTATACAAAAAAAAAATTAGCCAGGCATAGTGCCATGTGCCTGTAGTCCCAGCTACTGGGGAGTCTGAGGTGGGAGAATCCCTTGAACCCAGGAGGTCAAGACTGCTGTGAACCATCATTGTGCTACTGCACTCCAGCCTGATGATAGAGCAAGACCTCATCTCAAAAAAAAAAAAAAAAAGAAAATAACAAATGTAGAGTACCTAACACATGTAGTAAATGCACAGCAAACAGGAGCTGTGGCATCAGCCACTATGATAAATTAGAGGCCATGCACATGATGAAAACAACATCTGTGAATTGAGTGGGAAAAAGCAGAGGTAACACAACAAACATACATTCAGTGCCTGTTACATACAGGACATCATACTTATCACTGTGAGGGTCACACAGGTGAAGGCCCTTTCCTGTCTTCCAGGAGCTCCTCACTTATTAAGAGGTGGCAGATAGATTGGCTGGGTGTGGTGGCTCACTCTTAACAATCCCAGCACTTTGGGAGGCTGAGACAAGAGGACAGAAGTTTGAGACCAGCCTGGGCAACATAGCAAGACCCTGTCTCAAAAAAAAAAAAATTAGCTGGGTGTGGTGGTGCACACCTGTAATCCCAGCTACTTGGGAGGCTGAAGTGCAGGAAGATCAATTGAGCACAGGAGTTCAAGGCACAGTGAGCTATGATGGTACCACTGCACTCTAGCCTGAGTGACAGAGCAAGGCTCTGATTAAAAATTACACACAGAAGTGGCAGATAGATTCCTGGTAGCCTATAATGTCAGAACATAAGTGCTTTGTGGGCTGGAACTTTGGCTTGCTTACCACTCTAAACCCCAGCTGTTACAGATCTGATGGATGAATGAATGATTGTAACAACTGCTGATTAATAAGCCACTCAGGGAGCGTGGGGGTGGGAAAGAGTAATTCTTACAAAGGGGAGGAAGAGGAGAGTGGAAGTTGAGTTGGGCCTTCAAGGTAAATTCGACCTTCACATGGTGAGGTGGAAGGTAAGCATTTTAGAAAGATTAAGGACAGAGAAGAGCAGGGAGGGGAGGCAGCCTGCGGTAGAAGGGTGGGGCACAAGAGGAATGATGGGGCAGCTTCTGTCACCTCAGTTTTATGCCTTTACTTAGTCACATACCTTAGATTTACGTTGCAGAAAGAGGCAATTGATAGGTTTGTTTCTCAGTGGGCAAGAGAGGCTGCTCCAGGAAGGCTGCGGCTCATCTGGGATGACAGCTCTGTCTGTTTCAGTGCCATGGGGACAGTCGTGCTGGATGGGCAGATCTACGTCTGTGGGGGCTACGATGGCAACTCTTCCCTCAGCTCCGTGGAGACCTACTCACCTGAGACGGACAAGTAAGGACTCCAGCTCCCTTGGGGCAACTGGAGCTTATAAACAGAGAGTATAAAAATCAGAACTGTAGTTTTTTTAATTTAAGCTTCTCAAGGGTAGAGAATGTCTTACCTTTTTGCCCGTATAGTACTTTGTATATACTAGATATTTAATAACCCTTGGTTAAGTGAAAGAATGAGTAAATAAAATTTTAAAACAAATAGTCTACATAGTTGCTTGGAAATACTTATTTAATGGTCTGTACCTCTTAGCTAAATCAGCCCATTTTAATGGAAATACAGGCAAGAGGGAATAAGAAGTAGATGAACAGCATGTTCCAAAGTGGGTAGGATATGATTTGGAAAAAAAAAAATGTTTTTAAGTTCTGTGGTCAGATAGGCTTGGGAAATGTTGATGTCTGAACTGCCAGAGTCCTTGTCTTTCCATAAGATATATTAACATTTTAAAGACTCTAAGAAACCCTGCAGTAAATAACTCTGTTTAACCTCGGGTTTTATATACACAACAGTCACCATCTTGTGGGACTCATTTGTGGAACACTCTTTGAAAAACATTGACAAGGTTAGCCCGAGTTTTTCATTTCAGTATTTGAATCCTCTCATCTTATATAATAAAATATAAACAAATTAGTTGAATGGACTTATTAGGATGCCTTTAAGCCAGTATTCTGTTCACTTGACCAATCTACTGTGGATCAGACAGCAAGCTGGGTGTCTGAGATCCTTTAAAGCATCCAATGTGGTTGGGCCATGGGTTGCATCATGATCATCCTACCCTGGAGGCCTGTGTCAGAAGCTCTTGGGCACAGAGCAGAGAGAACCTTCATCTTCCCCAGGGTTGCAGGAAGGGACAGGGTAGCAGGGATGTCTTCCAAGGTGAGACCTGTCATGGATAGCCAATGGGAGGTGTTTGCTCATCATAGGGAGACAACAAGGAGTGAGGCTGCAATAAGAAAGTGTTCACTGTAATCGAGAACAGCAATGATCCTCTCATGGGCTAGAGCACAGCGTGTGGATGGGAGACGGAGCAGGGTGGGTGGCATGTGGTGTGGGGTGAAGCTGAAGGGTGGTTGAGGACCAAGAGGTGAAGAACCACATGAAGGGCTGGGCACAGTGGCTCACGCCTGTAATCCTAACACTTTGGGAGGCCAAGGCAGGAAGGTAACTTGAGCCTAGGAGTTTGAGACCAGCCTAGGCAACATAAGAGAGACCCTGTCTCTTTTAAAAAAAAAAAAAAAAAAAAAGGAGAGAGAGAAAAAAACATTAGCCAGGCATGGTGGCATAAGCCTCTAGTCCCAGCTACTGAGAAGGCTGAGGCAGGAAGATTGCTTGATTCTGGGAGGTCAGAACTGCATTGAGCTATGATAGCACCACTGCATTCCAGCCTGGGTGACAGAGTGAGACCCTGTCTCAAAAATAAAAAAAAATTAAAAACCACATGAAGGAACCTGGATTCTCTTAGAGGAGACAGTGAGGAGCCACTGGACGGACATGGTGCAGGTACAGGAGGAGCAATCCCTCTGGCTGGGTGGGGTCGGATGGGACTGGTAGGAAAGCCAGGCTGCCTGTAAAGAGGCTGTTGCAGTGGTCCAGATGAGAGGTCAGGGGTAGGGCACTGGTAGTGGGGATGGGAGCAAGCACTGACTAGGAAGCAAACCAGCCAGGACTTGGGGGACCACAGGAATGTTGATGGTGAGGGAGAAGCAGCCAGAATAGCACTGAGCTTTATAAGTACAGCAGCTAGAGGGCTGGTGGTCTGCTTAACAAGGCAGGGAGTGCAGGGAGGAGCAGAACTGTAGGAGAAAGAGGTCTTGTATGAGACAATGATTTTGAGCAGCCATGGAGATGAGCAGAGAAGATGGGCTGTGGGTTTGCAGCTTGGGTGAGAGGCGGCAGCCAGGGAGAACTGTCAGAGAGGTGGTGGGAGAGGTGATAAGAGATGGAGAGATGGCCAGCACAGTTCACCTAAACCCTGCTAGGCTGTCTTGAGGGAACAAGAACCCTGAATCTCATGCTTCCCCTCCTATTTTGACTCTTTCCTGAAGATGGACAGTGGTGACCTCGATGAGCTCGAATCGCAGTGCTGCTGGGGTTACAGTCTTTGAGGGCAGGATATATGTGTCAGGCGGCCATGATGGTTTGCAGATCTTCAGCAGTGTGAGTCTGGGCTCCCCCTGGGATAAGGGTACCTACTTCTGTCTTTGAGATTTATTTTAGAAGATCATTATTTGAAAAAACTTCAGCCTTGCCACAGCTGAATAAAGTATCATCTAGTGAGGTTTCAGGCTATCCACTGCACCTTCTGAAATTCTGAACTTCCAGAGAATGAGCCAGTGTACACAAAAGAAGGGCAAAGGGTAGTCACATCTGCAGCCACCACCCTGTTCTACTGTCTGTTGAACACTACATAGAACTTGTGAGATTCCTGCCCAAAGTAAGTTCAGTTATAGACCAAGTGTAAATTTGCAAACAGTTGTATTCTTTTGGATAATTTGTTTGAAATTGTATTTATTCTGTAAAAAAGGCTCAACAGCCATTTACTAGTCATTCCATAGTCAGTCAGTGCTGCAGTGGAGAGCCCTGGAGATTACAGGAGACCCAGCTCTCATACAGGTTCTGTCACTACCTAGCATTGCATCCTTGGGCACATCCTTTTTGTTTCCTTAGATGCAAACAGAAAGGGTTAGGTGAGGTGACCTCTCCCTGTCCCCATACACCAAAGAGCAGGCCTGCAGCAGAGGGAATACTGGGAGAGCTCCTTGTCCCCATACCTCCCACAGGAGTTTGACATCATGGGGGGCTGCTGTGCCCTGCACGGTCACTCCATGGACTGAGCTTTGCCTCTGACTGTCCTGTACCTGTGCCTCTCTCCCCACTGCAGGTGGAACACTACAACCACCACACAGCCACCTGGCACCCTGCAGCTGGCATGCTCAACAAGCGCTGCCGGCACGGAGCCGCCTCCCTGGGGAGCAAGATGTTTGTCTGCGGGGGCTACGATGGCTCTGGCTTCCTCAGCATTGCCGAGATGTACAGCTCTGTGGCAGACCAGTGGTGCCTGATTGTCCCCATGCACACGCGCAGGAGCCGGGTCTCCCTGGTGGCCAGCTGTGGGCGCCTCTACGCTGTTGGGGGCTACGACGGACAGTCAAACCTAAGCTCAGTGGAGATGTATGACCCAGAGACAGACTGCTGGACATTCATGGCCCCCATGGCGTGCCATGAGGGAGGGGTCGGTGTGGGCTGCATCCCTCTCCTCACCATCTAAGGCAGAGGATGGGATGTGGTGGGGCAGGGATCTGGTACAGACATAGGCGCTTCCTTCCAGGAACAGTCCCTCAGGAGAGGCAGTGGACCAGAAGAGATGGCGAAACGTGAGCTCGCCGGAGGTACAGTTTTTCCAGGTGCTTAAGCCCTCCCCCACTGTGCCACCCTTGTGACCTTCAGGCTTGGGTCATCAAGATGCACAGCATGGAACACAAGCTCCTCTGGATCCTGCAGCTGGTGACATGGAACTGTTTTCTGGTCCACATGAACACAGGCTCCATCCAGGCCCAGCTCCTACCCACCGCCTCTCTGTGGGCCAGCTGTTCACAGAAGGCCTTCCATCTGATGCTCCCCATCGCCTGCTTGCTCTCCAGCCGAGTCTGGCCAATTTGCCATGGGGAGGCTGCAGTGTCCAAGCCTGCTGGAAACTGGGATGTAGCTGGGGACGAAAGGACAGACCCAAGCGTTCTCCCTGCCTGAGATGGTGTGGCCACAGCAGTGGAAGGCTGCACACAGGCACATTCCTTCTTCCACAGTGGGGCACCAAGGATTCTGTCCTCATTGCTGGGTAAGCAGGGAGAAGAGAAGTTTTCCCCATGTCTAATTTTGGGATTTCAGTGAGGCCTTTTGATCTGTCCAGGAGAACAGAAGGGAAAAAAAGATACTTGAAAGAAACTGAAGGAAATTTAAACAAAGAAACACTTGAAAGAAACTGGAAAGAAAAATAATTTTTTTATGTGAACAAATTTTGCAAGAAGAAAAAAGCATAAAAGACACTAACGGCAAATCTATGTTTAAATGGAAAATCGTCTAACTGGAGAAGGGCGGTATCCACCCCACATTCGGATCCCAGGGTCCTGAGGCCTCGCATTGAGCTGGGGGTTCCCTCTGAGCCCCAGTGTGTGTGGAATCAGTGCACTCTTGACTGGGCCTGTAGTAAGGTGCTCATGGGGTTTGTCTTCTCACCCACCATCAGAGGACTTTTAAAATCATAGGCGTAGAGAGTTAGGCTATCTGCTGAATTACTGCCACTCTTCTTGGTGGGGGCTCCTAGCTGTGGCTGGGGGCTCCAGGCGCCCCTGTGATTACCTCCTACTGCCACCATGGCGCTCATTCAGATTCCCCACTCTCACTAACATTGCTTCCTTTTTTGACCAGCAGGAAACAGCAGGTCTGGCCAGATTCTCACTTGCCCATCAATCTCGTTCTTGGATGATTTCCCTCATTGTGATGCTTCTGGGGCACGTTGACCATATGCACCTCTAGAACCTAACCAGGGCTTCCTTCTACCAGCTGTGGGCGGGCTTGGTCTGGTAACCTTGTCTGCTCTGCCATTCCACTGCTCCTCCATCCACTCGCCAATCCCAAGAGTCTGGCCTCCCTCCAGCCCTGGGCAGACTGACCAGCAAGGTGGACCTTTACATTCAAGCACAGCTGGCTTTTATGACATAAAGAACTAAAGGCCGAAAGAATCTCTTGCTGCTGCAAAGAACAGATTTTATATTTCTTCCTCTAATCTTGGCAAATGACCTTTACCTTTTGGAAAGATTTCATATTGCTTCCTCCTCCCTGGATAGGACCTAATGTAGCACAGCGGGACTCAAAGAGGAGGACATTTTCTCTTGCCAGTGCACTGGGCAGTGGGGCTGTCCTTCAACTGCTGCTGCCAAAATTGGTTTTCTAAAATTCTTCCAGTAGAGACTAAAAGAAGATTCAATTCCTGTAACCCAAGACTGAGTCTTAGGGCTCCAGTCTCCACCTGCTTGGTTTCCTATCCTTTGCTGCCTGCCTGGGGTGGCCTGGAAGCCTGTTCAGAAAGGCACAATGTGGAGCCTGGGGTGTCTCCCCCACCCCAGGACCGTCAGGTTTACCAGTGTGTGCAATCGCCATGTATTCAGAGGGAAGTACCTTTGTTACCTACAACTTAGGAGCTAGGCCTCTGCTACAAGCACTTGAAAATGATATTTTTATTTTTAACGTCTCAACAATCTGATATCGGATGTCGTTTAACCTGGGCTCGTGGTAGGGCTCCAGCATTTCTCCCTCCTTCCTGGTTTGCCTGTAGGGGTAGACTCGGAAGGTGGGTGGGGTGTGCATTTCCTGTTAGGAGTGTATCAGTGCTTGTCTTATTATAAGCCCCTTTCTTTTGTGAATTTGAAGTAGCACCAACAAGCCTGGATTGTGAAGGTATTAAGAATCGGTCTGTGGGCTACTGAGTGGGTCCTTAGGATACTGGCCCAGATTTTGCCACTGGGTATGGCAGATCATTTTCTACCATGGCCTGCTGCTCTTGTAGTGGACTTCCTGAGTCCAATCCCACCTCCTGGTGTAGAATTTACACTGCTGCACCTGAGGTCGATGTTTCAAAGTAAGATCAAGCCAGTGTTTTGATCTGGGCTCTGAGCACAAGTCAGGAAACACCAACATATTCACACTCTCCCAGTAGGTTCCTCAGTCCGATGGTGAATGGCTATTCGTAAATGGCTGGTCTGGCTCTTTGGTGTTGGAGCCTTTCCAATAGCCCCATGAAAAGAAGCATCACCCAAGGATATTGTAAAAAGGATGTAACAAGGAGATAGGGTAGACATTGTACTCAGTGGGCCTTGGGGCCTAGCCCAGCTCTGAGCAGAGGACTGTGGCATTCACTGTCCTTGAGTGTTTCACCTTCTTGGATAACACACGGGCCTTCTCTTCTGGATTTCATCAGAGATTACAGCCAGATGGGGGCTGAAGACCATCCTCTTGACCACAGAGGTGTGACTGTGGGAATTCCTCCCAATTTATGGTTTCCCAGAAAATCTTAGTTCCTTTTATTTATAGAATGCATGTCTTTTGTGTTAAGAAACCAAAGAGAAATAAAGAGAACACTCCTAATAGCTCTTGTCCTTTCTTGGTTTATTTCTCAGATATTAGAAGTACATGTTTGTTTTTTAATTGTGATTCACTGAAAAAAATATATTGGACAAAATGGGAATATTTCTGTGAATATAAGGGAAAAGCCAGATGTACAGCAAAAGTAGTCTTTGGAGAGATTTATTTTATGAGAGTCACTTCTGGTGAAAAATATGCAAAGACTTCATTTGCACTTTGGGACTGCATATTGGTGCCTGTCCTGATCGCCCCTACTCTCGGATTTCCCCTTTTCTCCATTCACTGCCCTAAAACTCCAGAGTTTCCCAGTGGAATGTGGCTGCCTGTTGACTGCCTGGAATCAGCATCTCCAGCTCCTTTTTTATGCTCTAGGCGAGAGGTGCTTTAACTTTGGTGCACATAAAAGTCACTGGAAAATGTTTAAACCACAGATCCGTTCCTAAGTCCCTCTCTAGAGACAGGTTCCCTAGGGCTGGGGTGCAGCTCAGCATTCTGGCGTGAGCAAGTTTCCTTGGTGATTTGCATGCTCTTCAGTGTGAGAACTATACTCCCATCTTCAGTTTCACTTCCCCAAATACAGCCGCATTCCAGATCTGCTCTTCCAAGATTACACTGTGGTTAGTGTGGTTTTGCCTGTTGGGAAACTCTTCAGTCACACTTTTCCAAAAGTCAGCTTGTGATCAATCTTGTCCATTGGACTCCTGGATGGCAACTTAATTTTTTTAAGTTTTTGGAAGGCATATCACTCCCACACACACCCCACCAGGACATGTCTTACATATAAACACTCTTATCAGTTGAATCTCACATGGTCCTCAGTAATCCCCACGGAGCAGGTAACATTTTAGCATAAGGAAACTGCCTCAGAATGGCCAAGTAATTGACCTGACTCCAGCTAACCAGTGGCATTGTGAGAAATTGAGACCAGATCTCCACACTCACAGTCCAGTCTGCCTAAGGACAGCAGTGTCTTCCACCTGTGAAGGGAGCAGCATTCCTCCCAACAGTCATAGACCTTGGAAAAGCAGACTGGGCAGCAAGGGGAAGAGTGAAGAAGCAGGTGCCTTCATGCTGAAAGAGATAGCCAGACTATCTGGGAACTCTGCCCTCTGGGAGAAAGGCCTGTTGCTTGTAAAGTAGTAGCAGCCCTTTCCATGTAATCTATGCCCCCTTGACCAGAGCCAAAGAGCCCCATAGGTGAAGAGTGGACTGCTAAGTCAAACTGGATTCATCTGCTTGACTTTCCATTTCTTTTTTCTTTCTTTCTTTGTTTTTGTTATTTGGACTCCTTTCCCCCTCATGACCAACAGCAGAGCCCACTCCATTTCACCCCAAAGTCCAGCACTGCTGCTTTTTATTGCTACTCACAATAACCTAACAGTACACAACATTGCTTACTGCAGCCTTGAACTCCTGGGCTCAAGCGATCCTCCCACCTCAGCCTCCTGAGTTGCTGAGACAGCAGGTATGCACCATCATGCCTGGCTATTTTTTTTATTTTTTGTAGAGAATCGGTCTCACTATGTTGCCTAGGCTGGTCTTGAATGCCTAGCTTCAAGCAATCCTCCCGCCTTGGCCTCCCTAAGTGTTGAGATTACAGGTGTGAGCCACCACGCCCAGCTTAGTTCTGCAGTTCATAAAACCTAAACTTCATAGCATGACATAGAATGTCACTGAGATACTGACACTTCCTCTCAGCTGCCCAGCAGCGGTCTTCAGGATCTCAGTTTAGATGTTACCTTCATGAAAACATCTCTGGTCAGCGTGGCACTCCTCCTCCATCTGCTGTGCTGGCCCTTGGCCATATTCTACCATGCAGTGACCTGTTTACCTGTTTTACCTGCTACGTGGTGAGCTCTGTGAGACTCTCCATTACTGTAGACACAACAATGGACATGAAGAAGAGGCTGAACAATAGCTTCTTGAAGAATTTAGGGACAATCAGGTATATCCACATTCAAATGTCACCTAATCATGCTTCCCTTGTCTTCCTCCTTTTTACGTCACTGATTTTTTAATAGTTTCATTGAGTCATAGTTTACATACCTTAAAGTTCATTCATTTTAAGTGTCCAACTCAATGACTTTTAGTAAATGTACAGAGCTGTGCAACCATTATCACCATCTTGTTTTAAAATATTTTCATCACTCAGTTAATCCCTTTTGCAGTTCCCCTTTTCACCTGCATCATCAGGCAACCACTATTTTATTTTGTCTCTATAGATTTTCCTATTCTGGACATTTCACATAAGTGGAATCATATAATATGTGGCCTTCTGTGTCTGGCTTCCTACTTTAGAATAATTTAGTTCATTCATATTGTAGAATGTACCAATAGTTCCTTTTATTGTTTTTAAGTTGTATTCCACTTATACCATATTTTGTTCATTCACCGATTGATAAATGTTTAGATTGTTTCCAATTTGGGGCTATTATGAATAATACGGCTATGAACATTCATTTATAAGTCTTTGTTAGACATATATTTTCATTCCTCTTGGGTAGATCCTAGGAGTGAAACTGCTGGGATCATATAGTAGGTTTAGGTTTAACTTTTTAAGAAATTGCCAAGCTTTTCCAAAGTGGCTGTCCCTCTTTACATTTCCACCAGCAATGTATAATGAATGGTTCAGGTTCCTCCACATTCTTGTCGGCACTTGGACTTTTCTGTTTTGTTGTAGCCATTCTAGTGGATGCAAAGTGGCATCTCATTATGGTTCATTTGCATTTCTCTGACAACTAATGATTTTGAGCATCTTCATGCGATTGTTAACCATTTGTATATCTTTAGTGAAATATCTATTCAATTATTGCCCATTTTTAAATTGGTTCACATGTCTTATTAATGAATTGTAAGAAAGTTTTACATATTCTGGATACAAATCCTTTATTTATCAAATATATTATTTGCAAATGTTTTATCCCAGTCTTAGCTTGTCTTTATTTTCATTTTCTTTCTTTCTCTCTCTCTCTTTTTTTTTTTTTTTTTTTTTTTTTTTTTTTTTGAGACAGTCTTACTCTGTCGCCAGGCTGGAGTGCAGTGGTGTGGTCTTGGCTCACTGCAACCTCCACCTCCCAGGTTCAAGCAATTCTCCTGCCTCAGCCTCCTGAGTAGTGGGACTACACGTGCCCGCCACCACGCCTGGCTAATTTTTGTATTTTTAGTAAAGACGGGGTTTCACCATGTTGGACAGGATGGTCTTGATCTCCTGACCTCGTGATCTGCCCTCCTCGGCCTCCCGAAGTGCTGGGATTACAGGCGTGAGCCACCACGCCCAGCCCTTTCTCTTTTTTTTTTTTTTACTCACCACTATACTAACAAGGGCTCTTTTCATTTTCTTAGTGGTGGTGGTTGAATTGTAAAAGTTTTTTACTTTGATGAAGTTTAGTTTATCAGTTGTTTCTTTTATGGATCATGCCTTTGGTGTCGTATCTTAAGAACTTTTTGAAGTCTTCTTGTTTTATTCTTACATGTAGGTATGTGATCCACTTTGTGTTCATTTTTGGGCATGGTGTAAGGGAAGAGTCTAAATTCATCTTTTCATGGACCGATTTCCATTTGTCCAAGCACCATTTGTTGTAGAGTATCTTTTCCCCATTGAATTGCTTTGATACCTTTGTCTAAATCAATTGGGCATAAATATAAGGGTTTATTTCTAAACTCTTAGTTCTGTTCCATTGATCTGTGCCTGTCCATGATTGTGTGTTATTGATGACTCTGGCTTTAAAGTATTTGTAAGTCATTAAATCAGGTAATGTAACACCTCCAACTTTGTTATTTTTCAAAATTCTTTTGACTTTTCTAGATACTTTGCATTCCCATGTCACTTTTATGATCAGATTGTCAGTTACTACAGAAAAGCCTTCTGAGGTTTTAAATATATATTGTGTTTAATTTACAGATCAAGTTGAGAATTGCCATCTTGACAATATGAAGTCTTCCAGTCTGTGAACATGGAGTTTGTGTCCATTTATTTAGATATTCCTTGATTTCTCTTAGCAATATTTTGTTATTTTCAGTATATACATCTTACACTCCTTTTGTTAAAATGTTCATATTACTTTGCTATTACGAATGGAATTGCTTGCTGAATTTTGTTTTCAGACTTTTTGGTGCTAGTATATAGAAATACCATTGATTTTTGTTTATTGATCTTATATCCTGTGACCTGTCTAAATTCAATCTGTTAGTTTTATCATTTTTTAAAAAAATGTCCGTGTGTGTCTTCCTTGAGATTTTCTACATTATCATGTCATCTGCAAATAAAGACATTTACTTCTTTCTTTCCAATCTGTATGCCTTTAATTTTTTCCTGTCTTATTGTACTGGCTAGAAATCTAGTACAGTGTTGAATGAAAGTGGCAAAAGTGGACATCCTTGCCTTGTTCTCAATCTTAGGGAGGAAAACCTTCAGTCCATCACTGTTCAAGTTGATGTTAACCTGTGGGTGTTTCATCTATACCTTTTCCAAATTGAGGAAGTTTCATTCTGTTATTAGTTTCTTGAGAGTTTGTATCATGAATTGGTGTGAGATTTCATCAGATGCTTTTTCTGCATCTATGAGGTGACATGTGGTTTTTGTTCTTTAGCCTGTTAATGTTATAACATTAATTTATTTTTAAGATGTCGATCCAACGTTGCATTCCTGGGATAAATCCCACTTGGTTATGGTGTATAATTATTTTTTATGTTGTCAGATGTGGTTTGCTAATATTAAGTATTTTTGCATCTGTGTTCACTTGAGATATTTTCTGTAGTTTCCTTTCCATGTGATGTCTTTGGTCAGTAACACCAGCTTTACAGAATGAGTTAGGGAGTGTTGCTTACATCTCTATTTCTGAAAGAGTGTGTGAAGGATTGGTATTTTTTCTTTTTAAAATGTTTGATAGAATTCACCAAAGGAGCCATCTGAGCCTCTGTTTTTGTGGGCAATTTTTAAATTTCTAATTCATTTTCCTGACTCATCTGGGGTCCCCCTTAGGGTGGGCACCTGCTTCTCTTAGGGAGTGGGACCCTTGTGGTTAGGGAGATTCTTGCCCCACCAGCAGGGATTGAGATCACCAGAGTGAGCATGGTGTGTGTCCTTACAAGCTCCTCACTTTTCCTCTCTCCCTTGCCTTAGGGTGCTCACCTCTCCTTGTCTCAGAGACCATCCCTGTTCTCCACTCATACTGCCCACCACCACCTTTTTCTAACTTCTGAATATAAGAGGCCTTAGAGCTCAGCCCTGGGTTCTGATTTCACTCCATGCATTCTCCCTAGCTGGTACCACCTTATCCCACATGTGAGGAAGGTGTCTGGAATCTTATTTTTTGGACTGGCCCAGATTCATGCGTTCACTTGGATATGTCCAATATGATCATAGTTCAAAGTGGAAATTTTGATTTTATCCTCAAACCTGGTCATCCCCCAGTTTCCCCCAATCTTCTCACCTACCCAGTTGCTCATTTAGGAACCCAGCAGTGGGTTTTGGAGGTGGGAGAAGTTGAGGGTCATTCATTTCCTTCTTCCTCCTCTCCAATAACCAAGTCATGACCTAGTTCTGTTGACGCTACTTCCAATCCAGTTCTCTCCTCTCTTGCCATACTAGTCCACACCATCAGCATATCTTTTAGAAGCTGGATTATGGGCCGGGCGCAGTGGCTCACGCCTGTAATCCCTCCACTTTGGGAGGCCGAAGAGGGCAGATCATGAGGTCAGGAGTTCAAGACCAGCCTGGCCAACATGGTGAAACCCTGTCTCTACTAAAAATACAAAAATTAGCCGGGCATGGTGGTGGGTGCCTATAATACCAGCCACTTGGGAGGCTGAGGCAGGAGAATCGCTTGAACCCAGGAGGCAGAAATTGCAGTGAGCCGAGATTGTGCCACTGCACTCCAGCCTGGGCAACAGAGCAAGACTCTGTCCCCCCCAGCCCAGGAAAAAAAAAAAAAGAACCTGGATTACTACAATGATCTCCTAACTGGTCTTCCTACTTCCCCTTGCTCACCCTCCAATCTATAGACAGCAGAGCAGCCAGAATGAAATTGTAAAGTTGTAAATTGCAGCATGCTCAGATCCCTCCAGTGGCTCCCAGGACCTCAGGGCTTATTCTCCTGTTGGGATGGCCTGGGGAACAGTTTACACGTAGCACCCCTAACAGACAGGATGTGTGCCCCCGACCCAGGATGGAGGGGCTGGGGCACTTAGCCCCTGCATTCCAAGCAGAACTCTCCTTCATTCTTGATTTTTTTTTTTTTTTTTTTTTTTTTTTTTTTTTGAGACGGAGTCTTGCTCTGTCACTCAGGCTGGAGTGCAATCGCGCGATCTGGGCTCATTGCAGCCTCCGCCTCGGGTTCAAGCAATTCTCCTGCTTCAGCCTCTGGGGTAGCTGGGATTACAGGCACCTGCCACCACGCCCGGCTAATTTTTGTATTTTTAGTAGAGATGGGGGATTCACCATGTTGGCCAGGCTGGTCTTGAACTCCTGACTTCAGGTGATCTGCCTGCCTTGGCCTCCCAAAGTACTGGGATTACAGGCGTAAGCCACCGTGCCCAGCCTCACGATTTATTTTTAATTAAAAATACTGAATTTTAGGTATGGGGACAAAGCAGTAAACAAAACTGATAAAATTCCCTGCATCTTAGAGCTTAAACTAGAACAAGACCTGTCTTTCCGTCGTATTCAGATCTAATTTTGTGTGTTTTAATACGATTGGGCTCTAATTTGGTTGAACTTAATCTGCAAGAATCTAGAGGAAGCCTAAACTGGGAGTTTTAGGGTAGAAAAGGATTTGGCTTCATGTCTGCTGGGTGTAACAGTGTGGGTGAAGGACCCCGGGAGAGCAGGGCCACGGACACTATTCCAAGCATTACTTTTATTATTTGCCAGTAGACTATGGCAAACTTGTTCATAATGTTATTTTTCATACCATCTTTAAGTTTTAGCATTAAGCATGGATTGCGGAGCTTTACATCTTCTTGATTTTGAATTAAATAACTTTTTTTTTTTTTTTCTGAGGTGGAGTCTTACTCTGTTGCCCAGGCTGGAGTGCAGTGGTACGATCTCAGCTCACTGCAACCTCCTCCTCCCTGGCTCAAGTGATTCTCCTGCCTCAGCCTCCCGAGTAGCTGGGATTACAGGCATGCACCACCACACCCAGCTAAGTTTTGTATTTTTAGTAGAGACTAGTTTTCACCATGTTGGCCAGGCTAGCCTTGAACTCTTGGCCTCAAGTGATCCACCCACCTCAGCTTCCCAAAATGCTGGGATTACAGGCATGAGCCACTGTGCCTGGCCAAATTAAATAACTATTATCTAGGTGCTCACACATAAATTATTTTATGTAAACTATTGGCAAAGTTTAAATAATTTTGGAAGTGCATGTCCTTTAAAGCCTCACTACTCAACATGTAGTCCATGGATAGGCAGCATCAGCATCACCCGGAAGCAGGGCCTTGTGGCTGGTACTACAGGCCAGCCTCATCTTGCAGGGCCAGTTTCCCCAGACCTTGTGTGATGTGTGATGTTGACCACCATAGATGGGCCCTGAGTTTCCTGGGAGAAGTCACCCAACCCAGTCCCATCGTGTGCAGGATCCAAGAGGCTGGGCCTAGTGACCCACAGAAGACCTGGATGAGGCCAGGAAGCACTCTTTTTTCATAGTGGAGGGTTCTGCAAGGGAGTGATGTGGCATGAATGAGGTACGTTTGCATTCTGTGGGCCTGCAAGGGTTGGAAGTAGCCTTTGCCAGCTGAACATCAATTTCTCCACTGTGGGAGAGGATCTGAGGGTCTCGACTTATCTTGCTCAGGTCCAGAGTCACCTCTTGCAGCATCCCTTTTCCCCTCCTCTTACCCACTAGTGGGTGCCAACCAGGATTTAGGTGTCAACTAGGCCGGGCGTGGTGGTTCACACCTGTAATCCCAGCACTTTGGGAGGCTGAGAGGGGCAGATCGCTTGAGGCCAGGAGTTCGAGACCAGCCTGGGCAACAAAGCAAAACCAAGTCTCCTCAATACAAAAATCAGCCGGATATGGTGGTGCGTGCCCATAGTCCTAGTCTGCTGTTCAGGGAGAAGTTCTGGCTGGAGCTGTGTTATAAAGGTGGGGGCATTAAGAAACTAAGGGGCTGAGGGGGCTGGCAGTCGACTCCTCTGCCTTCCTGAGCCTCCAGACCCGCCCTCTGATGGCCCCCAGTTTCTCTTCATGGTTCCTACCCACCCAGAGCCTGACTCATTGGTCTCCTTACCCCACATCAAACCAGTCCAGCCTCTCTCTAACACTTTATTCATTCACTCATTCACTTAATCATTTTTTCCAGAAATGCTTTATTAAGCCTTGCTTGTGGTTCTCTCCCAAGGATGGGCAGCCCCCTTTGGGGGTGTCCGGATATGTGAAAGGGCATTTGGTTGTCACGTGACTGGGCAGGGAGCAGAGGTGTTCAGGTCCCTCACAAAACAAACTGCCTCTCAGGATGCCAGGAGCACCTTATAGAGAACCTTGTTCCACAGCCACCTACAGCTGGTTTAGGAGGGTGCGCTGTGAGCCAACACAGTACTGTCTGAACAGTGAGAGTAAAAAGATAAGGGAAGGGCATTTCTACCTGGGAGAGGAGAGAGGCTTCCTGGAGGAGGTGACTTTTGAGCTGTGCCTTGAAGGATGAGTAGGGTTTACAGATACAGGATGCGGCAGGAATTCCAGGCAGAGGAAAGCAGGTGTGCGAAGGCAGAGGAGTGTGGACAGGCTTAGAGTTTTGGGGGCTCTCTAAAAGGGACACCCCCGGACTGTGCAGGACAGGGGTGCTGAAGGCCCCAGAGTGAGCTGGACAGGTGGGGAAAGGGAGGTCTGTGGCAGGCCTCCCCTCCCTTTTCCAGCCCTAGAAATGACTTAGGATGTTGGTAATGGTGTCTACTTGACTTTCTCATATAGGTCCCTGACCACAGGTGGTAGCTTGGTGTTCCCAGGCTGGGAGGAGGGCATGGCTGCCTCAGAGGACCCACAACTCCCTGGAGGCACCTGCAGAAGCTACGCTGAATAGTCACCACCATCACCGTCACTGACCGACCCCTCCCTCAAGGCCTGGGTGAGGGGGCTGAGGCGCCGGCAGACAGGGCTAAAGGATGGGGCTAGAGGTGGCCACTAGGCTGAACCCCTTTCCCCAGATCCCAGAGGGCCCAGACTCTGAGACTTGTTTCCGTCCTGGCTGTTCTTCTCAATTGCCAGGAGGCTCCACTTCTGCCTCCAGTTTTCCCAAATGTGGGATTAAGGGGAGGGTGGGTTTCCAAGGAATCTCTTGGGGCCAGAGCCCAGGGTCCAGAGCACAGCCAGGGCCCTGAGAGCACCGAGCGCCCTCAGCCAGCCCGGACCCCTCCTCTTCGTCTCCTGCGGAGGACTAGCAACAACCTAGACCCTCGCATTCCCCACACACTACAGGCCTCCCCCTTCCCAACAGCTTGCGTTAAGTGCTGGATCCGCTCCTACTTTCCAGATGAGGAAACTGAGGCGCCATGCTCTAAATTGCTGGCCCAGGCGGCGGCACCCCAGTGGTCGGGAGGTAACCAGGCTAAAGCCGCCGGCGAGGGGAAGGACGGGATTCGCGGCGGAGTTTCAGGGAGGCGCGTCTGCAGGCTAGAGGAGGGACCCGGGGGACCACACCGGGGCGGGCTCACCTCTGACTCGCGCCGGGATCTTTGTTGGAACCGAGTGTCAGGAATCGCAAATACCGCGTGAAGAATTCCCCCGTGGCCAATCTGCACGGGAGAATGCTTCACGCTGGGCCATTTGCGGTTCCTGACCCTCGGTTGCAACAAAGACCCCGGCGCGAGCCACAGGTGAGCCTACCCCGGTCCGGGCCACCCACCCCGAGAATGGCAGGACTGCCCGAGCCCAGGACCCCGGCCGTCCAGGGAGGCCGGAGCCTGGAGGGCCGTGTAGACCCATGGGACCATGCCCCACTGTGGTATTTTCCCCTAAGTCATCCTCAAACCATAGACGCAAGCCAGAGCCAGGAGCGAGAGACAATCGCTAGGAAGAACCCCAGTGGACTAGATGCGCGTCCATTAAAATAAAGGATGGCCACTTATTTATTTATTATTTATTTATTTATTTATTTAGATACAGGGTCTCGCTCTGTTGCCCAGGCCGGAGTGCAGCGGTGAGATCTCAGTTCACTGCAGCCTCGACTTCCTGGGCTCCAGCGATCATCCCACCTCAGCCTCCCCAGTAGCTGCTACCACAGGCCCACACCGCCACACTCGGCTAGTTTTTGTATTTTTGGTAGAGAAAGGGTTTCCCCATGTTGCCCAGGCTGGACTCAAACTCCTGAGTTCAAGCGATCCAGCTGCCTCAGCCTCCCAAAGTGCTGGGATACAGGCTTGAGCCACCCTGTCAGGTGTGTTCTCTTTATATAAATTTAGTAATTTTTAAAGTATGTATTGCTTTTATAAATAAGGATTTGCAATAATTTGTAGCAAGAAAAAACAATGAGAAAAAATCAGATTTTTTCCACATTCGAACCTCAGGTGAAGTGATCAGGTGAGGTGGGTGGAGGCAGACACACATCTTCTTTAGAGCAAGAGAGGAGGGGACCTTTTGCTCACAGGGCTGGGAGCTGGAGGGATGAAGACTCAGCTGCCCTCCCTGAAGGCACATTTTTGGGGCCATCTCCCAGCTGGAAATGCATACTATCTCTTTAATCCTAAAGCTGAGTTCTAAAGAAGCAACAAAAAAGTCATGATCATCTCCCTTTTACAGGTGAGGGAACAAAGGCACCGAGAGGTTAAGGTTACACAGCTGGAAGGGTCTTACCCCAGGTCTGCACTTTTCACCAAAGCCAGGGGGCTTGTTAAGTAGTCTCAGCAGAGGTTTAAGGTGCTTCAGCTTTTGGAAAGTAGCCAAAGGATACCGCTTACTAACTGTACAACCCTGAGGGGTCATGATATAGTTTGAGCGTATCTTCCTGCCAAATCTCATGTTGAATTGTAATCCCCAGTGTTGGAGGTAGGACCTGGTAGGAAGTGTTTGGATCATGGAGACTAATCCCTCATAAATGGCTTGGGCCATGCTCTTGGTGATAAATGAACTCTTGCTCTGAGTTCACACAAGATCTGGTCATTTAAAAGTGTGTGGCAACTCCCCCTCCATTCGCTCTCTTGTTTCTGCTTTCACCATGTGCCTGTTCCCACTTCACCTTCCACCATGATTGCAAGCTTCCTGAGGCCTCCCTGGAAGCCAAGCACATGCCAGCACCATGCTTCCTATAAAGCCTGCAGAACTGTGAGCCAGTTAAACTTCTTCTCTTTATAAATTACCCAGTCTCAGGTATTTTTTTTAATATAGCAATGCAAGAACGGCCTAATACAGAAAATTGATAGCAAGGATTGGGGCATTACTATAAAGATACCTGAAAGTGTAGAAGTGACTTTGGAACTGGGTAACAGGTAGAGTTTGGAAGAGTTTGGAGGGCTCAGGCTGGGCATGGTGGCTCACACCTGTAATCCCAGCACTTTCAGAGGCTGAGGTGAGCAGATCATCTGAGGTTGGGAATTCAAGACCAGCCTGGCCAATATGGTGAAACCCTGTCTCTAACTAAAAATACAAAAATTAGCCAGTCATGGTGGCACGTGCCTGTACTCCAAGCTAATCAGGAGGCTGAAGCAGGAGAATCACTTGAACACGGGAGGTGGAGGTTGTAGTGAGCCAACATTGTGCCACTGCACTCCAGCCTGGCAACAGAGTGGGACTCCGTCTCAAAAAAAAAAAAGAGTTTGGAGAGTTTGGAAGAAGACAGGAAAATGAGGGAAAGTTTGGAACTTCTTAGAGACTGGTTAAATGGCTGTGACCAAAATGCTGATAGTGATATGGACAATGAAGTCCAGGCTGCCAAAGTCTCAGATGGAAATGAGGAACTTATTGGTAACTGGAGCAAAAGTAACGCATGTTATGCCTTAGCAAAGAGCTTGGCTGCATTGTGTTCATGCCATAGGGATCTGTGGAAGTTTGATTTAGGGTATTGCAGAAGAAATTACTAAGCAGCAAAGCACTCAGAATATGGCCTGGCTGCTTCTAACAACCTATACTCAGCTGTGGGAGCAAAGAAATGACTTAAAGTTGGAACATATGTATATTTTTTGTTTATTCATTTATTTGTTTGTTTTTGAGATGGAGTTTCACTCTTGTTGCCCAGGTTGGAGTGCAATGGTGCAGTCTCAGCTCACTGCAACATCCACCTCCCAGGTTCAAGCAGCTCTCCTGCCTCAGCCTCCCGAGTAGCTGGGATCACAGGCATGCACCACCACACCTGGCTAATTTTTTTGTATTTTTAGTAGAGACAGGGTTTCACCATGTTGGTCTGTCTGGTCTTGAGCTCCTGACCTCAGACAGTTCACCTGCCTCAGCTTCCCAAAGTGCTGGGATTATAGGCATGAGCCACCATGCCTGGGCAGAAGTTATATTTAAAAGGGAAGCAGAATGTGTAAGTTTGGAAATTTTACAACCTGGCCATGTGGTAGAAAAGTAAAGCCCATTTTCAAGGAGAGAATTCAAGCAGGCTGTGGCACAACGACTTGCTAGAGATATTTGCATAGCTAAAAGGGAGCCAAATGCTAATAACCAAGACAATGGGGAAAAGGTCTTGAAGGCATTTCAGAGACCTTTGTGGCAGCCCCTCCCATCACAGGCCCTGAGGCCTAGTGGGGAAGAATGATTTCATGGGCCAGGCCTAGGGCCCTGCTGCCCTGCACACCCTCAGGACACTGCTTCCCACATCCTGACCACTCCAGCTCCAGCCAGGGCTCAAAGGGGCCCAAGTATAGCTCAAGCTGCTGCCACTTTGCAGTCTCACTTTGGAGAATGCAAGTGGTAAGCCTTGGCAGCTTCCATATTATGTTAATCCTGTGGGTGCACAGAGTCCAAAAGTGAAGGCTTGGCAGCCTCCGCCTAGATTTCAGAGGATGTATGAGGAAAGCCTGGGTGTCTGGGCAGAAGCCTGCTGCTGTAGCACTGCCCTCACAGAGAATCTCTACTAGGGCAGTGCCAAGGGGAAATGTGGAGTTAGACCCCACACACAGAGTCCCCAGTGGGGCACTGCCTGGTGGAGCTGTTGGAAGGAGGCTGCCATCCTCCAGACCCAGGAATGTTAGAGCCACCAATGGCTTGCAATTTCAGCATGGAAAAGTCACAGGGGCAGAGCTGCCCAAGGCCTTGGGAACCCACCCTTCCCACCAGTGTGCCTTGAATGCAGGATATGGAGTCAAAGAAGATTGTTTTGGAGCATTAAGATTTAATGAATGGGCTGGGCGCAGTGGCTCATGCCTGTAATCCCAGTGTTATAAAGTTTTGGTGCAGCAAAAGAAATAGCACTTGAATATAAAATTTTCTTTTTTTCGTCTCAGCAAGGCAATTTACTTCTATAGAAGGGTGCGCCCTCACAGATGGAGCAATGGTGAGTGCAAACCTGGGCAAGGGAGGGGAAGAATTTCTCCTGCTGCTGTGTTGTTCCCCTATTGGCTAGGGTTAGACTGCACAGGCTAAACTAATTCTGATTGGCTAATTTAAAGAGAGTGATGAGGTAAGTGGTTTGGCAGGAAAAATGGTTATGGAATGAGTCAGGGTGGAGAATGAGTCAGGGCGGAGCAGGTAATTGAAATGAGTCAGGGTGGAGCAGGTAATCGGAATGAGTCAGGGTGGAGCAGGTGATGGAAAAAGGTTGCTTTATGAGGAAGTTAAGTTTAAAAGTAGAAGGCAAAGAATGGAACATACTGACATATTGACTCTTTGAAGAGAAATTTAGGACTCATATCTAACACCAGGACTTTGGGAGGCTGAGGTGGGCAGATCACCTGAGGTCAGGAGTTCAAGATCAGCCTGGCCAACATGGTGAAACCCCATCTCTACTAAAAATGCAAAAATTAGGCAAGATGCGATGGCTCATGCCTGTAATCCCAGCACTTTGGGATGCCAAGGCAGGTGGATCACCTGAGGTCAGGAGTTCGAGGCCAGCCTGACCAACATGGTGAAACACTGTCTCTACTAAAAATACACAAAAAATTAGCTGGGCGTGGTCGTGGGCACCTGTAATCCCAGCTACTCAGGAGGCTGAGGCAGGAGAATTGCTTGAACCTGGGAGGAGGAGGTTGCAGTGACCCGAGATCCCACCATTGCACTCCAGCCTAGGCGACAAGAGCAAAATGCCATCTCAAAAAAAAAAAAAAAAAAAATTAGCTGGGCATGGTGGCACATGCCTGTAGTCCCAGCTACTTGGGAGGCTGAGGCAGGAGAATGGTTTGAACCTGGGAGGCGGAGGTTACAGTGAGCCAAGATCTCACCACTGCACTCCAGTCTGGGTGACAGAATGAGACTCCATCTCAAAAAAAAAAAAAAAAAAAAAGATTTAATGAATGGCTTCTGGATTTTGGACTTGCATGGGGCCTGTAGCCCCTTTCTTTTGGCCAAATTCTCCCTTTTGAAATGATAATGTTTACTCAATGCCTATACCCCCACTGTATCTTGGAGGTAAATAATTTCTTTTTGATTTTACAGGCTCCTAGGTGGAAGGGACTCATCTCTAGCTAAGACTTTGGACTTGAGACTTTTTTTTTTTTTTTTTTTTTGAGTAGGATTTTTGCTCTGTCACCCAGGCTGGAGTGCAGTGGCTCGATCTTGGCTCACTGCAACCTCTGCCTCCCGGGTTCAAGCAATTCTCCTGCCTCAGTCTCCTGAGTAGCTGGGATTACAAGCGCGTGCCACCAAGCCCGGCTAATTTTTGTATTTTTAGTAGAGACAGGTTTTCACCATGTTGGTCAGGCTGGGGGACTTTTGAGTTAATGCTGGAATGAGTTAAGACTTTGGAGTCTAAGTGCTTGGGAGTTGATAAAACAATTTTTAAAATGAATAAATAAGTAGGCCAGGAGCAGTAGCTCATACCTGTAATCCCAGCATTTTGGGAGGCTAAGGTGGATGGATCACTCAAGTCCAGGAGTTCAAGACCAGCGTGGGCAACATGGTGAAACCCCAACTCTACAAAAAAAATATAAAAATTAGCCAGGCATGGTGGCATGTGCCTGTGGTCCTAGCTACTCTGGAGGCTGAGATGGGAGGAGCACTTGAGCCTGGAAGGTGGAGGTTGCAGTGAGCCGAGATAGCACCACTGCACTCCAGCCAGGGTGACAGAGCAAGAACTTGTCTCAAAAAAATAAAATTAGGCCAGGCACGGTAGCTCACACCTATAATCCCAGCATTTTGGGAGGCCGAGGCGGGTGGATCACCTGAGGTCAGGAGTTCAAGACCAGCCTGGCCAACATGGTGAAACGCCATCTCTACTAAAAATATTTAAAAATTAGCCAGGCATGGTGGTGGGTACCTGCAATCCCAGCTACTCCAGAGACTGAGGCAGGAGAATCACTTGAACCTGGGAGGCAGAGGTTGCAGTGATCCGAGGTCGCAGTGATCCGAGGTCGCACCATTGTACTTCAGCCTGGGCAACAAGAGTGAAACTCTGTCTCAAAAAAAAACAAAAAACAAATAAGATTTTAGGGGACTGTTGTAAAGGCATAATTGTATTTTGCAATGTGAGAAGGACATGAGATTTGTGGGGGCCATGGGCAGAATGATGTAGTTTGACTGTATGTCCCTACCAAATCTCATGTCAAATTGTAGTCCCCAGTGTTGGAGGTAGAGCCTGGTGGGAGGTGTTTGGATCATGGGGGTGGATCCCTTATGAATGACCTGGGCCATCCCCTTCATGATAAGTGAGCTCTTTCTCTGAGTTCCCACAAGATCTGGTAGTTTAAATGTGTGTGGCACGTCCCCTCCACCTTGTTCCTGCCTTCACCATATGACGTGCCTGCTCACCTTTCACCTTCTGCCATGATGGCAAGTTTCCTGACGCCTCCTCAAAAGCCAAGCAGATGCCAGGACTATGCTTCCTATAAAGCCTGCAGAACTGTGAGCCAATTAAACCTCTTTTCTTCATAAATTACCAAATCTCTGGTATTTCTTTATAGCAATGCAAGAACGGCCTAATACAAGTCACTTCCTGTCTTTGTCCCTCAATTTCCTCCTCTGTGTGAGGAAACAGGAAGAAGAATCCCTGCCCTGCGTATTCAGCTGCCACGTGAGGTAATAGTGCAGGAAGGGGAAACCGGAAACCCCCAAAGGTGTTGGTGAGACCAGTTCCCTTCCTGTCTGTCCTCTGAAACAGCTCTGCATATTCCCCCAAGCCCAGGACCTGAGTATAGTCTGGATCCCCAGACTTCGCTGGATGAAGCTCTAAATTTACCAGCCAGCTGGCTTTCAGGCCCAAGATTACTATCTTGTCTTACCTTCAGGTGAGAGAAACATTATAATAACATCAATAACGAACAGTAACCAAGCACTTGGTGCCTGTGCCAGGCATTCTCTCCTGCCAGCCATCCTTACAGGTATGAGGCAGGTAATACCTGCTTCCCCACTGTCTCCTACCCAAGCCTGGGCCCTTGAGACACTCACCGACCTAGCTAATGGGATGGCCTCCAGCAGTGGAAACGGGACTTTCCCAATTATCCCCATGGTAGATTTTTAAGGCCTGGGTGACAATCTCATAGCTCAACAGCACTGGGCCACCACTGTCAAGCCTGCCAACACTCACGCCCTCCAGGCCCCTGCCATTATCCCTTCTCTGATAGACTGCCACTTTTAGGAAGAAGAGATGTGTAACTTACTACTCTTTATATATAGATATTAGAATTCATCTCTTGAAATGATACACATTTTCTAACACCCCCAAAATGCCAGTAAGAATGATTAAAGGGCTGGGTGTCGTGGCACATGCCCATAGTCCCAGCTACTCCAGAGACAGAAGAGGGAGAATGCTTGAGCCCAGGAGTTCATCAGCCTGACCCCAACACAGCAAGAGCCCATCTCCACAAAAAATTAAAAAATTAGATAGGCATGGTGGCACACACCTGTAGTCCTAACTATTCAGGAGGCTGAGATGGGAGGAGTGCTTGAGCCTAGGAGTTAGAGGCTCAAGTGTGAGAACAGACACTCATAGCTCATGGCATAAGCTATGATCATGCCACTGTATGTATTTAAAAAAAGATTAAAGGTTGAGGGGATGGAAAATGGGATGGGATAGGAAATGGGGTGGGAAAAATAAAAATAAAAGCAGAGAGGGGGATTGCGCAGACCAAGGAAGATAGCATGTCAACCCACCCCCGATTAAGGCATAACTCCTTGTATATAAAATTAAGCACCAATCAACATCCTAACAATATCATTATTAGGGCATCTGAAAGAACGTTCACTAAAGTATGCTTATCTCTATGTTTCTTCTTTTAGCTTTTATTATTTGAAAACTTTCAAAATAATAAACTTTCAGTTTTACAAAAATAACAAAAGTATTTTAAAAATGCCCATGCGGAGTCTGCATTTTATTCCACAATACATCTGCAACTTTTTTTTTTATTTTTTTGAGGTAGGTCCTGCTCTGTCGCTCTGTAGCTGGGTGCTCTGCATCTGTAGCTACAGGCATGAGCCACCAAGCCTGACTAATTTTTTGAGGAGGCAAGGGTCTCACTATGTTGCCCAGTCTGGTCTCAAACTCCTGGGCTCAAGCAATTCTTCCACCTTGACCTCCCAAAGTGCTGGGATTGCAGGCATGAGCCACCATGCCTAGCCAGCTTTTTATTTTTTATTTTTTATTTTTTTTGAGACAGAGTCTTGCTCTATCGCCCAGGCTGGAGTGCAGTGGTGCCATCTCGGCTCACTGCAACCTCCACCTCCCGGGTTCAAGTGATTCTTGTGCCTCAGCCTCCCGAGTAGCTGGGACTACACGTGCCTGCCACCACACTGGGCTAATTTTTGTATTTTTAGTAGAGACAGGATTTCACCATGTTCGCCAGGCTGGTCTCAAACCCCTGACCTCAGGTGATCTGCCCGCCTCGGCCTCCCAAAGTGCTGGGATTACAGGAGTGAACCACTGCACCTGGCCAAATTATTATATTTTTTATGTTGAGTTGTCTATAAATGTTTTAACATTGAAATATTTTGTATTGGGCCGGGCGCGGTGGCTCACGCCTGTAATCCCACCACTTTGGGAGGCCAAGGAGGGCGGATCACGAGGTCAGGAGATTGAGACCATCCTGGCTAACATGGAGAAACCCCGTCTCTACTAAAAATACAAAAAATTAGCCGGGCGTGGTGGCAGGGCGCCTGCAGTCCCAGCTACTCGGGAGTCTGAGGCAGGAGAATGGCGAGAACCCGGGAGGCGGAGGTTGCAGCGAGCCAAGATTGCCCCACTGCACTCTAGCCTGGGTGACAGATCCGAGACTCTGTCTCAAAAAAAAAAAAAAGAAATATTTTGTATTAATATTTCCATGGTGGGGCAGAAACTCCAGTAAAATCAACCCTTTAGATGCTGCGGATGTGTTTGTTCAGGGACTGTGTACTCCCAATACATGACCCGCCGTCAGTTTGAGAAGCTTAGATTGTCCCCACCATTGACAGATGAGGAAAATGAGGCCCCTAGCCAGCTTTTTAAAATGTTCAATAGAACTCTTTTTATTGAGATAAAGTTTATGTACCATAAAATACGCCCTTTTAAAGTGTACAATTCAGAACATTGTCATCAGCCCCAAAAAGAAACTTTGTACCATTAGCAGTCATTCTCCCATGTTCCCCTCCTCTCAATCCCTGGCAACCAATCCACTCTGCCTTTATGGATTTGCCTATTTAGGACATTTCATGTAAATGGAATCGTGTTAATCTGTGGCATTTGGTGTCTGGCTTCTTACACTTACTTCGGTATTTTCAAGGCTCATCTATGTTCTGCCGTGTGTTAGTACTTCATTCCTTTTTATGGCTGAACTGTATTCTGTGGTATGAATAGTCCACATTTTATTTATTCATTCATCAGTTTATAGCCATTTAGGTTGTTTCCATGTTTTGGCTATTATGAATAATGCTGCTATGAATATTGATATATGAGTTTTTGTATGGAGATATGTTTTCAATTATCCAGAAATGTATAGCTAGGAGTAGAATTTCTGGGTTATATGGTAACTCTATGTTTAACTTTTTGAGGAACTGCCAAACTGTTTCCCACAGAGGCTGTGTCATTTTACATTTCCGCCAGCAATCTGGGAGGGTTCCAATATTCCCATACCCTTGCCAACATTTGTCTCTCTCGCTTTTTTTTTCTGAGACAGACTCTGTTGCCCAGGCTGGAGCGCAGTGGCTTGATCATGACTCATTGCAGCCTTGAACTCCCAGGTTCAAGCGATCCTCCACCTCAGCCTCTCGAGTAGATGGGACTACAGGTGCATGTCATGACACCTGGCTAATTTTTTTTTAATTAAAATTTTTTGTAGAGATGGGATCTCACTATGTTGCCCAAGCTGGTCTTGAACTCCTGGGCTCACATGATCCTCCTGTCTTGGCCCCCAAACTGCTAGGATTACAGCTGTGAGCCACCATGCCCAGTCTGCCCCTCTTTTTTTATTACAGCCATCCTAGTGTGTATGAAATGATATTTCACTGTGGTTTTGATTTGCATTTTCCTAATGGCTAATGATGTTGAATATCTTTTCTTGTGCTTATTGTCCATTTACATATCATCTTTGAGAAATGCCTATTCAAGTCCTTTGCACATTTTAAAATTATTATTATTACTATTATTTTTTTGAGACAGTCTCGCTTCGCCCAAGCTGGAGTGCAGTGGTGCAATTCCAGCTCACTTCAACCTCCACCTCCTGGGTTCACACAATTCTCCTGCCTCAGCCTCCCGAGTAGTTGGGATTGCAAGCGCCTGCTACCACACCAGCTAATTTTTGTATTTTTAGTAGAGACTGGGTTTCACCGTGTTGGTCAGGCTAGTTTCAAACCCCTGACCTCAAGTGATCCATCTGCCTCGGCCTCCCAAAGTTCTGGGATTACAGGTGTAAGCCATTGTGCTCAGCCAAATTATTATGTTTTTTTATTGTTGAGTTGTCCATAACTGTTTTAACATTGAAACATTTTGTATTAATATTTCCACGGTGGGGCAGAAACTCCAGTAAAATCAAGCCTTTAGATGCTGTAGCGTGTTTGTTCAGGGACTCTGCACTCCCAATATGTGACTCCCCATCAGTTTGAGAAGCTTAGATTGCCCCCAGCATTGACAGATGAGGAAAATGAGGCCTGTACAAGTTAGGAAACTGGCTGGGTGTAGTGGCTCATTCCTGCAATCTCAACACTTTGGGAGGCTGAGGCGGATTGCTTGAGCCCAGGAGTTCAAGACCAGCCTGGGCAACATAGCAAGACCCCATCTCTACAAAAAAATAAAAAATTAGCCAAGGGTGGTGGCATGCACCTGTAGTCCCAGTTACTCAGGATGCTGAGGTGGGAGGATTATTTGAGCCCAGGAGTTCAAGGCTCCAGTGAACTATGATTGCACCACTGCACTCCATCCTGGGTGACAGGAAGATCTTGTCTCTTAAAAAAAAAAAAGAAGAAAAAAAAATGTTGACCGGGTGTGGTGGCTCATGCCTCTAATCCTAGCACTTTGGGAGGCCAAGGCGGGCAGATCACCTGAGGTCAGGAGGTCGAGACCAGCCTGGCCAACATGGTGAAACCCCATCTCTACTACAAATACAAAAATTAGCTGGGCATAGTGGTGTGCGCCTGTAATCCCAGCTACTCAGCAGGCTGAGGCATGAGAATCGCTTGAACCTGGGAGGCGGAAGTTGTAGTGAGCCGAGATCACGCCACTGCACTCCAGCCTAGATGACAGAGTGAGACTCTGTCTCAACAACAACAATAACAACAAAAGTTAGGAAACGTGTTCAAATTACACAGCCAAGTCTTATGTAGAATAGTGGGAAACTGGGGAGATTTACCTGGAGGAGAGGAGCAACAAGGTTTCAGTTCCCGGCTCTTGAAAGGCTGCGACAAACAAGACAACCAGAATGTTTTTGTGGCCTCAGAGCCAGAATCAGAGATTGCACTCTCAGAGGGAGACATGTCAATGGGAAAGGCCTCCTGACAACAGCTACAGCCTAGCATGACGGAGGCGGCTTGGGAAACATTGAACTATGTCTGGACAATCCACTGGCAGGAAAATCATAGGAAACTGTAGGGGCCATCTGATGCTTGGCCTCTTCGGCATCTATTTCCCCTACCTTTTTTCCCTTCGAATAGGGCCTCAATTTCCTTTTGAGGATCTGCATGGTTCTAGGAGTGGAACTTAGAGTAACTAGACTTAGCCGAAGTCTACCAGTGCCTCTCATCCCTCCATTAATGTGGTTCAGGGTATGCATGTGATTAGCTGGTCCAATTAGAATACATCTCAAAACTTTTGGTGGGAACACAGAACACTTTCTCTTTCTTTCTTCCTTCCCTCCCCTCCCTCTCTTCTTCTTCTTCTTTTTTTTTTTTTTTTTTTTTTTTTGTTTTTGAGACGGAGTTTTGCTCTGGTTGTCCAGGCTGGAGTGCAGTGGTGCGATCTCGGCTCACTGCAACCTCCACCTCCTGGGTTCAAGCGATTCTCCTGCCTCAGCCTCCCGAGTAGCTGGGATTACAGGTGCCTGCCACAACACCTGGCTAGTTTTTTTGTATTTTTAGTAGAGACAGGGTTTCGCCATGTTGGGCAGCCTGGTCTTGAATTCCTGACCTTGGGTGATCCGCCCACCTCGGCCTCCCAAAGTGCTGGGATTATAGGCATGAGCCACCATGCCTGGCCTGCCTGCCTGCCTTCCTGCCTGCCTGCCTGCCTTCCTTCCTTTTTTCTTTCTCTTTCTTTCCTCCTCCTCCTTCTTCTTTTTCCTCTTCTTCTCTGTCTTTGTTTCCTTTCTTCTCTCTCTCTCTCTCTCTCTCTCTTTCTTTTGAGACAGACACTCTGTTACCAAGGCTGGAGTACAGTGGCAAAATCCTAGCTCATTGTAGCCTCAACCTCCCAGGCTCAAGCAATCCTTCTGCTCAGCTTCCTGAGTAGCTGGGACTACAGGCATACACCACCACACCCAGCTAATCTTTTTAATTTTTTGGTAGAAACAGGGTATCACTATGTTGCTCAGGCTGATCTCAAACTCCTAGGCTCCAGCAGTCCTCCCACCTTGGCCTCATAAACTGCTGGAGTTACCAGTGTGTGCCACTGCACCAGACCAAGGTATTTCCTGCTCCTTGGAAATAATAAGGGAGCCTGACTAGATGTGACAAAGACGACATCTTGGATATGAGGTGGGCTGCCCTTAAAATGAGATCAGCAGCACAGAAGGCACAGAGGAGAGAGAGAAACAAATCCTTACTGATATCGCTGAGCTGCTGGGTCACACTTTGCCTGAAGGTGGAGGGGGCCTCTGGAGTTTACTGTTTAAACTAGTTTGAGTGGGCTTTTCTGTTACTGGCAACATGAATGCAATAAATATAGGGCTCAGGCATCCAATGGAGAGGGGTGGGGACAAAACCTTGTAGCCTTTATGATCCTGTCAATCCCTAAGCCTCTATAACATGTCCAAAGACTTGAGGTTGGAAGGCAGTAGTCAGTCTTGGGAACTCAGGTGGGAGGCTCTCAAGTAGAAGAAAGGTGTTTTTGATAGGTAGACTTTACAGGGTATAAGTTCAAATGATCAAACTCCGTTATAGCTACATGAAAACCCTTCAATAACCTATGCTTGATAATCAACCCAGAGCAGCTTCAGGGTACAGCTGTATAAGCCCCTCCTCTGCTCCAGGGTCCCATAGATCTGGGTTCAAATCCCACCTCTGCCGCTTCCCCACTGCTTCTTAGTCAATCTCTCTGGGATTCAGTTTCTTCATCTATAAAGCAGACAGAAAGCTAATATGGGCAACCTGGGCCAGTGTGGGAGGTAGGGGAAGCTTCAGGTATGGTGGCTTTTGCTGCAGTCATGGCGCAGAGATGCACTGGAGACCCTTATCAAACACAGAGCTCTTACCCCTGCCAAGCATAGACAAGGGGACTACCATTAACTCGATTTTGCAGATGAGGAAACAAAGGCACTGGGAGGTTAAGAACGGGACGCAGGCCGGGCGCGGGGGCTCACGCCTGTAATCTCAGCACTTGGGGAGCCAAAGCAGGTGGATCACTTGAGGTCAGGAGTTCGAGACCAGCCTGGCCAACATGGTGAAACCCCGTCTCTACTAAAAATACAAAAAAAAAAAAAAAATTAGCCGGGCGTGGTGGCGAGCACCTGTAATCCCAGCTACTCAGGAGGCTGAGGCAGGAGAATCACTTGAACCCAGGAGATGGAGGTTGTGGTGATCTGAGATCACACCACTGCACTCCAGCCTGGGCAACAAGAGTGAAACTCCATCTCAAAAACAACAACAACAACAACAACAAAAACAGGACCCAGGCACAGAGCTGGTAAGTGGAGGTGCTGGGGATCCACCCCAGGGTAGTGTCACACACCCAGGCTGCTCTGCTCGCAGTCAGAGGAGGAGCGGCAGTCAGAGGAGGAGCGGCAGTCAGAGGAGGAGCGGCAGTCAGAGGAGGAGCGGCAGTCTGATGTTGGTTTGGCTGCTGGGGCCTGAGCTGCAGAAGGCGAGGGCAGGATTCCAGGCACCCAGGAAGAGCTTTCTCCGAGACCCACCCACATGGGACTTGACCCTGGGGCCTGAGGTTGGGTGACAGCTGGAAGGTGCAGAGAGCCGGAAGTGGATTCCCCTACCTCACCCTGGGAAAAGTCTTCACCTGCAGGAGATGAAAGATCCCTTTCAGGTGAGTGGTTCCGCTCCACAGTTATTACTTCCATCTTCTCCGCACAGAGCCAGCACTACAGGCAGCTGAGACCTGTGACTCCTTTTGGATGTCCCCAAAGCCTCTACACCTCCCTTGAGAAGATGGCTGAAGCAAAAAGCTTTCACAAGGGCTGAAGAACTGTGATGAAAGAACCCTGGTGGGCCTGTGTAAGCCCCGGACCTCAGTGGCAGCTTCTCTTTGCTATAATGAAGTAGCCAGGAGGCGGGCACAGATTCTAGGAACCCTTGCCTAAGCGGCCTGCACAAGTCGAATGGGGTGAAGAAAGCGGCTGTGGCCACAGTGGGGCCACATGGGGCACCACCTGATGTTCCAAAACCCAAATGGTGGATACAAGTCACTCTATTACCCATGGAGACAGAGACCTTGACTAGGAAGGCTTTGCATCTGAGAGTCCCACAGGTGATCCCAGTCCTGACCCAGTGGCTTTGGCACCCTCAAGAGGGTGCTGCCCAGCCAGCCTGCAGGGTCTCACTGCAAAGGCGAGGATGTCTCAAAGTTCCACCATGTTCTGCTGTGCTGTAGCTCACTGCCTGGCACCAGACAACCTCGGAGGGTGTACCTGGGCAATCCCGAAGGCCCCATCCGCCCCGGAGGCCCTTCCTTCCTTTCAGTGGCCTGAACTTGGGAGTTTGTACCAGCCAGGAGAGGAATAAATTCTCCATTGCTACCTTTCCTTTCACAGACACTGGTACCAAAGGGCCACTTGCATAAGAATTAAATCTGGTCCTGAGCAACAAAAAGCCCTGATTTTAAATATGTGGGTGTGTTTTTGTGCAGCCAAAGGCACCCCAGGATTGTGGCTGTGTTGTGGCAACACTGTGGCCTTGGCGCCATCTGCTGGCCAAGTGACCCCCTCCCCCCCACCCCCACCCCGCCGCCGGCCCCCCAACCCCTAGGCTGGGAGCTGGGGAAGGGTTGTGATTTTGTGGATGGATTCAGAGGCTTCCAACCTTCCTGAATATTTGCAAACCCGGGATGTTGGATCCTTTCCTAGGGAGAATGTGCCCAGCGCTCCTAGAGTTCCTGGAGGGTCTGGGACCCTCTGGAGGGAAGAGGAGTGCTGCACCACTGAGCAGCCTTTTTTCTGCTCTGACGGGGAAGGTCCCCACTGCTTTCTAGGCCAGTGGAAGAGGGCTGCCTCAGAGGCCCCTCCCCGACCTCTAGGATCCTGGCTGGTGGCTGGGAGGGAAGGAATAAGATGGGGATGCTTCCTGCTCTGGCCTCCACTCTGCCAAGTGTGAGACCAAGAGAGCTCCCCTTCCCCCTTTTGCCTTCTCTTATCCTCCTCCCCACTTCTCCTGCCACAGCTAACCTCTCTTCTGGCCCTCCCTCAGAGCCCACGTGGTGTTTTGGACAGCCCCTTTCCCATCGCACACCTCAGTTTCCCCACCTGTAATGCAGTGGTTCTGGATTCTCATACATGGGAGATGGCAGCAGGGGAGGACTCCATGTTTCCTGTTTGGGTGGCTATGACTATTCCTTTCTGACACAGCTCCTGGTGCTGTACACAGGAGTCTTTCAACGGTATACAGGCACCCAGCAGGTCACAGGGGCTGATAGTGTCAACTTGGCTAAATAAGGCCAGTTTTCCAAAATGGTGGCACCAATTCACAGCCCTATCTACAGCCCCATCTCACCAACACTTATTATTGACAGATGTATACTCATCATTCTGATGACTATCAAGTGGCATTTCAGTGTAGTTGGGGTTTGCATTTTCCTGGTTACTGATGAGGTTGGACATCTTTCCATGTGGTTTTGGCTGTTCCTGTAAGTTCCCATCCAAGTTGTGTGCCCATTTGTCCATTGGATTGTTTGTCTCTCTTGAGAACTCATCAGACTTTTTTACATATCCTTAATGGTAATCCTTTTTTGATTATGTCTCACAAATATCTTCTCCCAATTTGGTCTTGTCTGTTCATTTTCTTTATGATGTCCTGTTTTTCTTTTTAACTTTTTATTTTGACATAATCTCAGACTTACATCGAAAAGTTGCATGAATAGTGCAAAGAATTTCTTCATACCCTTTACCCCAGTTCCCCAAATGTTAACATTTGACATTTGTGTCCCTCTCTCTTTCTTTCAGTGCCCCCATATATACACACATATCTCCCCTCCCCTTCCCTGAGCCCCAAGTCACTTGGGAGTAAGGGGCAGAATACTGCCTTTTTACTCCTAAATACTTCAGTGTATATTTCATTTTTGTTTTTAGATGGAGTTTCACTCTTGTTGCCCAAGAATGCAGTGGTGCAATGTCTACTCACTGCAATCTCCTGGGTTCAAGTGATTATCCTGCCTCAGCCTCCTGAGTAGCCGGGATTACAGGCACACACCACCACACCTGACTAATTTTTGTATTTTTAGAAGAGATGGGGTTTCACCATGTTGGCCAGGCTGGTCTCGAACTCCTGACCTCAAGTGATCTGCCTGCCTTGGCCTCCCAAAGTGCTGGGATTACAGATGTGAGCCACTGCACCTGGCCTGGTGTATATTTCTTAAAAACAAGAACATTATCCTATATGTAAACATTACCACAGAACAACTGTCAAATTCAGGAAATTAACACTGAAACACTACCATTATCTAATCTACAGACTTTATTCAGATTTCATCACTCATACTAGTAATGTCCCTTGGAGCCGAGGTGAGTGGTGGGTGGCAAGCATTACCACCTGAGCTCCACCTCCTGTCAGATCAGCTGCATTAGATTCTCATAGGAGTGCAAATCCTGCTGTGAACTGCACAGGTGAGGGATCTAGGTTGTGTGCTCCTTATGAGAGATGATCTGAGGTGGAACAGCTTCATCCTGAAACCATCCCCTGCCCCTCATCCACGGAAAAATCGTCTTCCATGAAAGCGGTCCCTGGTCCCAAAAAGTTTGGGGACCGCTTCCTCAGAACAAAAAGAACATCCCATATCATGTGTTACACTTCTTTAGTATGCTAAAGAGGTTATGTCTATGTTTCTTTATACTTTAATCTAGAATAGTATTTCTTTGTGTTTCATAAGACTGACTTTTTGGAGATGATAGACCAGTTCTTTTATAGGATGTCCTTCAATTTGGGATTATCTAATGTTTCTTCGTGATTAGATTAAGGTAATGCGTTTTGGGTACTGTGTCCTCAGAGCATCATACCAGAAGGCACATGATCTAGATTTCTCTCATTGCTGGTGACATTAAACTTCATCACGTGAGTAAGATGAGGTCTACTAAGTTTCTCCATATAAAGCTACTGTTTTTCCCTTTGTGATTATTAAGTATCTAGGGGAGATACCATGGACTGTGTAATTACCCTATTAGTTTATTTCTCAAGTCTACTGGTTTTTATGTCCATTGATGATTTTTGTCGAATTATTAATATGGCTGCCAAATAGTGATTTTCTAATTTTATCCTTCCTCATACCTCATACATCTATTAGTTGGCTTTTGGTTGTTTGTTTGTTTTGTGACGGAGTCTCTCTTGTAGCCTAGGCTGGAGTGCAGTGGCACAATCTCAGCTCAGTGCAACCTCTGTCTCCCGTGTTCAAGTGATTCTCCTGCCTCAGCCTCCCAAGTAGCTGGGATTACAGGCGCCTGCGACCATGCCCGGCTAGTTTTTGTATTTTTAGTAGAGACGGGGTTTCACCATCTTGGCCAGGCTGGTCTTGAACTCCTGACCTTGTGATCCACCCACCTTGGCCTCCCAAAGTGCTGGGATTACAGGCGTGAGCCCCACTGTGCTTGGCCTGATTAGAACCTACTTAATCCAGTATGACCTCACCTTAATTTGATTATATCTACAAAGACCTTATTTCCAAATAAGGCCATATTCACAGATACTGGTGGGGGATGCCAAGGCTTCAATATATCTTTTAAGGGGAACAATTCAACCTGTAACAGACTCCAATTTGTTTTTTTGTTTTTTGTTTTTTTCATATGGATGACCAGTTAGCCTGCATCATTTATTCAGTAGCCATCCTTCCTCACTGGCCTGCAATACTACCTCTGAGTCCATTAAGTAGATGTGGATGCCTTGGGTCTATTTCTGGGTTTTCTGTTCAGTTCTGAGGGTCTAATGTTGCATTCCTGAACAAACACCCACACTGTCCCAATTACTCAGCTTTCTAGCAGGCCTAGATATCTGGTAAAACAAGTCTGCTCATTTTGTTTCTCTTCAAGACTGTCTAGTGGCTGGGCACAGTAGCTCATGTCTATAATCCCAGTACTTTGGGAAGCTAAGGCAGGAGGATTACTGAAGGCCAGAGTTTGAGAACAGCCTGGGCAACATAGCAAGACCCTTCTCCATAAAAAATTTAAAAATTAGCCAGGCATGGTGGCACACACCTGTAGTCCTAGCTACTTAGGAGGCTGAGACCAGTGGAGTACTTCAGCCTAGGAGTTTCAGGCTGCAGTGAGCTAGGATCATGCCACTGCACTCCAGCCTGGGCAACAGACCAAGACCTTGTCTCTCAAAAAAATAAAAAAAAAAAGAGAGATAGATTGTCTAGGCTCTTCTGCGGTCTTTGCTTTTCCATATAAATTTGAAAAACAGTATGCCAACTTTCTCACAAAAAAACTTGGGAGTTTGGCAGGAATTGCACTGAGCCTATGGATCACATCTCCTCTTCCAGGTTCCAGGAAACCTTCCCTCCTCACTAGCCCCATTAGGCTCTCTGTCCCCTCTGGTTTCACACTATCCCCACCCCATTCTGTGGGGGTGATCTGGCCCCCTTGACTGGCCTGAATACCGCAAACCACAAGGGTATGTTCCTTTCAAAAGTCTCCTTCATGTCTCTTGCGTGTGTCCAGACCAAGATCTGACTATGACGACCCTGAAAGCTAGATCTGAGTGACACAGTCCTCCTGTCTCCACTCTCCCCTCTACAGAGCCCAGAGTGTTGTCTTAGGAATCCTTGGTAGGGCTCTTCCTCTAATCCCCTACTCAGTCTATGTAACCCTTAAACAAACTTAGGCCAGATCATATCCCTAGGTCTATTCAAACCCTCCCCATGGTTCCCCAGCTTGTCCAAAGAAAACCCACGTCCTCATCATGGTCTTCGAGACCCAACTCCATCTGCAACCACCCCACTCCATCTGCAACCCCTCACCTCACCCCTCCTCATTGCCTCTGTGACTCCATCTCCTCTATTCTACACACTCACTCGACCGCAGACACTCTGGCCTCCCTGCTGTTCTTCAGGTATGCCAGACACAGTCCTGGTTCAAGAACTTTGCATTTGCTGTTCCCCCTTTCTGAAACATACTTCCCCTAGTTATGCCCTGTCTTGCTCCTTCACTTCGTTCAGATCTCCGCTCAAATAGTATCTTCTCAGTGAAGCCTCCCCTGACCACCCAATATAAAATTGCATTGTCCCCTACCTATACTCCCACCTTCCTCTCCGTTTGATTTTCTTCCAACCACAACAGTTGTTGCCATCTAACATACTGTCTATTCTTTATTGTGTTAATGTCTATGTCCCTCCCTAAAATGGGACCTCATGTGGGCAGAGCTCTTTACCTGTTTTGATCAACAGCACCTAGAACAAATGTCTAGGACACTGTGGGTGTTGAATAAATATTTGTTGAATAAAAGAACTGAGAGAGATGAGACTCATGCCCAGCCCAGACTCTTTTTTTTTTTTTTTTTTTTTTTTTTTTGAGACAGAGTCTCGCTCTGTCCCCAGTCTGGAGTGCAGTGGCATGATCTCAGCTCACTGCAACCTCTGCCTCCCGGGTACAAGCGATTCCCCTGCCTCAGCCTCCCAAGTAGCTGGGATTACAGGTGCCCGCCACCATGCCTGGCTAATGTTTGTATTTTTTAGTAGAGATGGAGTTTCACCATGTTGGCAAAGCTGATCTTGAACTCCTGACCTCAGGTGATCTGTTTGCCTCTGCCTCTGCCTCCCAAAGTGCAGCCCAGACTCATGTATATTCACTTGTTGAGACTTTGGGTGGTCCCCTCCCCAGTCCAGGCCTGGGTTTCTACATTGGTAAAATGGGGAAGGGTGTGTGTGTTTTTAAGGGCCCATCCAACTCTGCTGGGTGTGATGGGGAGGCTGTCTTGAGAAAAGGGTGTGCTGCCCCCTCGTGATGAGGCAGACTCTTCCCCAGGACCATCAAGTCTTAGGCTTCTAACTCCCAACCCTGCCTGGAAATACATGTTAGGAGGGCACTCCCTGCCCCGGAGTCACCCTTTCTGCTGTCTCACCTCCACCAACCCATCCCCGCCCTCAGCATTCAAGGCCTGTGAAGGTCCTCTTGGTCTTTGATGCCTTTCACACCAATTGCCCTTCATGTCACTGTGACCCTGTGTTATGGGCTAAATGTGCCCCCTCCATTACTCCTCATTTCATGTTTGAAGTCCTAACCTCCAGTACCTCAGAATGTGACTGAGTTTAAAGGCAGGGTCACCAGGCCCAGGGATAAGATGGCCATTAACAAGCCAAAGAGAGAGGCCTCAGAAGAAACCAACTCTACTAATACCTTATCTCAGACCTCTAGCCTCCAGAACTGTGAGGAAATACATTTCTGCTTAACCTACTCAGTATGTGGTACTTTCCTATGGCCACTCTAGCAAATGAATACACCCTGGAACTCACAGAATACTTTATTTCTTTTGTTGTAGTTCAACTCCAGAAGCACCATGTGGGGACAAGGTGTTCCCATTCCACCTCGGGAGTAGAGGCCAGGGGAAGGAAAGGCAGTAGGGCCAAAGCTATCACTGTAGGAAGCTCATGAGATAGGGACCCATCTGCCCAGCTCTCCTGAATCCTGGAGCCTCGCCAGAGCTCCCTCTTGCATCTGCAATTCCACCTGCCTGGAATGCCCATCTCTATAGGTCTTCTCTGTCTTGCAAGGCCCAATTTAGGGCTTCCTACTTCTCCCCTTCCTCTCTCACTTCCTGTTCCAGCCCATACTGAACTGCAACAGCTTAATCCTGACCCCTTGCTGGCCTCAAGTTTGGGTCCTGGGCTGTCTGTGTCCTGTGGCCAAGCAGCCGCCTGCTTCTTTGCTCAGTAATGCTATGATGTAGTCTCCCAATTCCCAGCCTGCTCTGGACTCAGCTGTTGTGCCTAGGTCTTGCAGCTCCCTCATGGCTGACCACTGCCTCACCATCAGAAAGCCCCAAGGTAGGCTGCTTTATGCTTTTGTATTTTACTTACTACAAATTGTGTTCGGGCAGTTTTGCAGGTTGTAGGCCTTCCCATACTTTCTTTCTTGTGTTTGTTTTGAGACAGAGTCTTGCTCTGTCACCCAGGCTGGAGTGCAGTCGTGCAATCTTGGCTCACTGCAACCTCCACCTCCCAGGTTCAAGCGATTGTCTTGCCTCAGCCTCCCTAGTAGCTGGGACTACAGCCACACGCCACCACACCCAGCTAATTTTTGTATTTTTAGTAGAGGTGGAGTTTCACTATATTAGCCAGGTTGGTCTTGAACTCCTGACCTCAAGTGATCCGCCCGCCTTGGCCTCCAAAAGTGCTGGGATTACAGGCGTGAGCCACCATGCCCAGCTTTGCCCAAAATTTCTCTATCTCTGTCCAGGTGACCTCAAGATGGTCTTCCAGGCTGGGCGCAGTGGCTCTTGTCTGTAATCCCAGCACTTTGGGAGGCTGAGACAGGCAGATTGCTTGAGCCTAGGAGTTCAAGACCAGCCTGGGCAACATGGCAAAAACCCATCTCTACAAAAAATACAAGAAAAAATTAGCCAGGCCTGGTGGCACACGCCTGTACTCCAGCCACTAGGGAGGCTGAGGTTGGAGAATTGAGTGAGCTCAGGAGGCCAAGGCTGCAGTGAGCCGACATCACACCATTGCACTCTGGCCTGGGCAAACAGAGCAAGACTCTGTCTCAAAGAAAAAAAAGTCTTCCAGAAACAAGCTCTTCTAAGATGCTGGAAGAACTGGCAAAATTTTTCTTTCTCTTTAAATAAATTATTTGCAAGGTCTTATATTTTATTTTTTTTAAACTGTGGTAAAATATACCTAACAAAGTTTACAATTTTTCTTTTTTTTTTTTGAGACAGAGTTTCGCTCTTTGTTGCCCAGGCTGGAGTGCAATGGCACAAATCTTGGCTCACCGCGACCTCCGCTTCCCGGGTTCAGCGATTCTCCTGCCTCAGCCTCCCGAGTAGCTGGGATTACAGGCATGCACCATCAGGCCCGGCTAATTTTGCATTTTTAGTAGAGATGGGGTTTCTCCCTGTTGGTCAGGCTGGTCTTGAACTCCCAAATCAGGCGATCCACTCGCCTTGGCCTCCCAAAGTGCTGGAATTACAGGTGTGAGCTACCGTGCCCAGCCACAAAGTTTACAATTTCAAGCATACAGTTCAGTGGCATTAAATTGTTCAGATTGTTATACAGCCATTAAACAGTAACTCTCCATTCTCCCCTCCCCTAGCCCAACAGACACCATTCTACTTTCTGTCTCCATAACTCTGACTAACTAGGTATCTCAGATAAGCAGAATACAGTATTTGTCCTTTTGCAACTGGCTTATTTCACTTAGCATAATGTCTTCAGGGTTCATTCATGTTGCAGCATGTAACAGAATTTCATTCCTTTTTAAGGCTGAATAATATTCCATTGTATGTACACACATCATCTTTATTCATGCATCCATCCATCACTGCATGGATTGCTTCTCTTTTGGCTACTGTGAAATGGTACTGCTATGAACATTCATGTAATTTCATTTTCTTCTGCTCTAACTCCAACTGGAATGAAGCTAGGCCCTTGACTAAGTCTTGAAAGGGTTTGAGGTCTCACAACAAAGGGACCTGGGCTCTACCTTGTGGGTGAAGCCTGTCTTAGAATCCCAGATCCCACCCACATCCCACGGTCTCCATAATTTTTCTTTTTCTTTTCTTTTTTTTTTTTTTAACACATGGTTTCACTTTTGTCGCCCAGGCTGGAGTACAATGGCACAATCACGGCTCACTGCAACCTCTGCCTCCCGGGCTCAAGGTTCCTCCCGCCTCAGCCTCCTGAGTAGCTGGGACTACAGGCGTACATGAGCCACCATGTCCTGCTAATTTTTATATTTTTTGTAGGGACGGGGTTTGGCCATGTGGGCTAGGCTGGTCTTGAACTCCCGGGCTTAAGCGATCCGCCCGCCTCGGCCTCCCAAAGTGATGGGATTACAAGCGTGAACCACCGCACCCGGCATCGTGGTCTCCACATTTCATCCAGAACGAGTCAAAGGCCTTGACCTCGAGCTTAACACGGACCTGAACCTTTGCTCTTCCCTTGTTTTCCCTTATCAGTAAACAGCCCCACAGCCACCCACCTGCACAAGCCAGAAGCTTGGAAATCATATTCGACGTCCTCATGCCCTTACATCCATCCATTCCAAGTTCTGATACTTTTGTCTCCAAAATATTCCTCAAATATTTCTCAAAGTGGGCAAAATATTTCTTTGCTCACTTTTTACTTCCCTCTGCTCCAAGCCACAATCACCTGTCTCCTGGAAGACTACAAAAGGCTCACTGATCTCCCAGCTCGCACTTTTGCACTCACTATCTCCAGGCCATTCTCTGTTATTTCTATTGTTACTATTATTATTTTGAGACGGAGTCTCGCTCTGTCGCTCAGGCTGGAGAGCAGTGGCAAGATCTAGGCTCACCGCAATCTCCGCCTCCCAGGTCAAGCGATTGAACCTCCAGCCTCAGCCTCCCGAGTAGCCTATTATTTATTTCTAAAAGTAGGTGATACAGCCATATGATTTAACAATTCCTGCTCTATAGGTCCCCTCTCCAGAGGCAACAGGTGCTCTCCATTCCGTGGTCTCCTTCCAGATACTGTGGGCGTCCCTGGGTGCTCACCTGGCCGTATACCTTCCCCCACCCACTTCCCCACAGGGCCCGGGGCCTCCTCACTCCGCTTGAGACCCTCCATCCAGGCGCTCCCTCCCTATCGTCCGTCTCCCTTGGGCACTGCCCGGCCTCCCAGGCTGGGCTGAGTAGGCCAGTCTCCGGTCAGTGATTCTGTTCCAAAGCTCGAAAGCCTTCGCAGCACTGGGACTGAAACCCCCAGCTCTCAGCCCCGACTCCTTCAGGCCAGGTGCTCCCTCCGCACCCTCTCTAAGGCCCGTTTTCGCGTCATCTCTTTCCAGCGGCCCGCCCGCCACGTCATCTCTACCACAGCACCAGTCCTCCACGGCTCTTGACAATACGTGGGAGGGCAAGTTCATAGGTGAGGTCTCATGCTCTTCCTAGGAGGGAGGAGCGCGGCGGGCGGGACCCGCAGCTGGGCTTGGCCCGGGAGCGGGGAATAAGCTCGCTCCGCGCCTCTCAGTTTAGTGGATGAAGACTACTATCCCAGAAGCCGTTTCGCCTCGGGCTGGCGAGCTCCTCCCCGCCCTACTCCCTCCGCGCGAAGAAGACTGAGCATGCGCAACAGGGACAGCGCCTGCGCAAAAGACTACGCGAGCGGGTGGCTGGGTTCACTGCAACTCCCGGCAGGCCGCTGGCATTTTTCATTCCCTCCCGTGACCAGTGACTTCCGGCACGAAGGGGCGGGGCTGGGCTCGTGGCTGAGCCAGCAGCTGCAGCAGCTACGGGAGTGGCCGGGTGGCCGGCGGGTGCCAGCCGCCATGGAGGCCGTGCCCCGCATGCCCATGATCTGGCTGGACCTGAAGGAGGCCGGTGACTTTCACTTCCAGCCAGCTGTGAAGAAGGTGAGCTTGCCTTCCATCTTCCCCCCTATCCGCCGCGTATCTCCGTCGTCTGCAAGCGCGTGACGCCCCCCTGCGCGCCCATCACCTCCTCAGGCCCGGTCGCAGGGTCCGGTGAGGCCAGGAGGGGCCTTCGCCGGTTTTCCTCAGCCTGTCCCACACCCCGGCGCCCGCAGGCCATTCTTCTCCTCCCCGATAGCCCCGTGCTAGCACCTGCATCTTCATCTGAACCCGGTTCCCGACTTCTGCCCCGAGTCATCCGCTGTTCCCACTGAGGCAGCACACTTCCTCCTTCTGACGCTCGGACCCAGTTCTGCCCCGCCCCTCCTCCATGCCAGGACCGCCCCGCGCGGGAGCGGTGGGCGGCCCTGACCGTGCGGATTCTTTTGCTGCGCCCGGCCCTCGGTGCGCTGTCAAGTCCACGCCCGCCTGGGACAGACACTGGGGATGGCTCAGGGGCGTGTGTTTAAGACGTGAGCCCCGGTGGCCCAGGGAGATGCCCGACCCCTGCGGTGAGGGTTTGTTTTACAATTGCTGCGATTCTGTATGGTCTCCCATTCGGGAGTCTCTTTGGACCAAACAATACAATCCCACGACATTTTTAGGAGGGTTACTGCTTTTCGTAACCGACTGGAGGGCATAAACAGTGTTGTAGAGCTCAGAGAAATCTTACTGTGTTGGAAGAACAGACGGGCAGGTTTGGCGTTGACTAAGGCAAGGAACTTCTGTGGAGAGGTTCAGGTGTGGTGATTGAACACAGGTGCCCTCCGAGACATCCGCTGTATTGGTAGCACTGAGGGCTAGAGCAGAAATGAAAAGGAACAACCAGGAGGCCGTCGCAGGTGGGGGGCCTTGTGGGCTTAGCACAGCAGATGCCAGAGTAAGCCCCAATCTAGATGGTGCACCACTTAGCGAGACGCTTGGGAAGACAAATAGGAAAAAGAAAATGGGTTTGGAAGTAGTTTCCCAAGAAGCTGTCTCCCCTCTAATCGCCATACACCATTGCCTTAGTTCAGACAGTGTTTGAGTCCATCATCTAGCCTCTTGGGGCCAGGAAATGAGGGTAATTGATCCAAAATTCTAGAATTTTGTTAACGGTTATCCAGACGTTGCTCTCTTCTTCATCTGCTGTTTCTTTTTCCTACCTTTTTTTTTTTTTTTGAGACGGAGTTTCGCTCTTGTTGCCCAGGCTGGAGTGCAATGGCACGATCTCGGCTCACCGCAACGTCAGCCTCCCGGGTTTAAGCGATTCTCCTGCCTCAGCCTTCCAAGTAGCTGGAATTACAGGCATGCGCCACCATGCCCGGCTAATTTTGTATTTTTATTAGAGATGGGGTTTTGCCATGTTGGTCAGACTGGTCTCGAACTCCTGACATCAGGTGATCCGCTTGCCTCGGCCTCCCAAAGTGCTGGGATTACAGGCCTTCATCTGCTGTTTCATACAAATACAATTGGATGAATTTTTCTAAGACACAACAGAACTCCTGTTTTCTTTTTCTTTTCTTTTTTTTTTTTTTTTTTTTTTTTTTGAGACGGAGTCTCACTCTGTCACCCAGGCTGGAGTGCAGTGGCGCAATCTCAGCTCACTGCAAGCTCCGCCTCCCGGGTTCACGCCATTCTCCTGCCTCAGCCTCCCAAGTAGCTGGGACTACAGGCACCCGCCACCACCCCTGCCTAATTTTTTGTATTTTTAGTGGAGAGGGGGTTTCATCGTGTTAGCCAGGATAGTCTCGATCTCCCGACCCGTGATCCACCCACCTTGGCCTCCCAAAGTGCTGGGATTATAGGCATGAGCCACCGCGCCTGGCCAAAACTCCTGTTTTCTGTTTTACAGAATAGATCCGGTATCTTTTTTTTGGAGACGGAGTCTTGGAATAGAGCCAGTATCTTTAGTTTTCCATTAGAGTTCTTCCAGACTTATCCCACTTCTTTCAGCATTTATTGAGTCCCCACTGTGTGCTTCATCTACTGTGTGCATCTGATAGAGGTACCCTAGATTCTGTTCTCAGTCACTTGCTGTTTCCTTACCATACTCTGTTTCCTCTTCTGTGCCGTTGGTCATGGAATTCCTCCTGCCTAGAAGAGGTCTCATTTTGCCCTGTGGGGTGGTGAGGTGCCCTTCTTCAATCTCCGTGAATTCCATTTTCTTGTCTCCCATCCAACTTTCAAGGTCTACTTAAGCTCTCCTTTCTGCAGAGCCTTTCTTAATCTTTCTACCTGGATTAATCTTTCTCTTCTCTTAATTCCTTAACTCTTTTCATCCTTTCCCTGGTGACAGTTATGTATGCTGTGTTTTAACCCCCCTGTTCAAGTGTGTGTTACCTGAGAAGCATCTCTGTGTTCCCCAGAGCCTAACAGTGTACCCTCTACATAGTTGGCAGTCAGAAAAATATTTCTCAAATGATTGAATTACAGCTGAGCGGAAATTTAGAGATGGTGACCATAAATATATGGGAATGCAGTAGATAAAATCTTGGCCCAGAAACTCCTAGGAAGTATTTTTGTTTGAACTTAGCCTTTGCTGCTCTGACGATTCACACCGACCCAAAGGGTATTGTGTGACCAGTGACTTCCCTCCATGCACCTGGGCCTCCAGGAGAGGAGTTGCTCATTAGCCCTTTAGCCCGAGGTGGTATCAGATATGAAACAATTACTCCTATAGACACTGGAGGAGACTGTGCAGACACCACTGCAGCCTGGGGACTCTTCCCAACCTGCACCCCCTTCCCCAACTGCAGAGCCCCTTCTCTGCCTTCTGCCACTGGCACCCTTGTCCTGCTTTATGCTTGCTCTGAGCTGTGGGAACCTCTGCCAGTGAATTGGAGCTGAGGGTTAGAATTTAATTTAGAATAGAAGGGTGAAAATTGGTTCTGTTTACATCAACTGGTTAAGTACTATGCTGAACCTTGATAAGCAGACAAGTAAGAGACAGCCTTTTTTTTTTTTCAAGGAATTCATAAAGGAAATTTAAAAATTATAGTGATGACATTAAGAGTAGAAGTATTTGTAGGCCGGGTGCGGTGGCTCACGCCTGTAATCCCAGCACTTTGGGAGGCCGAGGCGGGCAGATCACGAGGTCAGGAGATCAAGACCATCCTGGCTAACACGGTGAAACCCCATCTCTACTAAAAATACAAAAAATTAGCCAGGCATAGTGGCGGGTGCCTGTAGTCGGGAGGCTGAGGCAGGAGAATGGCGTGAACCTGGGAGGCGGAGCTTGCAGTGAGCCAGGATCGTGCCACTGCACTCCAGCCTGGGTGATAGAGCGAGACTGTCTCAAAAAAAAAAAAAAAAAAAAGAGTAGAAGTATTTGCAGTGTATAGAAATACCAGCCTGAGGAGGGGCCATCAGGGAAGGCTTGCCAGAGATGGATTTTAAAGGATGAATAGGAGTTTTCCAGACAGGTAAAGGGGTTCGTTGTTTGAGAGGGCTGGGCTTTTGACAAATCTTTCATGGTGGCTAGTATTGATTTTCACTCCCAGTAGACAAGCCTTCCATTATGGCATAATGTGAAATAGAAGCCAGAAAAACAGGATGGTTTTGAACTGCAGTGGCAAACTTTAGGTTAGGATATTGGACCCGTGTGAATTTTTTTTTTTTTTTAGATGGAGTTTTGCTTTCGTTGCCCAGGCTGGAGTGCAATGGCACCATCTTGGCTCACCACAACCTCTGCCTCCCGGGTTCAAGCGATTCTCCTGCCTCAGCCTCCCAAGTAGCTAGGATTACAGGCATGTGCCACCACGCCTGGCTAATTTTGTATTTTTAGTAGAGACGGGGTTTCTCCATGTTAGTCAGGCTGGTCTTGAACCCCCGACCTCAGGTGATCTGCCTGCCTCGGCCTCCCAAAGTGCTGGGATTACAGGTATGAGCCGCCACACCCAGCCAGACCCACGTAATTTTTTAGTGGGGAAATGCTGCTGGCCTTGCATCTTCTTAACTTGTGCTTTGGAGGCCAGAGTGCTGATTCACTGGAAACTGATGATGGATGACTCTTGTCCTCTTTATCAGTGAGTGATTTGGCCTCAGGTATTTCTGTTTGAAGTTCTTTATTCTTTCTGGCCCAAACACTTGCCCTTAACCAGCTGTACTTGAGCTCAAGTCCAGCTTACTTGGACTGAGCTGTTACGTTCATCCCTGATTCATTCATTGAACAAATAGTTATTGAGTGCCTGTCATGTGCCAGCCCTGGGTACAGTGGTGACAAAAACCTGTGTCTTGGCTGGGAGCAGTGGTTCTAACCTGTAATCCCAGCACTTTGGGAGGCTGAGGCAGGTGGATTGCTTGAGTCCAGGAGTTTGAGACCAGCCTGGCCAATATGATGAAACCCCATCTCTACTAAAAATACAAAAATTAGCTGGGCATGGTGGTGCGTGCCTTGTAGGCCCAGCTACTTAGGAGGCTGAGGTGGGAGGATCACTTGAACCCAGAGGTGGATGTTACAGTGAGCCAAGATCACACCACTGTACTCTAGTCAGGGCGACAGAGTGAGACCCTGTCTCCAAAAAAACACCACAAAACCCTGTCTTCATGAAACTTACCTCCTAGTAATCTACACAGTAACCCTCATCCTCAAGTGCAGGTGTACATCTGGCTGGTAGCCACCCTGCCTGTCACTTGGCTTCTCTTCATCTCCCATCCTCCCACTCTGGCTGAGTTGATCTCTAAATCTCTACTTTCCCATCAGGCTGCTCATGGCCTGTCCCCAGCTTGCTTCAGCCTGTCTCTCTAACTTCACTCCCCAGTCCTCTCCTATGAGAACTTTCAGCTTCTCTTCCTTCCACATCTGGTCACTGCCCTTGCTCAGGCCCTTACTGGAATTCCCTTCCTCCTGTTTATCACATGGGTTGAACTGTACGTCATTAGGGTCCTCTCAGCCACCCAGCAAGTGTTTGGGCCAGAAACAAGAAAGAACTTTTCCCTCCTCTGAATTCAGACTGTCTTGCTGTCCACCACTGGGTTAGCCTGCACCACAGAGTGCACGCTGGTTTTTTTTTCTTTTTTTTTGGAGACAGAGTCTCGCTCTGTCACCCAGGCTGGGGTATAAATGGTGCAATCTTGGCTCACTGCAACCTCTGCCTCCTGGGTTCAAGCAGTTCTTGTGCCTCAGCCTCCCGAGTAGCTGGGATTACAGGGGTGTACCACCACGCCCAACCAATTTTTGTATTTTTAATAGAGATGGGGTTTCGCCGTGTTGGCTAGGCTGGTCTCGAACTCCTGACCTCAAGTGATCTGCCCACCTCGGTCTCCCAAAGTGTTGGGATTACAGGCATGAGCTACCGTGCCCAGCCCACAGTGCACACTCTTGTTGCCTTTTTTTTACTGTTCATTTTATTCACATCCGGGTAGAAGCCTGGTTTTTCAGGCTTATGGAATTTTTTCCCCTTCCAGATTTTCCATGGGATGGCTGGCTCTTGAAAAACTAGCTTGCACATGTATGTACATACACAGACACATACATAGAAAGGTAAATAAGAGGACTAGAGGCCTAAAAGGCCTCTGGCTGCTCAGCAGTGAGGGGCATGGGACATTGCCTGTTACCTGTGGTGGTGACCTGTCTTATCTCTTGTCACAGATTTGGAGTCACCCAGTTGCCTGAGCCTGTCTGTTCACTTGTATTTGCAGCGGAACAGCTCCAGGCACAGATGACCTGGATTGTCCATTATTCTCTGACTTGAATCTCATACACCAGAGGCCTATATCCATTTCAGTTAGAGTTTAGACCAGATTCTTTCCTTTACTCAGGACGTAATAAAATATTTGTATATAGGGAGTGCTTAACAAGCATTGGTTGAATGACCTAGTCTAGTTCTAGGACCTTCTGGGAGAGGTAACCTGAGTCTTCCTCACTGTGTTGTTCAGACAGGCAAGGGGCCATTCAGAAAAGATGTGGGAACGAGGCCTTGAGTATTATTGTAGGGATTAGACAAGGGGAGGATGAAGGTATGTTTTTATCCCCAGTACTCTTGGCCTATGGCGGTTTTCTTTCAGGCTTGCTGACATGGACCAAGGAGCTGAAGATTTCACTTGGCAATACGCCATTCTCTGAATATAATTAGTCTCATTTGAAATTTAGTAGCTGAACATATACTGTATTAATTAACAATACTGGTCAGGCACGTTGGCTCATGCCTGTCATCCCAGCACTTTGGGAGGCCAAGGCAGGAGGATCAGTCAAGACCAGGAGTTTGAGACTAACCTGGGCAACAAAGCAAGACCCTGTCTCTACAAAAAAAAAAAAAAAAAAAGAAAGGTCAGGCGTGGTGTGGTGGCACACACCTGTAGTCCCTGCTACTCAGGAGGCTGAGGTGGGGGGTATGGCTTAAGCCCAGGAGGTCGAGGCTGTGGTGAACCAAGATCTCGCCACTCCAGCCTGGGTGTCAGAGACCCTGTCTCAAAAAAAAAAAAAAAAAGTTTGTTTCTTAGAGTAGCCCAAGGAATGCCCTACATTTGAGTCAACTCTGGAACTGGAGAAAAAAGAAACATAATGTAACTGGTGAATAAAGGTAAAACTAACACATGTGATGCCTTTTAATTGCCTTTTCTTCTTGTCTTATTGCTTTAATTAGCATGATGAAATTCCAAATGTTAAATTAAGAGCAAAGCATACATAGAAGAATGAGAACATACTAGTACAAGAGAAGGTGACACAGAGGGATTAATATTAGGTCTGGAGTCAGGAAATCTGTCTTGGGGTCCTAGCACTATCATTGCTTATCTGTGGTTTGCCCTTTCTCTAATCTGCAAAATCATGGCAGGACCAGGATGGTTGTTTCCAGTGATCTCACCTAGCTACAAAATTCTCTACTGTTTGGTGCTCAGTAAAATAGCAGAGTAGCATCATGGAAATAGCATAGCTATTGGAATCAGACCTTGGTTTAGGTCCCCTCTCATTCCTTTAATAGCTGAATGATCTTGAGCTGTCACAAAGATTACATAACTAATGTAGTCCTCACTTTTCTTACCTGAAACATGGAACTAATAATATACCTCATAAGCTTCTGAGAATCAAAATTAATGCTTCTAAGTTCTTTTTTATTTTTATTTTTTTAGAGATGGGGTCTTGCTGTAACACCCAGGCTGGAGTGCAAAGGCACGATCTTGGCACACTGCAGCCTCTGCCTCCAGGTCTCAAGTGGTCCGTCCACCTCATCCTCCTGAATAGCTGGGACCACAGGCACGCACCACTCTGCTAATTTTGCTTATTTTTTTTTAGAGATAAGGTCTCACTGTGTTGCGCAGGCTGGTCTCAAACACCTGGGCTTAAGTAGGTATATAAGTATATACACCTACTATGTACCCACAAAAATTAATGGGGTACTTGATATGGCCAAACAGGTATAGTAATCACATCAGGGTAAATGGAGTATCCATTACCACAAGCATTTATCCTTTCTTTGTGTTACAGACAATCCAATTATACTTTTATTTTTAAATGTAATAAATTATTGCTGACTATAGTTACCCTGTTTTGCTGTCACTACTAGATCTTTTTTTTTTTTTTTTTTGAGACAGAGTTTCGCCTTGTCACGCAGGCTAGAGTACAGTGGCACAATCTCGGCTCACCACAACCTCCGCCTCCCGTGTTCAAGCGTTTCTACTGCCTCAGCCTCCCGAGTAGCTGGGATTACAGGCACCTGCCATCATGTCCAGCTAATTTTTGTCTTTTTAGTAGAGTCTGGGTTTTGCCATGTTGGACAGGGTGGTCTCGAACTCCTGACCTCAGATGATCCACCCGCCTTGGCCTCCCAAAGTGCTGCGATTGCAGGTGTGAGCCACCACGCCCAGCCTCAAATACTAGATTGTATTCATTCTATCTAACTATATTTTTGTACTCATTAACCATTCCCACTCCACTCCCCCACCCCACTCCCACTACCCTTCCCAGCCTCTGGTATTCATCATTCTACTGTCGGTTTCCATGAATTCAGTGGTTTTAATTTTTAGCTCCCACAAAAAAGTGAGAACATGCAGAGTTTGTCGTTCTAATGCTTGTTAAGTTCTTAGTACAGGTCTTGGCCTATTGTAAACAATATTTTCACCTGAGCATCTTCCTTCCCTGTTTGGGAAATAACTCGAATCCTTATGACAGCTCTGAGCTAGACGTAGCAAGTGATATTAACCCCATTTTACACATGAAAAAAGCCAAGCCTAGGCTGGGCATGGTGACTCATGCCTGTAATCCCAGCGCTTTGGGATGCCGAGGTGGGAGGATAGCTGGAGGCCAGGAGTTCGAGACCAGCCTGGGCACCATAGCAAGACCCCTGTCTCTACAAAATAAAAATAAAAATTAGCTGGGGCCAGGCATGGTAGCTCACGCCTGTAATCCCAGCACTTTGGGAGGCCAAGGCGGGTGGATCACGAAGTCAAGGGTTCGGGACCAGGGCCTGGCGCAGTGGCTCACGCCTGTAATCCCCGCACTTTGGGAGGCCGAGGCGGGTGGATCACGAGATCAGGAGATCAAGACCATCCTGGCTAACACGGTGAATCCCCGTCTCCACTAAAAATACAAACAATTAGCCAGGCGTGGTGGCGGGTGCCTGTAGTCCCAGCTGCTCAGGAGGCTGAGGCAGGAGAATGGCGTGAACCCGGGGGGGTGGAGCTTGCAGTGAGCTGAGATGGCACCACTGCACTCCAGCCTGGGTAACAGAGCGAGACTCCGTCTCAAAAAAAAAAAAAAAAAAAAAAAGGAGTTCGAGATCAGCCTAGCCAACATGGCAAAACCCCATCTCTACTAAAAATACAAAAATTAGCTGGGTATGGCTGCATGCACCTGTAGTCCCAGCTACTTGGGAGGCTTAGGCAGGAGAATTGCTTGAACCCAGGAGGTGGAGGTTGCAGTAAGCCGAGATGGCGCCATTGCACTCCAGCCTGGGTAACAGAGCGAGACTCCGTCTCAAAAAAAAAAAAAAAAAAAAATAGCTGGGCATGGTGGCACACAGCTGTAGTCCTAGCCACACAAGAGGCTGAGGTGGGAGGATCACTTGGAGTTTGAAGCTTCATTGAGCTATGATAGTACCACTGCACTCCAGCCTGCCTGACAGAGCAAGACAATTTAAAAAAACAAAAAACAAAAACCAAGCCCAGATTTCACAGCAACTCAGGGGCACTGTTTCCCACTTGTAATCTGGTAACTCCTTTCTTTTCTTTTTCCCCTCGGTGGCTGTGATCCCTGGACGTGCCCTCACTGAGAGCTCTCCACGGGTCTTCTTTTATTCCTTCAGAAAAGGATCCCCAGCTACTTCAAAGCCTGGCTGTTTTTGGAGGTTCTCTGGTCTTCTTCCTGTTAGTTGTGTAGGTACTGGGGTCCTGTCAGGGCCTCTGGTTCTTTCTCCTCGTCTGCTGCTGGGCCTGCCTTCTCAGCCTCCATTGGAGCTTCATACTTCCCGCTAGACTGTTCCGAGTTCTGCAGAGTCCCAGACCATAGCGAAATGGGGACAAGGTCTCTGTCCCTTACTCCAGGAACTTCACCCAGCCTCTTTCTTCTTTTTTAGTGGAGGAGTGATCAGCAGTCACAGAGGATTTTGTTAGGGTTTTAAAAACATCCTTTTGCTTCTAACAGGCTGCAAATAATAATAATAACATAAATATCCTGGCTGCTCCACTGACTCACTGTGTGGCCAGGGATTCATTTTCTGTGCCTGTTTTTCAGAGTTGTTTGTAAGAACCATATTTTTAAAAAATAGAAATGCTCTGGGAGGCTGATGTGGGTCAACTGCTTGAGCCCAGGAGTTTAAGACCAGACTGGGCAACATAGTGAGACTCCCATCTCTATAAAATAAAAAAAAGTTTGGGCGTGATGGCTCATGTCTGTAATCCCAACACTTTGGGAGTCTGAGGCAGAAGGATTGCTTGAGGCTAGAAGTTCCAGACCAGCCTGGGCAATATAGCAAGACACTACCTCTACAGAAAATTAGCTGAGTATGGTGGTATGTGCCTGTAGTTCCGGCTTCTTGGAAGGCTGAGGCAGGAGAATTACTTGGACCCAGGAGTTTGAGACTGCAGTGAGCTATGGTTGCAGTACCACTGTAACTCCAGCCTGGGCAACAGAACAAGACCTTGTCTCGAAAATAAAATAAAACAATAAAAAATAAACTAAAAACAATTTAAATAGAAATGGAATGGTCTAATATGGAAAGAACATGGGCTCTGGAGCCCAAATGCCTGGGTTTCAGTCATATCCCCATCAGTTATTAGCACCGTGACCTTGGTGAATACCCTAACTCTTTGCCTCAGTTTCCTCATTTCCTCATCTGTAAAGTGGTGATGATAATAGTGTCTACCTCTTAGGGTTGTTCTAAGGATGGAGTGATTACTAGGCACTCAGCACAGTGCCTGACCTGTGGTAGGTTCTCAGTTAAGCATCTGCTGCTGATCTTATAGGAGGACGGAGATGAGATTCAGATAGAATGTGACCTCTAGGCATGATTTGCTAGGGGTGGGAGCAGCATCTTTCTGTCACCATTGTGTGAACAGCAGGGTCAGATGTTCCTAGTGATATCACGGGAAGCCTTGTTTCTAGGATGTAGGAGTCTCCTGTCCATCTGATTCCTTTGGCCTCTATCCCACGAGACCTCTGAGCTACACTTTTACTCATTTTCTCTAACCTAAGGGTGGGCAAAACCTCTTACTGCAAGGGAGTTAACCACAGAACATTCTCTCATATAGTCAAGTTTTACCTCATAGCTTAGGCCACATTTTAAAAAATATTTTAGTTAATTAATTATTTTTGAGATAGTGTCACACTCTCACCCAGGCTGGAGTGCAGTGGCACAATCATGGTTCACTGCAACCTTGAACTCCTGGTGTCAAGCAGTCCTCTCACCTCAACCTCCCAACTGGCCAAGAGTATAGGCGCACACCACCACACGTGGCTAATTCTTGTGCTTTTTGTAGAAATGGGGTTTTGCCATGTTGCCCAGGCTTGTCTTGAACTCCTGGGCTCAAACGATCGGCCCACCTTGGCCTCCCAAACTGCTGGGATTACAGGCATGAGCCACTGTGCCTGGCCTATTTTTATTTTTTAATACAGACAGGGTCTCACTCTGACACCCCAGCTGAAGTAAGGTGGTGCCATCATAGCTCACTGCAGCTTCAAACTCCTGAGCTTAAGCAGTCCTGCCTCAGCCTCCCAACTAGCTGAGACCACAGGCATGCACCACCACTCCTGGCTAATTTTTAAATTTTTTTTCGTAGAGATGGGGGTCTCGCCATATTGCCCAGGCTGGTCTGGAACTCCTAGCCTCAAGTGATCCTCTCACCCCAGCCTACCAAAGTGCTGGGATTATAGTCATGAGCCATCATGCCCAACCCAAGGCCACTTTTTGTAGTTGTGTTTTTGTTGTTGTTGTTGTCATAATTATTTTTGAGGGAGGGAGTGGAGAGGGGGTGGAGTTGGATAGATCAGAGTGAAGATTGTTAAATGCCTGTCAGCTCCCTAAAGTTCTTGGTAAATCCTTATGTTTGTGCATAGTTGAAAATTTCTAGGGGGATTTAATTCATGGCTTTTATCATATTCTCAAAGGACCCACAAAAGGCTAAATAAAAACCACTGATAGGGGAAAGTGGTATTCAGGTACCATTTAGCTCTTCAGCAACTCTTAAGACATTTGTTTTCCAAATTTCAAACATATAGAAAAATTGGAAGAATAATTCAGTGCTCACCCAAATTCTCACTATCTAGTATTTTTGTTTTGTTTTGTTTTTAGAGATGGGATTTACTCTTTGTTGCCCAGGCTGGACTTGAACTGCTAGGCTCAAGTGATCCTCCTGCCTCAGCCTCTGGAGTAGCTGAGACTACAGATGTGCGCTGCACCTGGCTGATTCATTTTTAAATTTTTGTAGAGATGGGATTTATTGTTATGTTGCCCAGTCTGGCCTTGAACTCTTGGGGTCAAGTGATCCTCTGGCCTCGGCCTCCCAAAGTGCTGGAAGTACAGGTGTGAACCACTGCACCCAGTGTGTTACCTAGTTTTGTTTGTTTGTTTTGTTTTTTTAAGATGGAGTCTTGCTGTGTGGCCAAGGCTGGAGTGCAGTGTTGTAATCTCAGCTCACTGCAACCTCCCCCTCCTGAGTTCAAGCGATTCTCCTGTCTCAGCCTCCTGAGAAGTTGGGATTACAGGTGCCCACCACCATGCCTGGCTAATTTTTGTGTTTTTAGTAGAGATGGGGTTTCACCATGTTGGTCAGGCTGGTCTCGAACTCCTGACCTCAAGTGATCCACCTGCCTTGGCCTCCCAAAGTGTTGGGATTACAGGCATAAGCCACTGTGCCCGGCTACCTAGTTTTGATGGATGTATTTCACCTTATTTGTTTTCTCTCCAGATAGATAGATAGATAGAGAGAGATCCCACAAGCCCTTTGAAAGTAAGTTTTGGACATCACTTTTCCCGGACACATCTCAGCATGTGTTTCCTAAGAGTGAGGACATTCTACACAATCACAATGTTATTATCATACCTAAGAAAATCTACAATAATTTTCCCCTATCTTTTATGACTTTTCCTTTTTTTTGCAGACTCAGATCCAGCTGGGGTTCTCATATTGCATTTAGTTGTGTTCTGTCCCTTTAATCACTTATTTATTTGTTTATTTATTATTATTATTATTATTTTTGGAAACAGACTGGAGTGTGCACACAGCTCACCACAGCCTCAACCTCCCAGGCTGATTCTCCCACCTCTCCCTCTTGAGTAGCTGGGACTACAGGCGTGGGCTACCATACCCAGCTAATTTTTTTTTTTTTTTTTAATTTGTAGAGATAGGGTCTCATGTTGCCCAGGCTGCTCTGGAACTCCTGGGCTCAACAGTCCTCTGACCTCAGCCACCCAAAGTGCTGGGATTACAGACTTGAGCCACCATATCCAACCTGTTTAATCATTTTTAATCTAGAATAGTCCACTGCTCAACCCCCTCCTTTTACATGACATTAATTTTTTGAAGAGAGTGGGTTCATTGTTGCCCCATTTTCTGAATTTTTCTGAGTGTTTCCTTTTCGTGTTCATCTGTCCTCTGCATTTCCTGTAAAAGCAATCATTTGCTGAGTATACAACACATCTGATAAGGCCCCTACCATTCCTTAATGCTTATTGTTTGAGGCTGGGGTCACTGGCATGACCCTGCCGTCGGCACACAGTATGTTGGAGGCATGTTTGGAATGTGAGCGGAAGAGCAGCTAATGTTCAAGGCAGTGACATTTCGGCTGAGTCTTAGTAGAGAAAGTAGGGACAATGTAGATAGGCATTGATACCTGAGAGCAGCAATTCCCAAGTACTATTGGCTGGTTGTCCCTGGGAGGTGCCAGAGGAAAATCCTTGAAGGTTGTGGGGAGCAGGTTGTTTATTTTTGTAGAGACGGGTCTTGCTCTTTTGCCCAGGCTGATCTCTAATTCCTGACCTGAAGTGATCCTCCCACCTTGGCCACCCAAAGTGTTGGGATTACACGCTTGAGCCACCTCACCCGGCCAGGAACAGGTTGTGCAGGGTCATAAACTCTGTGCCAAAATTAGATTTGGTCCTAGAGGCTTTGGGAAGCTACTGCACACATTCTTTTTAGATTATATATCATTTCCTATCATCTCACTGTCCTGAGATAAGCATGTTTTGGTCTATCTTCTCCCTAAGGGTGTGTGTGTGTTTCAGAAGGATTTAAAGCTGGAAGTGACCTCAGAGTTGTGCTAGAAATAACAATTCTGGCCACTTGGTAAGGGACGGATTTGAAGGGGTGGGTTGTCCAGGACAGAGGTGGCATGGGGAGAGAGAAAAGAGCTTATGGACACAGGGACTTTCAGGAGCTGAAACCAACAGAAGAACCAGGGTTAGACTCAGAGGTTTGGGAAAGGGTTGCTTGATGCTGTAATTAGCTCAGCTGTCGCCTCCCTGCCATCTGTTCCTCTTCTCCCTTTGCTCACCAGGCAGACAGAAGCTGTCACCCAGGCTTCCCGGTTCCCATGTGGCTGATTCCTTAGCTATGCATCCTGGGTCCTGGGAAGGGACCTCAGGAAAGATGGGTGGGCCACACACATGGTGTGAGTGAGTGTGCTCCCAGACAGAGCAGGCTGCCTCATCTCAGCCTTTCTCAGCCACCTCTCTCTACCTTGCAAACCTTGGTCATGGCCTTAAGGAGCCCTGTGAGGTGGGTATCAGTGCTCATAGTGTTTGTGGCGTGAGTGGATCTGGCCTCCCAGATTGCTAGCCAAGACACCAGCAGCAAGTACTGCAACAGGGACAGTTGCAGTTGCCTTAGTCTGGTGATCTGAGTTGAACAGGGGGCCCTTTGGGCTAAGCCTGTGCCTCCAGGTGGGTGTGTATGCTCACTGTCCAAGACAGTCTGCTCTGGAGGTGGTGAGTGCCACTGTGGACAGGCACTCCAGTGCTCTCTCTGATGTGGGTAGTGACCTCCCCTTCTCACCTTCTCCCACCTGGGCCATTCTCCTCACACAGCTGCAAGTCTTTCCTCACAGATGAGGACACTGCAGATCACATGTTTCTATGCTGTCCTTTCCCAGGCCAGGAGAATGGGTTGGTGAGAGAGGCTTTCTGTTCCCACTCTTGTTTGGTGCCTCTTGCCTGCAGTTGCTATCAGCTTAGGGTTATGGTAGTCACCCCACAACGCAGCAGGGCCCAATCTTCTAGGGAGGCTTGAGTTCGTGACCCTTTCTGGAATCCTTATTAGGACCCCATTTCAGTCCGCTGAGTTCCTTGGCTTCCTGAGCTGGCAGACTCCTGGACTTTGTAGAGAGACTGCAGCGTTAGGAGGACCTGCCAGAGTGTTGGTGCAGGGTCACGGCTCTCGTGGTCAGCATTTTGGTGCTGCCTGTTCAGGAGGCGAAGTTCCTGGTGGTCCAGGAGACACGCTTATGGTTGTAGGTCTGCACTTAATCCTGAGTCCTGGTTGGTGCTTGCCCAGGACTCAGAGGGCAAGGCGGGGGTCTTCTCTGCCACTGGCTTATGTTCTTCTCTCTCTGTAGTTTGTCCTGAAGAATTATGGAGAGAACCCAGAAGCCTACAATGAAGAACTGAAGAAGCTGGAGTTGCTCAGACAGGTAGGAGGATAGTATTATCTTTTTATGCATGGGTAGACAGGATTGGTTTGATAGGGAGATAAAGAAACTGCCTAGGCTGGGCATGGTGGCTCAACGCCTATAATCCCACCACTTTGGGAGGCCGAGGTGGGCAGATCATTTGAGGTCAGGAGTTTGAGACCAGCCTGGCCAACATGGTGAAACCCCATCTCTACTAAAAATACAAAAATTAGGCAGGTGTGGTGTCATGTGCCTGTAGTTCCGGCTACTCAGGAGTCTGAAGCAGGATAATTGCTTCAACCCAGGAGGTGGAGGTTGCAGTGAGCTGAGATCATGCCACTGCACTCCAGCCTGGGTGATAGAGCGAGACTCCATCTCAAAAACAACAAAAAAGAAACCACCTGGCCCTTTCTAGCTTTTGATGTAAAGTGAAAGACAGCTGGATGTGTGACTCATGCCTATGATCCCAGCACTTTGGGAGGCCAAGGCAGGAGGATTGGTTCCTCCTGGAGTTCAGGCCCAGGAGTTTGAGACCAGCCTCAACATAGTGAGGCCCTGTCTCTATAGAAAACAAAAAAAATTAGCCAGGCATGATGGTGCACAGCTATGTCCCCAGCTACGCAGGAGTCTGAGGAGGGAAGATCACTTGAGCCCAGGAGGTTGGGACTGCAGTGAGCCAACCATGTTCATACCACTGTACTCCAGCCTGAGTGACAAAGTGAGACCCTGACTGTTTAGAAAACAAAACAAAAGTGAAAGATGTGTGACTCTTCCTTTCACTTAAACACTTAAGAGGCCATTGTAGGTTATTAATTGGCCTAATTTCAATATTATTGTGTCTCAGGGAATAGGGAGCCTGAGGAGAGGGAGAGAGGCAGGAAAAGGCCAGCCAGTGAAGCAGTGAGAACACACGGAACATTTATAAGTCTGCCGTCTTCTATGGGTGCAATTCATGGCACCAAAAACAATTATAATAGTAACATCAAAGATCACTGATCACTGATCACCATAACAGATATATAATAAAAAAGTTTGAAATATTGTGAGAATTACTAAAATGTGACACAGAGTCATGAAATGAGCACATGCTGCTGGAAAAATGGTGCCGACAGGCCTGTGTGATGCAGAATTGTCACAAACCTTCAGTCTGTAAAAAACACAGCACCTGTGAAGTGCAATAAAATGAGGTATGCTGTATTTTTTTCCTGATTATTGTATGTACTATTGGATAACAACATGTTTTCCCTTATGTTTTTGTTAGAAGGGTAAGAGTCTGCACTGGCATGGCTGAACTTGAGTACCAGTAATGTAGATACATGCCATAGAAATCAGTAGCTGTTAGTGTTTTCTTGTCTATCATGGACCACATACCAATCCTTGCAATAACCCAGCAGTACTAGCAACTATTGCCAGTATACTACCCATCAGTAAATTTTTGGATACATTTTCATTTAGTCTACTGAGTGAAGATATTTTCTTTTTTCTTTTTCTGAGACCTAGTCTTACTCTGTCACCCAGGCTGGAGTGCAATGGCGCGATCTCAGCTCACTGCAACCTCTACCTCCCAGGTTCAAGTGATTCTCCTGTCTCAGCCTCCTAAGTAGCTGGGACTACAGGCGCCCACCACCACGCCCGGCTAATTTTTTGTATTTTTAGTAGAGACAGGATTTCAACATGTTGGCCAGGCTGGTCTCGACCTCCTGACCTCAGGTAATCCACCTGTCTCGGCTTCCCAAATTGCTGGGATTACAGGTGTGAGCCACCGCGCCCCGCCTGGTGAAGATATTTTCTATGTCAGTTATTCAAAATTAGTACAAGGCCAGGTGCAGTGGCTCACGCCTGTAATGCTATCACTTTGGGAGGCTGAGGCAGGTGGATCACTTGAAATCAGGAGTTCGAGACCAGCCTGGCCAACATGGCGAAACCCCCTCTCTACGAAAAATACAAAAATTAGTCGGGCATGGTAGCAGCGCATGCCTGTAATCCCAGCTACTAGGGAGGCTAAGGCAGGAAAATTACTTGAACCCAGGAGGTGGAGGTTGCAGTGAGCCAAGATCGCACCCCTGCATCCAGCCTGGGCAACAGAGTGAGACTGTCTCAAAAAAGAAAAGCTAGAAATTATTACACTTAGTAAGGAAGGCACGTGAAAAACTGAGATAGGCCAAAAGCTAGGCCTCTTGCACCAGATCACCAAGTTAGGAATGCAAAGAAAAAATTCTTGAAGGAAATTAAAAAAGAATCGAATGATGTCATATCTCTGGATATCAGATTCTCCCCCTTCCCCGGGATTTGCTGGGTTTTTTTGTGTGTTTTTGATTGTTGTAGGCTACCCCTGTGCCAAGAATCAGCCTGAAATGTAAACTTAAAGTTTTTTTTTTTTTTTTCCCGAGACAGGGTTTCGCTCTGTCGTCCAGGCAGGAGTGCAGTGGCACAATCACGGCTCACTGCAGCCTCCATCTCCCCAGTTCAAACCATCCTCCCACTGCAGCCCCCAAGTAGCTGGGACTACAAGTGCACACCACCGCATCCAGCCAATTTTTAAATTTTTTGTAGAGATGGGGTTCCCCTGTGTTGCCCAGGCTGGTCTCAAACTCCTGGGCTCAAGTGATCTTCTGGCCCCAGCCTCCCAAAGTGTTGGGATTAAAGGCATGAGCCGCAGCACCCGGCCTTGTAAACTTAAGGTCTTCACAGGTCTTTTCTGAGCCTGTACCATTCCCTGCACATGTGCAGACTTTCTCATTTGCCCTATATATGTGGTTGCTTTTGAACATCTTACTCTTTAGTGTCTGCCTCCCAAAGGAGGAAAAAGAGAAAAATGAAGAAGGGAAAAGATGCCAGGCCTTTAGATCCCTTGGAAGTTCCTTCAGCTAGAGGTGAAGAAGCTTACAGCCGTGGAGGGAGGTGCAATAGTGGAGGAGCTGCCTCTTTCTCTGTACCTCTGTGATCAGAAGCAGCAATCAGCAAGATCTCCTGTATTTGGAGGACAGAGTCCTTTTTGTCCATGCTGGCTCCCACAAGCTGCTCCTGGAACTGGTGCTGGGGGTGGGGGATGGGTGGCTGCTACTATGGTAGGGGCTGAAATTGACCAAAATTAATGGCAGTGAGCTGTACTGTCAAAGCCTTTGCCTAGAAGTTGCAAGCCTTTAATAGACTCCAGAGTTAAGTCAGATTCTGCCAGTGCAGCTTGTCTTGGTGGGGAGACCAAGCTTCTTCTTATGCTGTCTTCTCAGAACCCTCCTCATAAGTTGAATCTTTAAAAAGGGTTTATTTGAACAAAGTTTGAAAACTAGTGAGATAATCTTAGCCCCTGGGGCAACCGTCATTTTGCACACACAGGCACACACTACACACAAGGACGCAACACACCCTAGAAGGAGCATTACCACCAATCTCCAAAGCATCCTCTGAGACATATCCTCCAAAGCATAAGGCAGGCAACCTGCACAGAGCAATGGGCTGGGTAGAGCAGCCCCTGAGAGAGCTGTGAGCCAGCAGCCTTCAGACCTGTGCTTTTCCAGTGCGAAAAAAGCTCACACATGGCCATCTGGGGTAGCCACTTCCCCTTCCTGGGACTTGGTTTAATTTATCCCAGCAATGTGGGAGTTGGACTAGATCACTGTTTTTTTTGTTTTTGTTTTTAAAGACAGAGTCTCACTCTGTCACCCAGGCTGGGGTGCAGTCTATCTTGGCTCATTGCAACGTCTGCCTCCTGGATTCAAGCGATCCTCCTACCTCAGCCTCCTGAGTACCTGGGACAAGTATGCACCACCATGCCTGGCTAATTTTTGTATTTTTTGTAGACATGGAGTCTCGTATATTCCCCAGGCTGGTCTTAAACTACTGGCCTCAAGCAATCCTCTGCCTCAGCCTCCGAAAATGCTGGGATTACAGGCGTGAGTCACCACGCCTAGTCTAGATCACTGTTCCTTATACTTGTGAAACCCCAGAACAAATTTTCTTACATAGGACGTTGATAATAATCTTTCAGTGAAAAAGTTATTGGAAGCTTTAGGCAGTCCTCTTTCCCTGATCTGAGCCTCAGTTTCCTCATCTGTAAAACCAGGGTTTGAATAGTTGTTTCTAGGAAGACTTTCCTTTTTAAACTCTGAAATAAATTCTTGGCTCTGTGATTACAGGGAATAAAACTGACAGGTGCAGGGGATGCTATGGGGGCATCACAGCATCAAGCTCTCTCTCAGACTCCTCTGTGCGGCTCTGCGCAGCTCGTCTGAGAGTCTGACAGACCAGGCTAGAACCACAGGGGGCTGCATTCTTGGGTGGATTAAAGGGTACAGGTGATCTCTTGGATCTGGAGGGGAGACTGCTTCCATTGTTTCCCAAAGATGGTTTTAGGAAGTACAAGACAAATTTTATTTTATTATTTATTTATTTTTGACACAGAGTTTCACTCCTATTGCCCAGGGTGGAGTGCAATGGCACAACCTCGGCTCACCACAACCTCTGCCTCCAGGGTTCAAGCGATTCTCCTGCCTCAGCCTCCCGAGTAGCTGGGATTACAGGCACTCGCCATCACGCCCAGCTATATTTTGTATTTTTAGTAGAGACAGGGTTTCTCCATGTTGGCCAGACTGGTCTCAAACTCTCAACCTCAGGTGATCCACCCGCCTTGGCCTCCCAAAGTGCTGGGATTATAGGTGTGAGCCACAGCACCCGGCTTTTATTTTATTTTATTTTATTTATTTTGTTTTATTATTTTATTTTTTGAGATGGAGTCTCACTCTGTTGCCCAGGCTGGAGTGCAGTGGCGCAATCTCGGCTTACTGCAAGCTCCGCCTCCCGGGTTCACGCCATTCTTCTGCCTCAGCCTCCCAAGTAGCTGGGACTACAGGTGCCCGTCACCATGCCTGGCTAATTTTTGTATTTTTAGTAGAGACAGGGTTTCACCTTGTTAGCCAGGGTGGTCTTGATCTCCTGACCTCGTGATCCGCCTGCCTCGGCCTCCCAAACTGCTGGGATTACAGGCGTGAGCCACTGCGTCCGGCCTTTTATTTTATTTTTTGAGATAGGGTCTCACTCTGTTGCCCAGGCTGAAGTGCAGTGGCATGATCATGGCTCACTGCAGCCTCCACCTCCCAGGCTCAATCACTTCTCCCCCTTCCCAAGCCTGTAGTCCTGAGTAGCTGGGACTACAGGTATGCATCACCGCACCTGGCCAATTTTTGTATTTTTTGTAGAGGCGGAGTCTCGCCATGTTCTTCAGGCTGGTCTCAAAATCCTGGGCTCAAGTGATCCTCCCACTTTGGCCTCCCAAAGTGCTGGGATTATAGGCATGAGCCACCATGCCCGGCCAAGATTTTTCAATACTTTTATATGTGCTATTTTAGTGAGTATTGAAAAAAACTGTGTGGCTAGCGCATCACACCTGTGATTTTAGAGCTGTTATTGCTTAGGATGTGGCTCTTAATTTTAAAAATGGATTGTTTAAAGAAAAATGTTAAGTACAAGTGGTATTTGGATATGGCAGAGGTCATGATGGAGGGGTATGATAAGAATGACTAGATTTGAGAAGCATTGGCCTAATGCTGTGAGCTGCAGCTGTGACATGCCTTATCCTTGCACTGGGCATTCTAGAAGCCTCACTACCAGGGAGATTATCATCCCTGTTTAAAGAAGAGACTGAGTTTCAGAGTCTCCCAAGACACTGCTGGGAAGTGGTGTAGAGTACAACTGGTGCCTGACTTTTCTGTTCCACTGTCCCCAGGGTGTATGTACCCCATCTGAGAGCATCCCTGCTGGCAGCTCAGAGCCGAGCTCCCAGAGTGGAGTGTCCTGGAGGATTTCTTCTGGCTAAGTCCTAGTGAGAGGCTCTGGTCCTCTCTGCAGGGGGCTGAGGGCAGACAGGTGTCAAGCCATCCCCCTCACTGTGCACCTGCTCCTTGGAGGGTGTATTGTTTGCTTTTCTGTTTGTTTAAGCAGAGGGTTCATTTTTTTGTTGTTTTCCCCCCAAAATAATAGCTCTGTTGTTTATCATAAATATTGAAAATGTTTAATATAAATACATAAACAATATGAAGAATTAAATACATGTCTGTCAGATGTATACATATTTATCTATTTATTTATTATTATTATTATTATTTGAGACCGAGTCTCACTCTGTCACCCAGGCTGGAGTGCAGTGGTGCAACCTCAGCTCACTGCAACTTCTGCTCCCCGGATTCAAGTGATTCTCCTGCCTCAGCCTCCTGAGTAGCTGGAATTACAGGTGCGCACCATCATGCCTGGCTACTTTTTGTGTTTTTAGTAGATACGGGGTTTCACCACGTTGCCCAGGCTGGTCTCGAATTCCTGGGCTCAAGCGATCCACCCGCCTCAGCCTCCCAAAGTGTTGGGATTATAGGCGTGAGCCACCTCGCCCAGCCATATCTATCTATTTATATAGAATAAGATAAATTACTTAAATCCTGTCATTCAGCGATAATCACGGTTAACATTATGGTGTACAGTCTTCTGAATTTTCTTTTTGTTTATGTACCTATTTGTGGGTTTTTTTGTTTTTTCTTTTGAGACAGAGTTTTTCTCTTGTTGCCCAGCCTGGAGTGCAATGGCATGATCTCAGCTCACTGCAACCTCCGCCTCCCAGATTCAAACGATTCTCTTGCCTAAGCCTCCCGAGTAGCTGGGATTACAGGCACACACCACCACACCCAGCTAATTTTTGTATTTTTAGTAGAGACGGGGTTTCACCATGTTGGCCAGGCTGGCATCGAACTCCTGACCTTAGGTGATCCATCCGCCTTGGCCTCCCAAAGTGCTAGGATTATGGGCGTGAGCCACCTTGCCTGGCCTGTGTACCCATTTGGATATCAGTATTTGTATGATCCCATTTGTTACATTCTTTTTTTTTTTTTTTGAGACGGAGTCTCGCTGTCGCCCAGGCTGGAGTGCAGTGGCGCGATTTCGGCTCACTGCAGGCTCCGCCCCCCGGGGGTTCACGCCATTCTCCTGCTTCAGCCTCCCTAGTAGCTGGGTCTACAGGTGCCTGCCACCACGTCCGGCTAATTTTTTGTATTTTTAGTAGAGACGGGGTTTCACCGTGTTAGCCAGGATGGTCTCGATCTCCTGACCTCGTGATCCTCCCGCCTCGGCCTCCGAAAGTGCTGGGATTACAGGCGTGAGCCACTGCACCTGGCCACATTCTTTTCTTTTTTTTTTCCCCCAATAGCATGCCATAGGCATCTTAACATATGAGTAACTAGAGACTCTTGTCTTTAGTTTTCATGGCTGCAGCATATTCTCTTGTGAGGCGCCTTGACATAATTAATTTAAAACAGTCCCCTTTAGTGGGAATTTTGGTGGGTATCCAGTTTTACCTTTTGCTTTTTTTGAGAGACAGGGTCTTGCTTCATCACCCAGGCTGGAAAACAGTGGCACAACCATAGCTCACTGCAGCCTTAACCTCCCAGGCTCAATCGATCTTTTCCCGTCGGCCTCCCAAGGAGCTGGGACCAAAGGCACCATCACGCCTAGATAATTTTTAAAATTCTTTTTTGTTGAGACAGGGTCTTGCTACATTGCCCAGACTGGTATCTAACTCCTGGCCTCAAGCGATCCTCCCACCTTGGCCTCCCAAAATGCTGGGACCACATGTGTGAGCCCCTGCACCTGACCTGGAGTCCAGTTTTTGACCCTGGTAATAATGCTGTGATGAATATCCTTGCGTTCATATCCAAGCATTTGCTTTCCTGGAAGTCTGTTACTGTAAACTTTTAGATACAGAACTGTAGGTCATGCTGAGTGTGGCAGCTCACACCTTTAATCCCATCACTTTGGGAGGTAGAGATGGGAGGATCACTTGAGCCCAGGAGTTTGAGAACAGCCTGGGCAACATGGCAAAACCCTGTCTCTATTAAATTCAAAAAACTGTGGGCCAAAAGTTAAGTAGAGTAAAAAACTTAAAACATGTTGCAAACTGCTTTTCAGATGTTTGAGATGGGCTGGGCACAGTGGCTCATGCCTGTAATCCCAGCACTTTGAGAGGCTGAGGCGGGTGGATCACAAGGTCAAGTGTTCGAGACCAGCCTGGCCAAAATGGGGAAACCCCGCCTCTACTAAAAATACAAAATTAGCCAGGCATGGTGGCGTGTGCCTGTAGTCTCAGCTAATTGGGAGGCTGAGGCAGGAGAATTGCTTGAACCCAGGAGGTTGCAGTGAATACTGCATTCCAGCCTGGGTGACAGAATGAGACTCTTTTTTTTTTTTTTTTTTAAAAAAGGAAAAACTATGTGGGATAGATTCAGTCGGCCAGCTGCCAGCCCTGGCTTGTGGAATGTTTTGTTGAACGACTATAGGTATAGCCATGGACTTTTTGGGATCCCTTGGTGTGTGCAGTCGGCCAGCTGTGATGCATTTTCCTGGCATTTGTGAGTTAGCTGGCCTGCGTGTCCACTGCCCCATATGACAACAGGCCTGCTTCTCCCATCCTGCCCCCCAGAATGCTGTCCGTGTCCCACGAGACTTTGAGGGCTGTAGTGTCCTCCGCAAGTACCTCGGCCAGCTTCATTACCTGCAGAGTCGGGTCCCCATGGGCTCGGGCCAGGAGGCCGCTGTCCCTGTCACCTGGTGAGAGCCGCAGGCAGGGCTGGAGGATCCCACGGGGAGTCTGGGTGGTGGGGGTGCTCCTCCCCTCCCTTCCCCCTTCTCCTTGCTGCATAGGATGGGGAATGGCCTCATATGGTCCCCCCAGGCCTCCCCACATCCCCACAATGGGGTGTTTAGTCCCCTTACCTAATCTCAGGGCCCTGGCTAGCTCCTGCCCTCGAGATAACTGGGGTGCCATGTCTGCAGGACAGAGATCTTCTCAGGCAAGTCTGTGGCCCATGAGGACATCAAGTACGAGCAGGCCTGTATTCTCTACAACCTTGGTGAGCTGCCTGATCCCTTCCCCCGGCCCTACTCCCCAGTCCTGCCAGCCTAGCTTTCAGCTCTTCAGATGGCCACAAAGGCAGTGGGCTGATAAAGGGAGGACTCCAGGATTCCCGCCCCTCCACTGACCTCCCCACAGCCCTGCCAGCTCCTCCACTGTTTTCTGGGCTGGGCCCGTGGGGAGCCTCTGCTGGGGCGAGGCTCTACTGGGCTGGCTGCCACACAGAGTTGCCACTGTGTGCTCTGTCTGGGAGAGAGGGCCTTTCTTCTTTGACTGGACAGCCCCTCCCCACTGTGGTTTTGGGCTGCTTCAGGCAGGAGGAGAGTGTGGCTGGCCTCAGCTTACCCTGCTAGTCAGCCTTAGCCTGGCTCAAGGGAGAAGCTTGGGGAGCCCCAGAGTTCTGTGCAAACATCCCTGAAGCTTCAAGATTGGACCCCTTGGACAGGAGCCCTTCCATCCTCTGCCAAATGCAGAGCAGGAGACTGAGGGCTGGGCAGGACTTCTGAGTTTCCCTGTTCCCTCCAGCTTGGGTGTCCTTGGACTCGTTGCCCTGGTTCTCAGAGCCATGTTGTCCTGATTGTGGATAACAGCAGTGCCCCCTCTGTCTCACCTTCACATGGGTGTGAGCAGCCCCAGGCCCCTAACACTGTCCCCTCCCTCCCCAGGAGCGCTGCACTCCATGCTGGGGGCCATGGACAAGCGGGTGTCTGAGGAGGTGAGGAGAGGGGCAGTAGTGGAACATGTGGACATACCAGGGAGGGGCAGCCTCCCAAGTATGGATGAATCCTGACCCATGGAGTGGACACAGGCCATCCTCCCACTCCCTCCCAGGGCATGAAGGTCTCCTGTACCCATTTCCAGTGCGCAGCCGGCGCCTTCGCCTACCTACGGGAGCACTTCCCTCAAGCCTACAGCGTCGACATGAGCCGCCAGATCCTTACGCTCAACGTCAACCTCATGCTGGTGAGGAGGCGCCCTGGTTGGAGTGGAGTTGAATCCAGGGAAGGGGATGGCCAGGGAGGGGGCAGTTGGGCCTGGATCCTGGACCAAGGCAGTGAGGGACAAGCAAGGGGCCTTGGCTTTGTTGAATCAGGAGCACCGTGGTGCTGCTTGGAGTGGGGGCAGCTGGGGGAGAGGGCAGTGAAGAGGGATCCCTCAGTCTGCCCCTGGGGAAGGATAAAGGGAAGGGGAAGCGGGAGGCCTTGGGTGAGCGAGGGAGTGCACCTCACGTGTCGCCCCAGGGCCAGGCTCAGGAGTGCCTCCTGGAGAAGTCGATGTTGGACAACAGGAAGAGCTTTCTGGTGGCCCGCATCAGTGCACAGGTAGGGACGGGGCTGAGGGGAGGCCTTCACTTTACTGCTGACTCCCCCACTCATTGGGCCCCACCCTGTTCTCAGGTGGTAGATTACTACAAGGAGGCATGCCGGGCCTTGGAGAACCCCGACACTGCCTCACTGCTGGGCCGGATCCAGAAGGACTGGAAGAAACTTGTGCAGATGAAGATCTACTACTTCGCAGCCGTGGCTCATGTGAGGGCCTGGGGCCCCAGGGCGGGGCAGGGCGGGGCTGAGTGGCCACAGCTCAGGAAGCAAGTCGTGGCGTCTCTTCTTCTTTCCCAGCTGCACATGGGAAAGCAGGCCGAGGAGCAGCAGAAGTTCGGGGAGCGGGTGAGCTACAGCGAGGAGGGGACTGGGGACCAATGGCAGCCTTCAGTGAGATGCCGGTGTGCTCCCGCTCCTTACACACCAGGGGGTGGCCTTCTCTGTCTCACCCTGGCCATCACCCTGCTGGAGGCCTGGTGTCTTAAGTGTTGTCCCATCTGTGCAGCCCTCGTCCCTCGGGGTCTGAGGAGGTGGGGCAGGCTCCCTACAGAGCAGGTGGCTGGGGCAGGGTGTGGCGCCACCTTGCTGCTGTTGGCTGGGGTGGTGCCCGGCTGCCTCCTGAGCTGCTTGTCATCTGATGGACAGGCAGGGCCGGGTGGGAGGCAGGAGGAGAAAGGGTCCAAGCAGAGGAGGACAGAGCAGGCTTTCCTGCCACCCTCCACAGGTTGCATACTTCCAGAGCGCCCTGGACAAGCTCAATGAAGCCATCAAGTTGGCCAAGGTAAAGCTGAGGAAGGCCTGGCTGCCCTGAGGGTATAGGAGCAAGCCCGGTAGGACTGAGGGGGTGTCCTGGTGCCAGCCTTGGTTAGTGCTAAGGCCCCACCCCTGTCCCTAACCCCACAGGGCCAGCCTGACACTGTGCAAGACGCGCTTCGCTTCACTATGGATGTCATTGGGGGAAAGTGAGTCTGTGGGGGTGGCCCTGGTTCCCTCTTTTTGTGAAGGGTCTTGTCCCTCTGCTGGCATCTACATGGGAAGTAGGTTCTGGATCCCCACTGACACCCCGTGACTGCCCACTCCCCCTGCTCCTGATCCCCAGGTACAATTCTGCCAAGAAGGACAACGACTTCATTTACCATGAGGCTGTCCCAGCATTGGACACTCTTCAGCCTGTAAAAGGTCGGGGAGCTGAGAGGTGGGGGCAGAGGTGACGGTGGGGTGGGGACAGGACACAGGAGGCTGCCTCAAGGACTCTGCGTGGGCCTGATCTCCACAATTCCCACCCCCCCAGGAGCCCCCTTGGTGAAGCCCTTGCCAGTGAACCCCACAGACCCAGCTGTTACAGGCCCTGACATCTTTGCCAAACTGGTACCCATGGCTGCCCACGAGGCCTCGTCACTGTACAGGTGGGTGGAGGGTGGCACAGAGGGAGGTGGGGTGTCTTGAGATGTGGGTCTTCAGCAAATGCTCTGTCGCTTCTGCAGTGAGGAGAAGGCCAAGCTGCTCCGGGAGATGATGGCCAAGATTGAGGACAAGAATGAGGTCCTGGAGTGAGTGTGGGACTTGGGCAGGGAGGCGGAGGCAGGCAGCACTTCCCGGGCCTCTGGGGGCCCCAGGGCTGCCTATGCTGGGAGAGGAATGAAATGTCCATTCCAAACAGGTTTCCCAATGCTGCCTTCCCGCCTGGGGTGGTGGGGCTAGTGTGTAAGGCAGGAGTCATGTCTTGGGAGGAGGAGGTGCCTTCTGTTCCACTGTTTCCAGCAGTGCCCTGGGCATGTTCTGTGAGACCAGGCCAGACCTGGTAGTAGGGGTCCGAGGTCACAATTTGCTCTCTGCTGAGACCTCAGATTGAGTGGTGAGGCTTGCCCTAGCGGCTCCTTTGACATGGTCAGAGTTGGATCAGCACCCAGCACCCACCTGGCCCTGTTGCTCCCCACAGCCAGTTCATGGATTCAATGCAGTTGGATCCCGAGACGGTGGACAACCTTGATGCCTACAGCCACATCCCACCCCAGCTCATGGAGAAGTGCGCGGCTCTCAGCGTCCGGCCCGACACTGTCAGGAACCTTGTACAGTCCATGCAAGGTGAGTAAGGGGCAGAGCAAGCAGGTGGAAGGGAGTGTGGAGGTCATCTGCTGTGGCCTCCTCCGTGTCCCTGGTCACTGAGGATGGAGGCTGCACCCCTCTAGGCCCTGGCTTGGGCATCCACACCCACTCCTCTGAATCAGCATACCTCTTGCACCCTGCTCAGTGTGCGCTGGGCCTCACTTAAGCCCTGACCTGAGGGGGCGGTTCTGTCTCTTGGGGGAGGGGCCCATGGGTGCCCGGTCAGCCTGCCTCAGGGGCTGCCTGTACAATCCACAACCCCAGTGCTGTCAGGTGTGTTCACGGATGTGGAGGCTTCCCTGAAGGACATCAGAGATCTGTTGGAGGAGGATGAGCTGCTAGAGCAGAAGTTTCAGGAGGCGGTGGGCCAGGCAGGGGCCATCTCCATCACCTCCAAGGCTGAGCTGGCAGAGGTGAGGCGAGAATGGGCCAAGTACATGGAAGTCCATGAGAAGGCCTCCTTCACCAACAGTGAGCTGCACCGTGCCATGAACCTGCACGTCGGCAACCTGCGCCTGCTCAGCGGGCCGCTTGACCAGGTCCGGGCTGCCCTGCCCACACCGGCCCTCTCCCCAGGTGAGCCCCACCAGACCCCATTGGGAGACTCGAGCTGGGGGTTTCTCTGGCCTCACTGACCACTGCTGCCCACAGAGGACAAGGCCGTGCTGCAAAACCTAAAGCGCATCCTGGCTAAGGTGCAGGAGATGCGGGACCAGCGCGTGTCCCTGGAGCAGCAGCTGCGTGAGCTTATCCAGAAAGATGACATCACTGCCTCGCTGGTCACCACAGACCACTCAGAGATGAAGGTGGGCTGGGTGAGCAGGGTAGAGGGGCTCTGGCTCCGGGCCCCACCCTTAGGAGTCGAGGCCCTGAGTGTCCGTCCCTGGCCCCCACCCCTTCCTCAGAAGTTGTTCGAGGAGCAGCTGAAAAAGTATGACCAGCTGAAGGTGTACCTGGAGCAGAACCTGGCCGCCCAGGACCGTGTCCTCTGTGCACTGACAGAGGCCAACGTGCAGTACGCAGCCGTGCGGCGGGTACTCAGCGACTTGGACCAAAAGTCAGTGCCCAGTCCTCTGCTCTTTCCCGGAGCCACCTGGAGCCCAGCCCCATGGTTCACCTGGAGCTGGCCCTTCTGCCCACCAGGTGGAACTCCACGCTGCAGACCCTGGTGGCCTCGTATGAAGCCTATGAGGACCTGATGAAGAAGTCGCAGGAGGGCAGGGACTTCTACGCAGATCTGGAGAGCAAGGTGGCTGCTCTGCTGGAGCGCACGCAGTCCACCTGCCAGGCCCGCGAGGCTGCCCGCCAGCAGCTCCTGGACAGGTTTGTGTGGCCCTGGGGCTGTGGTGCGGCTCGGGTCCAGACAGGCTGGGGTGATGGGAGCCTGGCCCCACTTTTTCCTTGCCTGTCGCACAGGGAGCTGAAGAAGAAGCCGCCGCCACGGCCCACAGCCCCAAAGCCGCTGCTGCCCCGCAGGGAGGAGAGTGAGGCAGTGGAAGCAGGAGACCCCCCTGAGGAGCTGCGCAGCCTCCCCCCTGACATGGTGGCTGGCCCACGACTGCCTGACACCTTCCTGGGAAGTGCCACCCCGCTCCACTTTCCTCCCAGCCCCTTCCCCAGCTCCACAGGCCCAGGACCCCACTATCTCTCAGGCCCCTTGCCCCCTGGTACCTACTCGGGCCCCACCCAGCTGATACAGCCCAGGGCCCCAGGGCCCCATGCAATGCCCGTAGCACCTGGGCCTGCCCTCTACCCAGCCCCTGCCTACACACCGGAGCTGGGCCTTGTGCCCCGATCCTCCCCACAGCATGGCGTGGTGAGCAGTCCCTATGTGGGGGTAGGGCCGGCCCCACCAGTTGCAGGTCTCCCCTCGGCCCCACCTCCTCAATTCTCAGGCCCCGAGTTGGCCATGGCGGTTCGGCCAGCCACCACCACAGTAGATAGCATCCAGGCGCCCATCCCCAGCCACACAGCCCCACGGCCAAACCCCACCCCTGCTCCTCCCCCGCCCTGCTTCCCTGTGCCCCCACCGCAGCCACTGCCCACGCCTTACACCTACCCTGCAGGGGCTAAGCAACCCATCCCGGCACAGCACCACTTCTCTTCTGGGATCCCCGCAGGTTTTCCAGCCCCAAGGATTGGGCCCCAGCCCCAGCCCCATCCTCAGCCCCATCCTTCACAAGCGTTTGGGCCTCAGCCCCCACAGCAGCCCCTTCCACTCCAGCATCCACATCTCTTCCCACCCCAGGCCCCAGGACTCCTACCCCCACAATCCCCCTACCCCTATGCCCCTCAGCCTGGGGTCCTGGGGCAGCCGCCACCCCCCCTACACACCCAGCTCTACCCAGGTCCCGCTCAAGACCCTCTGCCAGCCCACTCAGGGGCTCTGCCTTTCCCCAGCCCTGGGCCCCCTCAGCCTCCCCATCCCCCACTGGCATATGGTCCTGCCCCTTCTACCAGACCCATGGGCCCCCAGGCAGCCCCTCTTACCATTCGAGGGCCCTCGTCTGCTGGCCAGTCCACCCCTAGTCCCCACCTGGTGCCTTCACCTGCCCCATCTCCAGGGCCTGGTCCGGTACCCCCTCGCCCCCCAGCAGCAGAACCACCCCCTTGCCTGCGCCGAGGCGCCGCAGCTGCAGACCTGCTCTCCTCCAGCCCGGAGAGCCAGCATGGCGGCACTCAGTCTCCTGGGGGTGGGCAGCCCCTGCTGCAGCCCACCAAGGTGGATGCAGCTGAGGGTCGTCGGCCGCAGGCCCTGCGGCTGATTGAGCGGGACCCCTATGAGCATCCTGAGAGGCTGCGGCAGTTGCAGCAGGAGCTGGAGGCCTTTCGGGGTCAGCTGGGGGATGTGGGAGCTCTGGACACTGTCTGGCGAGAGCTGCAAGATGCGCAGGAACATGATGCCCGAGGCCGTTCCATCGCCATTGCCCGCTGCTACTCACTGAAGAACCGGCACCAGGATGTCATGCCCTATGACAGTAACCGTGTGGTGCTGCGCTCAGGCAAGGATGACTACATCAATGCCAGCTGCGTGGAGGGGCTCTCCCCATACTGCCCCCCGCTAGTGGCAACCCAGGCCCCACTGCCTGGCACAGCTGCTGACTTCTGGCTCATGGTCCATGAGCAGAAAGTGTCAGTCATTGTCATGCTGGTTTCTGAGGCTGAGATGGAGAAGGTGAGAAGAGGGGGTGGGTGCCCACGAGGGCAGTGTGGGGTGGCAGGGCAGGGGATCCTGGAAAACCAGGTCTGTCTTGGCTTATCTGTCCCTCAGCAAAAAGTGGCACGCTACTTCCCCACCGAGAGGGGCCAGCCCATGGTGCACGGTGCCCTGAGCCTGGCATTGAGCAGCGTCCGCAGCACCGAAACCCATGTGGAGCGCGTGCTGAGCCTGCAGTTCCGAGACCAGAGCCTCAAGCGCTCTCTTGTGCACCTGCACTTCCCCACTTGGCCTGAGTTGTGAGTCCACTGCTCTGGATGGTGGTTGGGGGTCTAAGTGCTGTCCAGTCCTTGGTGCTGGGAGGGATGAGAGCCTCAGGTCAGGCCTGGCTCATAGGCTCTTCCTGGCCCCATCCTGTCCCACAGAGGCCTGCCCGACAGCCCCAGCAACTTGCTGCGCTTCATCCAGGAGGTGCACGCACATTACCTGCATCAGCGGCCGCTGCACACGCCCATCATTGTGCACTGCAGGTAGAGGGTGGGCCTGAGGGTCTCTCCTCTATGGGCTCTTGGCCTAGCCTCATACCCCGGCCTCATAACCCCTTCTTGGCACAGCTCTGGTGTGGGCCGCACGGGAGCCTTTGCACTGCTCTATGCAGCTGTGCAGGAGGTGGAGGCTGGGAACGGAATCCCTGAGCTGCCTCAGCTGGTGCGGCGCATGCGGCAGCAGAGAAAGCACATGCTGCAGGAGAAGGTGAGGATCTGGGCAGATGGGGCTGGGATGGGCCTTCTGTCCCAGGGTGACGGGCCCCTGCCCAGCTGACCTGGCCAAATGCACCTGTGCAGCTGCACCTCAGGTTCTGCTATGAGGCAGTGGTGAGACACGTGGAGCAGGTCCTGCAGCGCCATGGTGTGCCTCCTCCATGCAAACCCTTGGCCAGTGCAAGCATCAGCCAGAAGGTGAGGAAGGTTCCGTGGAAGCTGCTGGGAGAGCCACAGCCTTGGGACTCCCTCTCCTCACTCACTCTGTCTTCTCAGAACCACCTTCCTCAGGACTCCCAGGACCTGGTCCTCGGTGGGGATGTGCCCATCAGCTCCATCCAGGCCACCATTGCCAAGCTCAGCATTCGGCCTCCTGGGGGGTTGGAGTCCCCGGTTGCCAGCTTGCCAGGCCCTGCAGAGCCCCCAGGCCTCCCGCCAGCCAGCCTCCCAGAGTCTACCCCAATCCCATCTTCCTCCCCGCCCCCCCTTTCCTCCCCACTACCTGAGGCTCCCCAGCCTAAGGAGGAGCCGCCAGTGCCTGAAGCCCCCAGCTCGGGGCCCCCCTCCTCCTCCCTGGAATTGCTGGCCTCCTTGACCCCAGAGGCCTTCTCCCTGGACAGCTCCCTGCGGGGCAAACAGCGGATGAGCAAGCATAACTTTCTGCAGGCCCATAACGGGCAAGGGCTGCGGGCCACCCGGCCCTCTGACGACCCCCTCAGCCTTCTGGATCCACTCTGGACACTCAACAAGACCTGAACAGGTTTTGCCTACCTGGTCCTTACACTACATCATCATCATCTCATGCCCACCTGCCCACACCCAGCAGAGCTTCTCAGTGGGCACAGTCTCTTACTCCCATTTCTGCTGCCTTTGGCCCTGCCTGGCCCAGCCTGCACCCCTGTGGGGTGGAAATGTACTGCAGGCTCTGGGTCAGGTTCTGCTCCTTTATGGGACCCGACATTTTTCAGCTCTTTGCTATTGAAATAATAAACCACCCTGTTCTGTGGCCCGTGTCTGAGTCTGCCCATTGCTGCCTCAGCTCCAGTAGCACTGCCAGGAACTTAACTTACTTAGCACCTTTTGTGGATGACAGGATGGTACCAAACTGCCACACTACCAGGACAGTTCTTTAAGGGCCCTGCAGTTCTGGCTTGCTCATCCTCCCCGTGCCACACTGTATGTATGTTTCCTCAGCAGCTCTGAGGAGGGTCCAGGCAGAGTGTGTGCACAAACAATTCCAAGAGACACAAGTAGCTCCCAAAGTGCCTGACAGATGATGATATGGTTTTTTAAAAAAGTTTAATATTATTACAGTCAGGAGGCAGCGGCTGGAAGATACTCGGCTCTTTCCCCCAAGTCCAGGTTCAGTGCATTGGCCCCCACACAGCACCCCAGCCTCCTGCCTGGGCAAGGAGGCCCTGCGCTCAGTCCAGCTTCTCCAGCACAGAGGGCACATACACCAGGCTGAGCTCACTGCCAAAGTTGCAGACAATGGCAGCGTTGTCCAGCACCAGGATCTGGCGGGCAGGCTGGGCCTCACTGTTCTTCCCCAGGTAGACTGTCTGTAACAGGTCCCCGTAGTTTAGGTCCCAAAAGGAGACACAGCCCTGGCCGCCAGTCACCAGCAGGTTGTCTGAGATGACACCCAAGCTTGCACCACAGCCCAGGTCCTGGAGGCAAGGACATGACAAGCTCAGTCCTGAGTCCTTCCCTAAAATCCCAAGAATCCTATGATCCCCATCCCCTCTACCTGCTGAATGGAGTAGAACTTGATGCCTGTGCTGCGGTCCCAGATGCTGATGAGGTCATCCAGGCCACTGCTGATGACACAGGAGGTGGTACAGGTAAGGGAGGTGACATCCCCACGGTGAGCAAACACATGGCTGACCCGGCTGCCAGTCAGTACATCCCACAGGCAGATGGCCCCATCTTGTCCTCCACTGGCCAGCACCATGGTCTGGGGAAACAGGCCAGGGGAGTGGGGTCACCATGGTGTAATACCTCTGTCAACAGTGGTGTCCCTGTGCCCCAGTGGGTGGGGCCCTGACTGCTTCCTGGAAGGCCCCTGGGGACCAGCTCCCAGGAGTCAGCAAACATGGGCCACAGACTCTGTACCCCCTACCCCACCTGCAGGCCGCTTACCTGGTCAATGTACACGGTCGTGATGGCCCCTGAGTGGCCCTGAAGGGTGAAGAGGCAGCACGAGTCCTCCAGACGGAACACCTGGGACAGGGATGGGCCTCAGGTTCTGGTCTCTGGGATTTTCCAAGTTATACTTTGGCTGGGAAATGCCCTCTGTTCTTCATCAGGACTCTTCCAGCCTCTCCCTGACGAATGCATCAGGCTCCCACCCCGTGCCGGGCCACTCCAGCACCCAAGAGACAAGACAATACTCACTCTCAGTGTGTGGTCTTGGCTCCCAGTCACCAAGCGCCCAGCAGCGGCTTTCAGGGCTGTGATGGGTTTTTGGTGTGCACAGGGCACTGTGTGGGTCAGGTGACAGGCCACTGTGTCGCTGCTGCTGTACACTGGAGAGGCAGGGGAACTGCCCCGCCCTGGGGTCCCTGAGGACAAAAGGCCAAGTGAAGAATCTCTGAGAAAGCAATGGGTAGACGGCCCCTGCCCGTCCCACCAAGTGTGAACACCTGCCCACCCCAGGCCCTCCGACCTCTAAACTGCAGGGGGCTGAGGGCAGTGTGGGTCTCCAAGGAGAAGAAATCAAGGGAACCGTTGAGCCGTGCAGCCACAATCCTGGAAGAGAAGAACAGCTGCCAGGGGCCTCTCCCTTAGAGCCCCAGCCCTGGGGCTGAGCATGTGGACATGAGAGTTAAGGGCCAGTTCAAGAAGGCACAGGAGGGACATGGCCAAGAGGAAAGCACATGGTGCCAGAACAGATGCTGGAGCCAGAGGGCAACTCCAAATATTAACCACCTTGTGCCTCAGTTTCTTCATCCGTAAAATGGGGATAAGAGTACCCACCTCACAGGGTGGTCATGAGAATCAAGTGAGCTAACGTGTAAGGTGGTACCTGGTGAATATCACGTAAGTTTGTAAATTAAAAACAAGCAGAGGGCTCCATGTAGCCTGGAGCTGAAGGGAGGGCTGCTGAGGGGAAACAGGATGCAGGGTGGGCTATGTTGGGTGTTGCGGAAGCCTGCATTCTCCACATAAAAGCAGCTTCAACCCAAGCACAGCTCACATCAATTCCTTTTTCCATAAAGAAACAAGGATTTTCTTTGCTCTCCAAAATTCCTAGGTACAGTCTGACAGGCAGGGATGGGTATATTTGCCCAGTAACCCCAAAGCCTCAAAGCAGATGGGGTTCAAAATCTTACTGCAGGGAAAGGCAATGCATGTCTGCCTACAACCTCTGCCCATGAATTTGAAGGGCCTGCACCAGAGCTGGGGAAGCCAGTTTTATGATTGGAAGTGGGTGGACAAGGAGAGACCACAGTCACCAGGAACCCTGATGGTCAGGTTGAGACATCGGGGCTTTCCTTAAAGCTAAAACAAGCAGCAAAGGAGAATTTCCAAGAAGCATGGAGGGGCCTGGTGAAATTGGCCAGGCTGGAGGGGAGGATGTCAGCCAAAGCCCATGCAGAACCTGTGGTGACAGGAATGACGGCAGCAGCCCACTGGCAGAAATCAACATCACTAAGGGCAAGGGACGCCCCCTCCCCAAGGAAAAAGACTCCAGCTCTAGGTCAGATGGTGCTGCCACCAACAGTCAAGGAGCCTTGGAGGAGGAGCCAGTGTGGGACAGGCAGGCAAAGGCGTCCGGCAGAAGGCACCTGGCCACTGGGTGGAGACCCAGGTTCACCAGCTTGGAGGTGGGGCCAGAACCCAGGTGGCTGAGACTCCCCAAGGAGTGTGCATGCAGACGGAGTACTGGGGACGCCCACAGCCAACAGGCTTGCTGAGGAGGCCAAGCACGACAGAGGCAGGGAGAGCAGAGAACAGCTGCCAGCGGCCAAGGAGAAGAGAGGGTTCTGCAAGCGCACTCTGTAACTAAAAATGCAACCAAGATACCCCAAAGGCTCAATATTGACAAGCTAATCAGAGAAACTGGCTTCATTGAGAAGGGCGAGAAAGGATAGGAGTATATCACTCCCCACTGTCACTGCTTAAGGCCCTGGGAGGTCACCATGTGCCATGCCCTATTCCAAGCACGTCACACCCCTAACGCTTTTTTTTTTTTTTTTTTTTTTTTTTTTTGAGACGGAGTCTCGCTCTGTCGCCCAGGCTGGAGTGCAGTGGCGGGATCTCGGCTCACTGCAAGCTCCGCCTCCCGGGTTCACGCCATTCTCCTGCCTCAGCCTCCCAAGTAGCTGGGACTACAGGCGCCCGCCACTACGCCCGGCTAATTTTTTGTATTTTTAGTAGAGACGGGGTTTCACCGTTTTAGCCGGGATGGTCTCGATCTCCTGACCTCGTGATCCGCCCGCCTCGGCCTCCCAAAGTGCTGGGATTACAGGCGTGAGCCACCGCGCCCGGCCACCCCTAACGCTTTTAATTGTTACCTTCCCATCCAAGTGGACTGCCCTCTGCTCACAGGTGTGGAGCTGGGCACCAAGAAGGTCAATCGAATCATACAGTACAGCAGTTGAAGAGAACCAGAACTCAAGACTCAAGAGAGTATGGCCTAGCCAACAAAGGCTGGGGACATCTGGGGCTGAGGCAGGCCACGCTCACCTTTTGTCCAAGAACACCAGAGCGGTAATGCCTGAGGAGACCTCCTCGCTGCTGCAGCACAGCACCCCTTCAATGGCGTCCCACACCTACGAGTCCAGAGGCTGTGAGCACCTGCCAGCCAGAAAGGCCCACAATCCCCGGGGCGGACAGCCGCTCTGCCCACCTTTAGCCCCTCTGCCCACCTCCAGCCGGCCGCTGCTCCGCCCCACCACGATGAGGTTGCCCTGCAGCTCCAAGCTCCAGATGGAACCCTCGGCACTGGGGGCCCAGGCGAGGGAAGGGGAGCCTTTCTCGGGGGAGCCACCCTCGTCCTCAGGGGCCTGGGACAGCACCGGCCCAGGCGAGGGTGGGCGCAGGGCTGGTGTGCAGACGGCCGCCAGCCCCTCCTCCTGGTACACCCGCTGCACCAGGCAGCTGAAGTCATAGCCTGGGGAGTCCCGAGAGCGGCCACAGACCGCCCGGTGCCGGGGCTCGGGCTGAGTGGGCTGTGAGGACCGAGGCTGCGCTGAAAAGTTGGTGTCAATTAAGCAGGTGAGGTCAGGCTGGTCCCCGAAGAGGGAAGGCGGCGGAGGGCCCCGGGGGCGGTGTCTCAGGGGAGGGCTGTCCCCAGGCTCCTCTGGACCAGCCTTCCCACCATCTGAAAGTCGTTCCCAGCTCTCCTGAGCCTCAAGCCCGCTGCCCACGCCACTGTCCCGGCGCTGCCTGCTGGGGGCCAGGAGGGCGGAGTGAGAGGGGGCACGGGGGAGGGGGGTGAGAGGGGGCGGGGGACGGGGGTGAGAGGGGGCGTGGGAGTGAGAAGGGGCAAGGGAAAAGGGGGTGGGGGGAGAGGGTGGTGCGGGGTGGGGAGAGGGGGGTACGGGGTGGTGGGAGGGGGTGCGGGGGTGGGGGGAGAGGGGGCCTGGAGGGGTTGGGGGATACCTCGGAGGAAGAAAGGAGGGGAGATACGTGGCGGCGGGGGGTGGGGTGAGGGGGGTTGTGGGGGCACAAAGGAGGAAAGGGCAGCCGCACCTACCCTGGGCGCGGAATGCGCGTTAGGCAATCCCCGGTCTGCGCGTCCCACACGCAGACGTGGCCTGCCAGGCAGCAGCTCACCAGCAGCATGCCGTCGCTGGCCAGGCACTCGATGTCCTGCAGAAGCCCGGTGTTGGTATGGGCCAGGCTCCGGCCCTCCCCTACCCGGCCACTGTGCCCCTGCTCACCATGAGGTGGCCGCGCAGCACAAGCGGCACGATCTCCGTCTCGGGTGGCGCATAGCCGTAGTCGTCGCAGGGCAGCTCCCCGCGCCTCCGCCGCCCGGGCCCACCACCCAGCTGCCCGTAGTTGCGCGGGCATAGCACGCGGTAGAGGCAGAGCAGCAGCAGCACCAAGACGATGCCGGTGGCCAGGCCCAGCGCCGCCACCCTGCACGGGAGGGCGGACTGCTGTGAGACACACCTCACAGCCTGTCCCCTCCCCTCCTCCCTCTCCCCTACTCTTGCCTACCCGTCCCCCTCCCCGCACTCTTTCCCACCCCACCCCACCCAGCAGCCTTACTTGTACAGCGTGACGTCTCCATGGGCCTGCACCCCACCTGGGCCCTTGGGTCCTGCTTCCCAGTGCCCAGCAGGTATGGGCCCCGGTGGGGGCCAGGCACTGCGGCCGTCCTGAGGGTGCCGGCCCTCCAGAGCCTCCCTCGGGTTCAGGCGGAGCGTGACTGGGATGACGGGCAGCAGGCTGATGTACCTGGATTCGGACAGTGGGCAGCCTCAGCGGGGGGCCTCCCAGGGCTTCCTCCTGCTGTGCTCGCCAGCCAGTCCTCTCCCTCCTCCCCAGGCAGGCCTCAGCTCCACCGGCCAGACTCTCCCAGCATGGGGGGTTGGGGACAGAGGTAGGTCCCTCCCCAGCCCAGCTTAGCAGCCAACTTGCTGTCCCAGATACCAGCACCCAAACAGCCCTGGTGGCCGTGTGGGGTATCTCCCTCCCCACTCCTGGCACAGGTGGGTGGGTCTCATTCTGGTGAGGGCTGGCAGCCACCAGTGACTCCTCAGAGCAACCTGGGACTCCTCTCTTGGGTTATAGCTGCCTAAACCACCAGTTCCCACCTCACAACCTTATGAACTGTTTTAATTATTTGCATAATTCAAACCTGTGGGCCTCCTGCATTGGGGAAAGGGGATGGTGAGTTGACACCATCGAGTGAGGTGGCACCTGGCACGGCCCAGCTCACCTCTTGGCCAGTGTGATGTTGTAATAGCTGAAGAGCGTCGGCCAGTGGCGGAAGGACAATTTCCTCCAAAGTTCCTCATCCTCAGGCCCCCAGGTTACCTCTGGGACTGGGCTGTCATGGACAACCTCTGCTGGACCTCCACGCTCAGGTGACTCGCCTGGCGACGTCTGGTTCTCAGGTAGCTTAGGGGCATCAGGTGGGAAGATGGAGAAGGCAGGGTCCGGGTGGCTGGGGGGCAGCATGCCACTAGGCACGGGCATGGGAGCCAGGGCTCCCTCACCCAATGGGCTCTGTTCCGTCACCTGGGCAGCGAGGTAGTTGCGCAGCCCTGCTGGGTCTGTGTATACCAGGATGCCAATCCAGACAACGGTGCCAGCCTGCAGTGGGGCAGGGGGTACTCAGTGGGAGGAATGGGCCCCAACCCCCAGCAGCTTCAGCCCTCATGCTGAGAGGAAGCAGCACAGGGACCTCAGGCCTGGGGATGGAGAGAGGACACAGGCCCCACTGCGTCCTTTTCTCCTGCCTCTCCAAGTCCTCCTGCTAACACCTGCCAACACTTGCTGCTGGAGGGGCCTGCTTGCCTTTCCACAGTTAGGGGCTGAGTTTCTTGGCCTGGAAATACACTGAAGCACCCTGAGGTTTGACACAGAATGTCCCCACCCCTAAGCTCCACCTCAGCTGGAGCCAGAAAGCTGCTACCATTCCTACGGTCAGAGGGCCAGCAACCTGACCTGCTCCAGAGTCCCCCAGAGGTCCTAGTCCCAGGGGGCCTCAGCCTTCCTCCCATCTCAGTTCAGCTCCCTGGAAGAGGCACTGCTGCCCCAAGGCCAGCCCAGCCCGGCTGGTGAATGATTTTGCCCAGCACTTTCCAGTGTCTGCACACCATGCAGCGGCCGATGAACCCGACCCAGGGCAATGTGGTGGCCACAAGTGGGTCCATCCCAGAGCACTCAACTAACAGGCTCCTGTCCTGGGCCACTCTGGGGAGAGGATGGCTCCTGTACCTGAGAACCCTGGAGCTGCTTCTCCCACAGGCTTATCTCCTCAGAAGCCACTAGGGTCTGGGCAGGGAGGACACAACGGGCAACTCCCCAGAGCCAGGCTTCCAGGGGCCACCAGGGCCTGAGGAATACCCTTTGCCACTCTAAGGCCAAGTGCAGCACCACAAGGGGCCTGGAGCACCGGCCCTCCAGAAGAGGGCAGGGCAGGGCAGGGGTGGCAGGTACCATGATGAGGCGCTGTGCCAGGCGGGTGCGGGCCAGGAAGTAGACAACACGCAGCCTCTTGGGGAGCCGCAGGTTTCGGAAGGAAGACGGCTGCAACGTGATGGTGTGGGGTGTGGACGGCCTCACAGCCAGCTGCCGCTCGTAGCGCGTTGGCTGTCCCACTGGCTTGGCTGAGGGCAGGCAGGCCTCAGGGGGCAGTCGCTTGTTCAGGTCTGCTAGCTGTTGGGGGCACAGTGGTCAGGGCCTGAGTCCACCATCCAGAGGCTGCTCGCACAGGACCGCTGTCCTGCCCGAGGTCTACACCCTTCTCACCCAGGACTCCCTCAGTACAGCCAGGGCTGAGGAGGCGGGCAGGGCAGGGCTCAGCCCACTCCTACCTCCATCCGGCGAATGTCAATGGACAGGACAGTGGTGAAAAACAGCATCTGAAGGAAGAAGTCAGACACCAGCCCCACGACAGCAAAGAGACAGAACTCCTGGAATCAGAGCACATGGGGATGGGGGGGTGCCGTGACCTCACTGTCCCAGCCCAAGAGGAGCAGTACCCGGACTGCAGCCACCTCATAACCGGCAGGGCAGCAGCAGGCAGGGCACAGCAGAGATGAGAGATGCTGGTTGGTCCTCAGCTCACATACCAGCAGCAGCTCACCCCGTCTCCACCAGGGGGCAGAAGAAACCCTCACACTTTCTTCAGAAAGGGCTGAAAGGGAAGGGGAAGTACCTTCCCTGAATCTTCCGGTCCCTCTAGAGGGGACTGAAGGCCTGATCCAACCCGGAAACCTCTAAGCCCCACCAGCCTGCTCCCCAAAAAGTCCTTCCCCACTGAGCCCCCGCCCTGCTCATGCATCACCAACCCAGCTAGAGCCCAGGCCTGATTCAGGGGCTCTCAGAAAGGTTCCCAGCCAGCAACTGCCCCGGAACAATGAAGAGAGAGAGAGAGGGATTAATTCTCTAAAACTGAAAAAGGGTGAGCTCTCTGCTCCCCAAGCTCTGTCAGCAGACAAAATTTTCTGAGATGTCGGTGTTGAGACCTCTAGCACATCACCACAGTGCTACTCCGATCTGGGGTAAGACCATGGAGTGCAGATAGTGGCACAGTGGTTGTCTCAGCTCTAACGTCCCAAGACTGTACCCTATCCTGCAGATACTACTGTTTTTCCAGGAGAAGCAGCCCACAGCCCATCTGTTCTCTGCTCACCCCCATCCCTCAGCTGGCCTGCCAGCCCTGGGGGAAAGACGGGCGAGAAAAGATGGCATCCTCCCCTTCCTGCAACTCCTTCTGGAATGGCTGGCATCAGTCTGGGGTTCCAGCTCAGTGCAGGGCCACCTCCACCTCTGCTCACAGCCCACAGCTGAGTGAGGGCACTTTGCCAAGAGCAGGGTCACTCTGGGCAATGGGTGGTGGCCCTCCCACTGGTCAGGCCAGGCAAGGCCATGCGTCTGGCGACTGCGGCACAGGCCAGGGCCAAGGGAGGAGACCGGAGGAAGGGTCTAGGAACCCCACGGTGCTTCTCCCTCAAAAATGGGAAACAGGTGTGACAAACTGCACAGCCAGTCCCCAGCTCCTGCCATGCCCTTGCAGCCTCCTCCTGCCACTTGGCTGAAAGGGAAGCAGGCAGGGAGGGGTAGGAAGACAGGGTCAAGGGCAGAGTCTGCCTGGCTAGGTGCTCAATCTGGGAACCCAGCCAGGGTTTGCTGAGCACTTCTGAGCCAGGCATGCCAGGGGCCATCTGGGTGCTGTAGTGATCTGCTTGCCAGGCAAAGAGGTCCCACCTCAGAAGCAAGGATGCCTGTGCTGAAGAGGGGAGCACCCTGCCCATGGCTGCACAGCTGGGGAGCACAGCAGTTGCTTCCATGCTCATCCAGGTGGCAGGCCTTGGGGCCTTACCTGGATGGCGGGCACTAGGGTGAAGTAGCCGATGAGGATGATGCCCAGCTCCGTGGCCATGTTCTTCATGATGGACCAGCTCTCGCTGCTTAGGCCTGCAGAGGGCAGCAACAGGGCACAGGGCAACACATGGCCACTCTGCGACATGACTCACACAACCTCATGGGCCTCGGAGTGGCAGAGGCATGGCAAGGCCCCCCAGCCCTTTGAAGGAGCCATTCCACCAAAGCACCCCAACCCTCAGGGTCCTGCTAATGCCCAGACTTTAAGGGGCCATCACCACCACACAGCTGCTACGGGGAACGGGTGTTCACAGCCTGGAGGGTGCAGAGGAGAGCTATAATCATCAAAAGAGGGAAGAAGCAGAGTGTGGAGATGAGAAAATCCACAAGGAAAGCCAAGTGCCACCCACAACAACCACATCCAACCTCCGCATGTGGTTCTTGTCTGGTCTGCACGGGCCAGCATGACAGTGTGCCCATCAACCACATGGCAGAAGCACTCGGCGGGTAGAGGACCTGGCTGCGTTCTTCCTCAAGCCCCTTCCTGTAGTGAGCCCTGATCCCACGCTATCACACTGTCGCATGTCTAAGGCTCTGTGCTCTTACTGGGTAAGGACAATTTCGCCCCATCTCTTCCTAACTCCATATCCAGCACAGGGCCTGGCTTATCACAGAGGCTCACAGAGGTCTGGATGAATGGACGGCTGCCTACAGCCCCATTCCTCACAGACATGGGGTGACGAGGAAGAAGAGGCTCAAGTGACCAGGCCTCCAAGGCCAGGCTCTCCCTTTTCTCATTTTCCCTAGAACCCCAGATCCCCAGTTTCTACCAGCAGGGCCAGAGGGAGCTTTTCTGGCAGCCGTGAAGGCAGCGTCTCTGAAATGGCCAGCCCCCGGGGCTTGGGCCTAGTGTGCTGGAGTGAGGCAGTAAGAGAAAATACTAGGCGCTAAACTCCCCAGACAGAAAGCCACCACCAAACACAAGCCCCACCCACACTGAAGTGCAGTGGTGTGATCACGGCTCACTGCAGCTTTGACCTCCCAGGCTCAAGCAATCCTCCCACCTCAGCCTCTTGAGTAGGTGGGACCACAGGTGCATGCCAATATGCCCTGCTAATTTTTCTATCTTTTGTAGACATGGGGTTTCACCATGTTGCCCAGGCTGGTCTTGAACTCCTGGGCTCAAGTGATCCACCTGCCTCAGCCTCCCAAAGTGCTGGGATTACAGGTGTGAGCCATGGCACCCAGCCTGGTTTACTTTCTTACTGACACATGAACCAGGACGAAGTACAGTCCAATGGCCCCATGGCTCCCCAGGGCACACACTCAAGAGCTGCCAGGGCCCAGTGGCCCACTGCATATTATGCCGGAGGCAAGAGCAAGGGACATTTCAAGGGCTCTGTTTGCTCACAGAGCGTTAACAGCAAGAGGAACAGGCCCCATTCCAGCCCCTCCTGCAGCCCTCTGCCCAACTCTCCCACTGCGTTACCTTGGGCGATCCGCAGCTTCACCTCCAGGTCTACCGGGGTTGAGACCACAGACTTGGTGAGCACCAACACATTCTCTAACCCAATAACCACCACAAGGTAGGGGAAAATCTCGCTGGGGACAGAGAAGGAGAAGGTGAGGACAGTGTTGTGGTGGTTCCCAACAGACTGGGGCCCTCAGGAAGGCTGTGGGGTTTCCAGCCTGTCATGGGGGCTGCTGAGTGACTCCCACAGGTGCTGGGCAGAAACCCTCCCTTGTCCACCTCACCCAACAAGACCTGCATCTACACAGCACTCAGCTTTCAGGCAGGCTCCAGAGCCTTGCAGAGGGGCCAGCAGCCATCCTGTCTCTAGCCATCCAGCACAGGAGGGCTGGAAGAGGCCCCTCAGGGAGAGCTGTGCAGCGCCACTGCTAGACCACACTTCTGCTGGCCCTTCCCAGGAGAAGACTGCTGGCTAAAGACAATGACTGCTGCCAAGACCCACACCAGTAACTCTGGGTGGACCCATCACAGCTAAATGCAAGGAGATGAAACCATCCTGAAGGCCCACTCACCTTTGTTGAGAAGCTGTGTGTGGAGAAGAACGACTGTTCCTACACAAAGCTCTACCAGCTATCTGAGCCCACTGTCCCACACTCCCCGCAGCAAACCCTAAGAAAGTCTATGTGCGAGGAACGCCAGCCAAGTTATACCTTGCAGGACCTCTGCTTTGGAGCCGAAGGAAGGGAGGGCCCTGTGAAGGGTATGGCAGACGGTATGGGGGAGGGTGGTGTTTAACAGTGTCAAGCTCAGGAAAGGGAGCAGGTATCTAAGAGCAACGAAACTACCAGAAACAAAATACGACGTCGCTTTTCATACGACCAGCCTGATGGGCCAAAGTGGTGGACAGGCCAATCCATAATCCATTAATAACCATTAATAGACAGGCAGGCGGGCCTAGCCAGAGCCAAGATCAAAGCCTGAGGACAAGCCGAGGGAAGGGCTTCCAGACTAAGGTTCAGAGAGGAGTGGCAAGGGGAAAGTAAACATCAGTGAAAAAGGCGACAAATTACAGTGTGCTCATATCTTCCAAAGAGCTTCCTCTAAAATGACCTATTTCATTAGGCATTTAAATGTTCTAATCATGAAAAAAAAAATGTTCTCTTCTCTATCTCACACCTCCAGTGGCTTAAGCCATCAAGCTGCAGTGTGTGTGTGGTGTGTGTATATAGAATACATAAACACAGACACACAAATCCGACTACACACATGCAATACATACTCATGTATACACAAACATACCAACACACACCCCTTATATACACACCCAGCCCACAAATATGCACTTTTGTACATATGGACACTCACTATAGCTAGATATGCTATATACAAACACAAGTATGAATACAAGCCAGACAAAGAAGAGGAAGAAAATGTACCTCTTAAATGTCAAAAACAACAATGTGAAGACGTGAGGTCACAGCAAAGTCCAGGGAAGGCCAAGAACCCAGAAGTGCAAGGCTCTCTGGCCTGAGCCCACCCTGTGGCCCAGTGGAGCCTGCTAGGGACCTACCCGCCATTGAGGGTGGGCGTCAGGCCGAAGAGTGTGCAGAGTCCCACAGACATGAGCAGCGAGCTGAGCACTGTGACCACGGCAGCCAGGGCCAGCCCCCACTTGGACTTGACCATGTCGATCTTCCCTGGAGGGCAGAGAGGGCGTATCAGGGCGGCCCCTCCCCCAGCCCCCGGCCCACTGGGGCTCCCGGGAGTAGGTTGCCCTGACAGTCGAGGAAGGGAAAACTCCTGGTTTCACCAAAGGAAAGGGACAGGCACAAGCACTTCCCAGTGTCATGGACACAGTACACCTTTTAGGAACCCTAACCCAGGAAGGGGCTGAAAGTGGGAAGAGCCCCGGCCCCACCCAAGCTCCTAAGACCCTGCTGGGGGACAAAGCCCTAGCTCTGATGACCACCAGGTGTGTTCTATCTCTCTACCCCAAGCCACCTCCAGAGCCAGGGAAGCAGGTGACATGGAAATGCCCGTTTAGCTTGGAGAAAGCCCTCAGCCTCCCTGCCATGAACCTACGCGTGGAGAAGTAGATGTAGGCAAACAAGATGATGTAGGTGGTCACAAGGGGGATGAGCTCAGCGACACCAATCTCCTCCTTGAAGTGCACGTGGACCAGGCTCTCCGCCCGAAGGCTGCAGTTGGGGCTGGGGTGCAGAAGCATCAGGCGGGCACGCAGGCTGCCCAGGAACCTGGTCAAGGAGCAGGGTGGGGGTAAATGGAAGTGTTGCTCTTGGTTCTGGGGACAAAGACAATCCCCGGACAGAGGGTCCATCAGGACCTCCCTCCTGCCCCTGTGTTGAAAGGGAACTTCTCTATGGTGCCTGAGCTTCTCTATAGTCTCCAGGGGCACTGGGAAAATCACAAAGGGGACAAAGTTTTCTCAGGAGCTCCCCCTGCTCCTTTCTTTGTCTCCCTTTCCGGACCTACTCCAACACTCTCTTTTTTATTTATTTATTTATTTTATTTTTTATTTTTTGAGACAAGAGTCTCGCTGTCGCCCAGGCTGGAGTGCAGTGGCGCCATCTGGGCTCACTGCAAGCTCCGCCTCCTGGGTTCACACCATCCTCCTGCCTCAGCCTCCCGAGTAGCTGGGACTACAGGTGCCCACCACCACGCCCGGCTAATTTTTTGTATTTTTAGTAGAGACGGGGTTTCACCGTGTTAGCCAGGATGGTCTCGATCTCCTGACCTCATGATCCGCCTGCCTCGGCCTCCCAAAGTCTGGGATTACAGGCGTGAGCCACCGCGCCCGGCCTCCAACACTCTTGATTGCCAGAGGCCTAGGAGAGCCGATCAGAAGCACCTCGAGTGCCCTTGCCAATTGGGGAGCTGCCTGCAGTGCCCCACTGGGAAGGACACAGGCCATATAGGGTGCTCAGTAGTAACCAGCTGGGGATGCCTGCCCTAGGCTCAAGAGAGACCAGAGGAGGCACCAGGACACTGAGACCGCCAGCCCTACCTTAGTCCCCTATGCTTAACCAGCTGTCAGGTCATCCCCATTAAAATGTGGTAGACAGCATCATCTAGTCTGAGGGATGTAAACATTCAACAGGAGGCCTGGAAACTCTCCCAAGTTTCCAGGGGGCATTCAGAACACTCTAACCAGAAGAGGGACTACTCAAAGCCTCATGTCACCCAGCAGACCAGTCAAGAGCCCAGGGTACTGTCAATCTTACTTGGCATGGTAGTGCTGGAAGACCAGGGTGATGGTGTAGGAGACCATCCTCTTCCTGGTGTAGAGGCTCACCCCGCTGTACTTCCCAGGAACACCAAATAACAAGTCTGCAAGCAGAAACCAGCAGGTACTGACACAGAAATGACAGCTACTGCAGAGCCACCAAGGACCCCTTTCTCACCCCCACCCTGGGAAACAAAGGGTAAACCCTGATCTGCCTAAGCACACATCAAAAAGACGGTGACCAATGGGCACCTTTACAGGTCTGAAGGGAACTTGTACTGGGGCTACCTTTGAGTGTGGCTGAAGTCTGCAGGGTTTTAGGCTCGTGCTGGTGGATGGTCCCAATGATGTCAGGATCAGCATGGAAGCGTTCCCAGTCATTCTGCCAGAAGTTCCCAGGGGACAGCAGCAGGCATCCATGCTCAGGGAGTAGGTTCCTGAGCTTCCTAAGGCCTGGCAGCAGGTCGGTCACTTGCAGACACAACTCCTCCAAGCTCCTGATCCCAGAGCTGCACAGGAGACAGGACAAGGCACCTGCTGTGTCTGCCACCACAGGGCAGACCTGCTGTACTTAGGGGACATCCTCTGTCTGTTCTTCAATGCCCCATATTTGCTCTCTGGTATCGCCAAAGAGCCTGACCACTAGGGCAGCAGGGGGAAGTACTTCCAGGTGGCCAATAACCTAAACATGTGGCTGTCTGACTTTCAAAGTGCATCTGAAGCCCAAAAGCCCATCAGCTCTGAGGACGGGCAAGTGTACTATAAGAGCATGCACAACCCCACCCACTAAAACACCCTGGCCAGTTCAGTGGATGAGCAGGGACCGGGGTAAATTAGGGGCTTCATTTAGTTCACCAAAATATCTGTCAACGCCACTAGCTAACTAAAACCTGGCAGTGATGCAGCTTGCCAATTACACACATTGTATGCCAAGCCAGCATAACCCAGGGACCCACTGATAGGCAGGGGAGCACGACTTGGGCTGGGGCTTCAGAAGGTACCCCCAGGTAGAGCTTGCTTCTCGTCGGCAGAGACACCACCATTACATTCACACCATAACCCACAGGCAGGAAGCCATGTGGGTCATGAGTTAGCACAGTGGACACTGACTCCATCTGAGATGTAAGGATGAGACTCAAGGCTATGTGTGTGCCATCTGCATAGGTCCAAGCGGAATGCAGCCACCGTAGACCCACAAGGATGCTGAGAAATTCAAGGCTAGCTCACCCTCCATCCTTCTTGCTTGTTCTATCTCTGCAGAGCTGACTGGCTCACTGCAGTTACACTGAGGACTGTAACTCTCCCTTCAGTACAGAATGGGATTCAGGGAGGCCAGGGTCCCTGAGAGGGGTACCTGTCTCTCAGCACGTGGTTCCGGATCTCCTCCACCAGTTGGAATGCCCGGGACAAAGGTGAACGAAATACATCTACTGCCAGGAGGTTCTTGTGCCAGGGAAACACTGAGGACTTCACAAATATCTGCTGGACATAAGCCACCGGGGCACCCACATACTGCAGAAGAAATGAGGGAGGGCAGAAAGGGCAGCTGAGCACAGGAAGAAGAAAGACGGTCCAATTCAAGGGATTTAATGGGCATTGGAAACCGTGCCCCACAGAGTTAAAGAAACCAATGACTAATACAAGTTCTTGAGTTTGCAGGATGGCAGATAAGAAAAGAAACAATTTGCTGAAACCCAGAAACTCCCTCCGCTTATGAGATAAAAGAACTGGCTGAAATAAGCTGGAACCAAGATGGCCGACTGGAGTTGTGCAGAATGAGCTTGCCGATGTCACAGCCTGAATTTCCACTGCCATGTTTCATACTAACTCCCCCCGGAATTTGCACATGGGACCTGTGAGGTGGCATCAAGAGATAACTGGGCATGCTCAAAGACTTCCCAGAAATCACCCTTCCTTCCATCAATCATCTGCTAATCCTAGTATCCACCCTCTAAACCTTTCCTAATAAAATTACTGCCTTAAAGCCAGCACAGGGAGACAGATTTGAGCTGGACTCCGGTCTCCTAGGGAGTCAACCTTCAATATAAAGCTTTTCTTTTCCCCAAATCCTGGTGTCACAGTATTGGCTTCTAGCACATTGGGCAGCGAGCCTCTTTTGCTCAATAACACATCTACTATGGGCAAAGCACTGTGGGACCAGGTGTAGGCAAACGATGGCCTGTAGGCCAAATCAGGGCCCATGCCTGTTTTTCTTTTTGAGACAGGGTCTTGCTCTATTGCCCAATCATGGCTCACTGAAACCTCAATCTCCCAGGCTCAAGAGATCCTCCCACCTCAGCACCCCCACCCACCAAGTAGCTGAGACTAGAGGTGTGTGCACCACCACCACGCCTAATTTTCAAAAATGTTTTGTAGGGACAGGGTATCACTATGTTGCCAGGCTGGTCTCGAACTCCTGGGCTCAAGTGATCCTCCCATTTTGGCCTCCCGAAGTGCCACACCTGGCTAACTTCTTTATTTTCTGTAGAGATGGGGTCTCACTATGTTGCCCAGGCTGGTTAGTGCCTGTTTTTCCACTTCCAATTTTTACTGAAGCACAGCCACACCCCTACCATTACTATTGTCTATGGCTGCTTTCACTCTACAACAGCAGGGTCAAATGGCTGCAACAGAGGCCGTCTGGCCCGCAAAGCCTAAATGTTTACTATCTAGCCCTTTATGGAACATGTCTGCTGACCGCACTATAGACTCTACACTCCCCAAAGCATGTAACCTGTCTTACTGATTCAGGTTTTGTCACTTGCAGCAGAGTAGCGGGTTTTGAAGATCAAAGGACCCAATTTTAAATCACAGCTTTCCAAACATATGGCCTTGAAAACACTTTTGACATCTCTGGATTTCAATTTCCTCATTGTGAAACAGGAATAACGACATTCACCCTGCAGCATCAAGATGTATGCACACACCACACACGCATACAAACAGTGTCTGAAAGATTAGCAGAAATATTAACAATGAACAATCAGGCATTTCACTTCATCTGACCCTCACAACAGCCTGATGAGAAGCAAGGAGAGGCTCAGGCATTGTGCCTGCCTAGAGCTTCACACTCCAGGCAGGGTGGTGTAAGGACTCAAACCAAGGTCTCCTCACTAAATATCACATACTTTTCTCACTAGAATCTGCCATCTACCTTTCAAGAGCTTAACAGGGATGTAAATGACAAGAGTGTTCACATATGCAACCCTCAGTAACAGGCATGTCGCGGAGCACCCCAAAACATGCTGGGTCAGCCACAGCAGAGTTATGGCCCAGGAGAAGCTGAGTAGAGCCATAAGGTTAGAAAAGAACAGGTAGGAGAGGAGCAGGAGGGAATGTGAGTTGCAAGGGATGCTGAGAGCACAGAAGGCCTGGACATCTGCACCAAGGAAACCTGTCAGGGGATAACAGAAATTACGAGGAAGATGACAAGCAGGCTTAGACTGAAGCCTGACTGAGCTGTCAGGATTTTAATCAGTTGACAAAGCAAAGCCCAGTGTCTCTGAGGTGAAGGGGCAACCTGATGAAAGCAGTGCTCTGTAAAGACTCCCCGGGAGTTGGTGACAACTGGAGACAAGGAAACATGGCCCTAGACAGCGGTGTACTGCGAGGTGTGGACTGAAGGGGGCAGGGCCCAGCCCAGCTGAGGGATGAGGGGCTGTCTCCACGCCTGGGCTGCAGTCGGGAACTCCAAGGGGCATGCGTGTGGATGAAAGGGAGGCCATGGAGCCACTCACCAATGCAGTACTCCAGGTTACAGCATAGGCAAGGGCCAAGATGCTGACCAAGCACAGCAAGTTAATGCCTCCTGGGACCCTGGGCACAAAGGAACAACCAGAGGCAACCGTCTGAGCCTTTGTGAACTTTATGTGGCTGTGCCTTAGTGAGGGCTCTGGGGACAGAAGGCCTCATCCACTTTGTCTTCTGTATCACGCTCAGCCACTAGAAGCTGCTGGGAGGCACAGAGGCACCTGGATGGAGCTGGCTGCCACAGGCTATGACCAGAACAGAAGCTCACACAGGTCTGAGCAGGAAAGGAGCACTAACCTGGTAAGGAAGATGTGGGCAGGGCCCACACTCACTGTGCTGAGTGAACTCCCACAATCCCTACTTTACAGCACAAAGACTGAATCTTAATGTACGTGAATTTTTAAATAATTTAGGAGGCTGAGGTATATAAAAAGAAGGACATTTCATCTCTGTAGTCCTCCTTCTGAAAACCAAAGTCCACAGTGAAATTCTTAACCAAAGTCCAAAGTATATTCAGGTTTTCTAAGTTTTTGCCTAATGTCCTTTTTCTTTTCCAGGATCCCATCCAGGAAACCACGTTACGTTTAGCTGTAGTGTCTGAGGCTTCTTGTAGCTTGTGACAGTTTCTCAGACTTCCCTTGCTTTTGATGATCTTGGCAGCTTCAAGGGGTACTGGTCAGGCATTTTGTAGGGTGTTCCTCAACTAGGATTTGTCTGATGTTTTACTTCTAATTATACTGCGGTTATGGGTTTGGGAGAGGAAGATCAGCGGTAAAATGTCCTCCTCCTCCTCACATATCAAGGGCACAATCAATCAATGTGATTTATCACTGCTGCTTTAACCCCAATCACTTACTGTAGGAGGTGTCTGTCAGGCTTCTTCACTGTAAAGTTACTTTTTCCCACAGTCACACTGTCCTCTTTGGAAGAAAGTCATCATGCATAGTCCACACTTTAGGATACATTACTTAGAATTTTTTTGCCCAGGAGATTTGTCTATTGTCATCCATTCATTTATTTATATTTATTCAAGCATATGGACTCAGGAATGGACTCACAGAGAATTATTTTATATTTTGGGTCTTAATTCAATACCAGTTTATTTTGTTGCAAAAATTGCTCTAGGCCAGGCATGGTGGCTCACGCCTGTAATCCCAGCACTTTGGGAGGCCGAGGCGGATGGATCAATCACAAGATCAGGAGATCAAGACCATCCTGGCCAACATGGTGAAACCCCGTCTCTACTAAAATACAAAAAATTAGCCAGGCGTGGTGGTGCGTGCCTGTAGTCCCAGCTACTCGGGAGGCTGAGGCAGGGGAATCACTTGAACCCGGGAGGCGGAGGTTCCAGTGAGCTGAGATCGCGCCACTGCACTCCAGCCTAGCGAAAGCAAGACTCCGTCTTGAAAAAAAAAAAAAAAAAAGAAAAGAAAAAGGAAAAAAAAAAAGAAAAAAAAATTGCTCTAGCACTGACCACTGGGGAGCTCTTTCGATTGCCCCCCTATGTCTCTTTGACATACACTATATTTACTTTAAACTTTGAAAAATCTTTGTCTTCTCTTTCCAAACAGTATAGGATCTCCTCAAGGACAGTGAGCCTCTATCTGTCCCCCACATCATCCCACACCACGCGTATGCAATAAACGAGTGCTGAACTCAGCAGTGAGTCGAGTAGGGAAGGAAGTTTTGGCTCCTTCGTATAGGCAGCAGATGCCTGCAATGTACTGTCTACTGCCCGAGTCTCCTATTTTCCCTTTTTTAAAATTTATTTATTTTTTATTTTTTTAGAGACAAGGTCTCACTCTATTGCCCCAGCTGGACTGCAATGGTGTGATCATGGCTCACTGCAGCCTTAAACTCCTGGGCTCAAGCGATCCTCCTGCCTCAGTACTGGGATTACAGGTATGCACCACTGCACCCGGCCCTATTGTCCCTTTGGAAACCATCCTCTCTCATTCCCAGCAAGGTGCTGACAACAACAATGAAATACCTGCCTTTAGCCATAGGGCTTGGGAAGGGGACAGGCAGGTAACCCTATTCATAGCCAACTGGGCTCCCTTTTATCCTCCACTGGATTGGATGATGCAAAAACATGGGGCTGAAGCTGCTAGGGCCACTGTTGGGAAGACCAAAAGTGAAGCTGACCCAGAGAGGACAAAGTCAAGAGATGGACTCCTTTTGAGGCTCAAACTATATCGTGCTTAAGTCAGCCCTGCACCTGGCTGAGTTATATGAACCAAAAATTCCCTTTCACTTACTCTGATTTGGGTTGAATTTCCTGTTCTTCATAACTAAAACAGTCCTTACCACCCACTTCAGTATCGCTGGCCTGTATCTTTATCAAGGACAGCCAATGGAGGTGAGATAACTGACCACTGAGCTGTGTGACACCAGGTGACTGCCCTGGGCCCATCTCCTTCTCAATCCTGCAGGGGATGAGCGCTCCAATCAGAGAGAGAGGAAATGGACAATGCTCCTGATTCCCGAGCCCTCTAGTTATTCTGCACCAACACTTTCTATCATCATCCCATCATTCAAAGAGCTCACAAACACATCACACCCCTTACGGCCTCATCATTAAACATCTATTCCACACCAATGGGCCAAATGAACTCTCCTAGTCAGGAAACACAAATATTCCCTTATGTGCTAACATTGCATTAAAAGGTTAATGAAGTCCGGACACAATGGCTCACGCCTGTAATCCCAGCACTTTGGGAGGCTGAGGCAGGTGGATCACCTGAGGTCAGGAGTTTGAGACCAGCCTGGCCAACATGGTGAAACCCCACCCCTACTAAAAATACAAAAATTAGCCGGGTGTGGTGGCAACATGCCTGTAGTCCCAGGTACTCAGGAGGCTGAGGCAGGAGAATCGCTTTCAACCCAGGAGACAGAGGTTGCAATGAGCTGAGATCACGCCACTGTACTCCACCCTGGGCAACAGAGTGAGACTCCATCTCAAAACAATAAAAAAAAAATGGTTAATGAAGGTAAAAGGTTTAAGCAAGAAGGTCCCACAATGAGCCAGTGAGCCAATGGCCAACCTGGGACATAAAGCCACAAAACTGGTTTCACCACAAAACTGGTTTCAGCCAGCATCAGACCATGCATCCTTTGACCTTCATAGGCAGAGCCTCATGAAGCCAGGGTGGTGCACTCCCCACTGACACCATGTATAGTTGTGCCACAGACCTATCTTGCCAGATATGCCTCTATTTCAGCCGCAGAGTCAAGTTCATAACAAGTTACCTGACTACTACGTTAACCAAAAAGGAAATGGGAATATGCTATGACTGTCAGAGAGAAGGGGGAGGAGAGCTCTGTTCGCTGAGCTTTGGTTTTCCTCAACAACAGATTCAGCAAGTCCAGCACGAATCCAGGGACCACAGAACAACACAGAAGAAAGGGCACTTTGTCCACACCTGACAGGCAAAAGGTACACAGATGAGCTAGTCAAGCTTCAATGAGCTCCAAATAATGAGTGCGGTGTGATGGTGAGTTAGGTCCCTTGACTGAGCCCCTCAACTGAAGACCTTTTTTCTCATTTATATCAGTGTTCGGCCCAGAGACAGTCAACTGAAAACAGTACAGTCCAGAAGGAGGAGTGGGCTGGGGTCAGGAGACCTAGAGTTCCAAACTAAATAACTGGCCAGGTGCGGTGGCTCACGCCTGTAATCCCAGCACTTTGGGAGGCCAAGGCGGGTAGATCACCCAAGGTCAGGAGTTCGAGACCAGCTTGGCCAACATAGTGAAACTCCATCTCTAATAAAAATACAAAATTAGTTGGGCGTGGTGGCGCACACCTACAGTCCCAGCTAATCGGGAGGCTGAGGCAGGAGAATCACTTGAACCCGGGAGGCGGAGGTTGCAGTGAGCCGAGATTGTGCCATTGCACTCCAGCCTGGACAACAGGAGCAAAACTCCATCTCAAAAAAAAATGTATAAACTAAGTATCTATATGGTACACTGATAAAGCTGTTAAAGTACATGAATTCACAAATCAGAAGCTGACCAACCTCAATCTCACTGGCAGACCCCTGCCTCAGCCAGTCTCCACCCAACGCTCTGTGCTGGCCTCAGGAACATGACGAGTACCCACCCACTCAGGCTGCTCAGTAGGCTCTCCTTGTTTGCGGTCAGAGTCCACAGGTGGGGGCGAGTAATCCTTCACAGGGGTGGTGAATTCCACAGGTCCTGTTCCTGGCAAGGGGAGTTTCAGCAGTGGGTAGCTGGGATGTACAAAAAGGAGATAAGAATTAGACACTATGAGAGGCAGTCCTCTCTCAGCACTGACACAGGAGCCACTGGAGTTAATAACTAAATTCTGTCAGGACTGTACAAATGTGCAAAATATTAGAATCACAAAATTGCAAAGCTGAAACTCAGAAGTCATCTAGATTAGAATTTTTCAAACTTATTTTAGTCACATAAACCTTACGAAGAAGCCCAACTGGTAAAATAGACTGTTCTGTTAAATGTTTTCAGGCTGTATAAGCTAAGTATGTATAAATATACTTAGTTATAACATTATATATAACATTAACATATATAATATAAACATACACACACACACACACACACACACACACACACACACACACACACACACAGATAGATAGGCGCCTGCCACTACATCCAGGTAATTTTTGTATTTTTAGTGGAGACGGGGTTTCATCATGTTGACCAGGCTGGTCTTAAAACTCCTGACCTCAGGTGATCCACCCACCTCAGCCTCCCAAAGTGCTGAGATTACAGGCGTAAGCAACCGTGCCTGGCTAGTTTATACATTTAATGAGTAACTTTTACTGAAAGGAAACACCAACATGTTATAATATATAACATTATATTAATATTTTCAGGCTGGGCGCAGTGGGTTATGCCTGTAACCCCAGCACTTTGGGAGGCCCAGGCTGGAGGGCTGCTTGAGCCCAGAAGTTTGAGACCAGCCTGGACAACATAGTGAGACCTCATCTCTACAGAAAATCAAAAAAATTAGCCAGGCATGGCCATGTGAACCTGTGGTCCCAGCTACTCAGGAGGCTTAGGTGGGAGGACTGCTTAAGCCTAGAGGTAGAGGCTGCAGTGAGCCATGATTATACCACTGCACTCCAGCCTGGGCAACATAAGACCCCTGTCTCTGAAAGAAAAAAGTTTTCAGAGACTTAATAAAAGCAAGATGCTAAAAACAAACAAAAAAAAATCACCTTGCCAAATTAGATATAAGGGAACAATAAAAAACAAAAGTGGGGGTACCTTTAAAAATCCAGAAGGATTCCAATTCAGATAGCTAAGCAACTATTCCACTTAAAGGGACAGACCATGAAAATTATGTATAATTAACTAAGGATGTGGTTTATACTAGGATCATGAGGAAAGTTAAGTTAATGGACCCGATATACGCAAGGAAAAGCCCTGACCTTTCATCAAAAAGTTGGCAAATAAGCTGGGTGCGGTGGCTCAAGCCTGTAATCCCAACACTTTGGGAGAGGCCAAGCGGGCGGATCATTTGAGCTCAGGAGTTTGAGACCAGACTGAGCAACACAGTGAAACCCCATCTCTACCAAAAATACAAAAAATTAGCTGGGCATGGTGGTGTGCACCTGTGGTCCCAGCTACTGGCTGAGGCAGGAGGATCATCTAACCCTGGGAGGTAGAGGCTGCAGTGAGCTGAGATCATGCCACTGTACTCCAGCCTAGGCAACACAGTGAGACCCCATCTCAAGTGAAAAAAAAAGAAAAAAAAGAAAAAGTTGGCAAATAGATGTACATTTTGTTTCAGATCTCACTTTCTTAAAATTTAGAAATAACTTCTATATAGTACAATGCACAGATCTTAAGTATAAAGTGCAGTAAGTTTTTACATGTGTATATCTGTGTAACTACTATCTAGATCAAGCTATAGAATATTTCCAGAGCCTCAGAAGGCAGCCTTGTGCCCACTCCCAGTCAACAGCATACCACTCCCCACCACCAAAGGTAACTGTTAGAATCTCTATCACCATAAATTAGTTTTACCTATTTTTGAATGTCATATAAATGAAACCATTCATTCTACTTATATACTCTTTTGTGACTGGCTGCTTTCACTCAAATTCTATCTGCTAGATTCTCCACACTGGCGCACATAGCAGATCATTGCTTTTTGGATACATACTAGTCCACTAATGAATAAAGTATAGTGCATTTGTGTATTCCACTGGTTGAGGAACATTTGGCTGTTTCTGGTTTGAGCTATTAAGAATAAAGTTGGGCCAGGCACAGTGGCTCACGCCTGTAATCCCAGCACTTTGGGAGGCTGAGGCAGGTGGATCACCTGAGATCGGGAGATCGAGACCAGCCTGACCAACAGGGAGAAACCCTGTCTCTACTAAAAATTCAAAATTAGCCGGGCGTGGTGGCGTATGCCTGTAATCCCAGCTACTCAGAAGGCTGAGGCAGGAAAATCACTTGAACCGGTGAGCTGAGATGGCGCCACTGCACTCTAGCCTGGGCAACAAGAGTGAAACTCAATCTCAAAAAAAAAAAAAAAAAAAAAAAGGAGAATAAAGTTGGCCAGGTGAGGTGGCTCATGCCTGTAATCCCAGCACTTTGGGAGGCCAAGGCAGAAGGATTTCTTGAGCCCAGGAGTTTGAGACCAGCCTGGGCAACATGGTGAAACGCCATCCCTAAAAAAAAAAAAATACAAAAGTTAGCCAGGCATGCTGGTGCACACCTGTAGTCCCAGCTCGGGAGGCTTAAGTGGGAGGATCGCTTGAGCCGGGAGGCTGAGGCTGCAATAAGCCATGATCATGCCACTGCATTCCAGCCTAGGTGACAGAGTGAGACCCCCGTCTCAAAAAAACAAAACATTTTGGGCTGGATAATTGTTTTTAATTAAAAAAAAGAAAAAAAAAGAATAAAACTATTATCCTTTATTGGTTTTTGGTGGCCTCATAAGCACTTATTTCTGTCGGGTATATTCCTAGGATGAAATGGCTGGGTATGGAGTTATATGCACATTGAGCTTAGTAGATGATACCAAACAGTTTTCCATAGCGGTTGTACAAATTTATGTTCCCACTATCACCAGTGTAATAGGAGTTCCAGTTTCTCCAAATCCTTGTCACCTCTTGATACTGTCAGTCCAATTAATGTTAACCATTTAGAGGAAGAGACAGTGGTATCTCAGCATGGTTTTAATGTACATTTTCCTGATAAGAAACAATTAAAAAAATTATTTCATTTACTTACTACTGGCCACTTGGATATAGCAACTTTTGTGAAACGCCTCTTCAAGTCTTTTGACAATACCATGTTTTGAATATTTTAAATACATTTATTATGTTAATTACAGAAAACAATTACACAATCTCCTTACCTTCACAAAAATCAATTTTTACTTTTCTCTGGCTTTTCCATCTTTACCTACACTCAAAAACCATTTATTAAGTATGTATTATATGCTGGGAACTGAGAATACAAAAGATAATACTACGGTCTGCCTCCAAGATGCTCTAAGTAGGAAGAGAGAAACGACTACAAGTGATCAGAATTCATTTAGGGCTGCTCTGCCTATGGAGCAGCCATTCTTTATTCCTTTACTTTTCTAATAAACTTGCTTTCACTTAAAAAAAAGTTAATTTAGGCTGGGCACGGTGGCTCACGCCTGTAATCCCAGCACTTTGGGAGGCCGAGGTGGGTGGGTCACGTGAGGTCAGGAGTTCAAGACCAGCCTGGCCAACATGGTGAAACCCCGTCTTTACTAAAAAAACAAAAATTGGCCGGACGCGGTGGCACACGCCTGTAATCCTAGCTACTCGGGCAGCTGAGGCAGGAGAATCGCTTGAACCCGGGAGGTGGAGGTTGCAGTGAGCCAAGATCATGCCATGCCAGTGCACTCTAGCCTGGGCAACAGAGGGAGACCCTGTCTCAAAAAAAAAAAAAAAATTTTAGGCTGTGGCTACAGCGTTTGCATAGTAATCACAGAGTATAGTCAGTTTTTGTTCTATGTTTAGACTATACATGTTTTTGGATTCTGCTTGTGCTTTCTGGCTGTGAAGGTAGAAGACTAGGAAGACAGTGAATAATAACAATGAAAAACTCATACATGATATTTAATATGTGCCAGGCACTATTCTAAGCACTTGATATGTACAGATACATCTTGACTTACGATGGGGTTATGTCCTGATAACGCTGTCGTAAATTGAAAATATCCTAAGTCAAAAATGCATGACTAGGCTGAGCAAGGTGGCTTATGCCTATAATCCCAGGACTTTGGGAGGCTGAAGTGGGCAGGTTACTTGAGGTCAGGAGTTTGACACCAGTCTGGCCAACATGGTGAAACCCCGTCTCTACTAAAAATACAAAAAATAGCCGGACGTGGTGGCTCACACCTGTAATCCCAGCTACTCGGGAGGCTGAGGCAAGAGAATCACTTGAACCTGGGAGGCAGAGGTTGCAGTAAGCCATGATTGTGCCATTGCACTCCAGCCTGGGCGACAGAGTGAGACCCCGTCTCAAAATCAAAAACAACACAATGTGATTCCAATTTCCTCTCCAAATTAAAATCCACCTCTCACCATGAGCAGCAGCTTGTTGAATCAAATGTCTCAATGATTCACATCACTCTCTGACCTGCACATAGGGCAGTCCAACTAACATGGCATCTGGGTGCTCTTTTTATCCCATGGCGCACCCACTGCTTACCAGGGCAGGTTCAGATTAACAGTACCCTCTGTCTTGCTGGGCTGCTGCTGGGACATATCCTGGGCCCAGTGGTCTAACCTCCAAGAGTTATAAACAGACACCTCTTGCCATAATGCCTATTTGCTACACATTTCATCAGATTTTCCCAGAGGAAAGAACAGTCACTGCACCCAGGGGCCAGGCAGGAAGAACAGCTAACTCTAGCTCACCTGCAAGGCTCAGCACTGGGTTCATTTGAAGTAGTGTCCTTGGCTCTCAGTCACTGAAACCTGCAGCCTCAACAGCAGCTCAGAGAAGAAAGTCACACATCCTCAGTGCTGTTTGGGGTGAGCCTGATGCATATACAGATGCCCTCTCTCACTCCCTGGATTCTTCTGCCTGATGGAGACAGGCACATTCCCAAGCTGTCATTGATCACCATCCCCCCAGTACTGCTCTGTACTTTCCCTGGGGTGACCCAGTGGTGGTGAGCCAGTGGTGTGCAAAAAGTATTTCTGCAGCTCAGGTGGCTGTTAGATCTGAATAGGGAAATTAAGTGCAGCAGTCCTTTGGGTTTGGCTGTACAAGTCTTTCATCCCAGGAACAATAAAAGGTAAGCAATTAAATGGAAACTGAATGTCTAGCAAAACTACTAGAAGCAGTCTATATCCATACTTTATTTTCTGCAGGCAATCCCAGGCTCTGGAAGAAGGGGGCACTGCTCTGCTGCTCTGGACAGAAAAGCTTCAGTGGGTTGAAGACAATGGTGAGGCTTGTGTCCCTGGGTCCATGATCTCTGGTTTTCTGGCCAAGTCCCAGAATCTATGGATTCTCTTATACAACCTTTTATTAGTCTTTGGAGGCTGAGAGACTTCACCCAGCCTTGGAAAAATTTTCTCAAGTCAATCAGGTTTTAAGAAAAAAACAAAATTAAAAAAAAAACTTTAAGATCACATGACAAAGATACTCATTTGGGAAAATAAGTACACAGCACTAAGAATGTGACAGTACAAGGCCAGGTTTGGTGGCTCACACCTGTAATCCCGACACTTTGGGAAGCCAAGGCGAGGGGATCACGAGCTCAGGAGTTTGAGACCAGCCTGGGCAACATGGCGAAACCCCAGCTCTACTAAAAATACAAAAAATTAGTGGTGCACGCCTATAGTCCCAACTACTCAGAGGGCTGAGGTAGGAGAATCACTTGAGCCCATGAAGTCGAGACTGCAATTAGCAGTGATTGCACCACTGCACTCCAGCCTGAGCAACGGAAGCGAGACCCTGTCTCAAGGAAGAAAAAAAAGAATGGGATAATACAGAAGGGTCTTTCCTCCTCTTTTTTTTTTTTGAGATGGAGTCTCACTCTTTCGCCAGGCTAGAGTGCAGTGGCGCGATCTCAGCTCACTGCAATCTCCGTCTCCCGGGTTCAAGTGATTCTCCTGCCTCAGCCTCCCGAGTGGCGGGGACTACAGGTGCAGGCCACCACACCTAGCTAATTTTTGCATTTTTAGTAGAGACGAGGTTTCACCATGTTGGCCAGGATGGTCTCGATCGCCTGACCTCGTGATCTGCCCGCCTCGGCCTCCCAAAGTGCTGGGATTACAGCCGTGAGCCACCACGCCCGGCCAGGTCTTTCCTCTTAAAAGAAAAACAGGGTGACTACAAAAGAGGAAACCATAGTACCATCAGAGAGTAAAACCAAAGGAGGGCAACATAATGAGACCCCATCTCTACAAAAGACGAAAAACAGCCAAGTGTGGTGGCGCACACCTGTGGTTGTGGCTTCTTAGGAGGCTGAGATGGGAGGGTCGCTTGAGCCTAGGAGGTTGAGGCTGAGGTGAGCTGTGATTGTGCCACTACATTCCAGCCTGGCTGACAGAGTGAGACCATGTCTCAAAAAACTTATTTTAAAGAAGAAAAAAGAAAGGTCAATTAACTTAAAGGAAAAAAAAACCCAAGAGCTGAGTTCTTAGAGCACTCCAAATTCATCACTTATGGGACACAGCTATAAGTATTTTATCTTGTACAACACAATTTAGCAGTTTAAACACCAATACAAACATACTGAGCCAGAGTGAAACCAGGTGACAGTAACACAGGTGCAGGCGGGCACCAGAGTCCCTATGGCTTGGATTTGAATTTGAACCCCAGTTTCCCTAATTATTAGTTATGTGGACCAGACAAATCTCTAAGTCCCTACCCCTCTTTGTTAAATGGAAACATAACTGGACCACTTCCTAATGTTATACCTGAAGCATCAACACAGCACCCAGCAAGAAACTCTCAGTGATGTTCATCTTTCTTTTTTTTTTTTTTTTTTTTTTTTGGTCTTGCTATGTTGCCCAGGCTGATCCTGAACTCCTGGCCTCAAGTGATTCTCTCACCTCAGCCTCCCAGTGTTGGAATTACAGGTATGAGCACTGCACCTGGCCAAAGTTCATCTTTCTTACTGATAATCAGGGAAGAGCTTGAGATCATTAGCAACTGAACTGAACAGGGAGTTCCCTCCTGACTTCTCATCCTCCCTTCAGCATAGCACTGAAAACATCTATAAATGTTTTAGACAATGAATCTGAAGAACAGAATTCTTTCCAGAGAAAAGAATAAGATGGGCTCTTTTCACAGCTGTCAGCATTTTAGAGTTAAAAGGGTCATCAGATGTCATCTCATATCAAACTCCTCCTTTACGACGTCATTGTCAGCCATAGCCTTCAGGCTTCTATGAGGCCTTGAGAAAGACAGACAGGAACAAGGGCAGCTACAGCTCTCACAACTGTCCTTGGCAAGTGCAGCTGGCCACAAGAATCAACAAGAAGTCTGAAGCAAGCTCCATGTGAACACAAGAAAATGACTAGAGAGCAAAGAAGCAAGTCTCTGAGGTTAGCCTGCCACAGGTTGTCCAAGATACTGTTCTAATGGACTTTGCCTCGCAACACACAAAAAAGGCTCTTGCACTTAACCAGGTACTAAAACGAAACCACTACTATTGAGAAAGAAAACTGAAGTATCATATCTTTCAATTATTTCAGTGTCTTAGAAGTATCTAAACATTATTTTGAGATAGAGTACCAGTGATATGAATAAATCTGGTGAATCAGTAGGTCAGGGCCAGCCAGGACTATTTTATTATATTAGCTAACCAGGCCAGGACTAGAGTTCTCCACTCACAGTTATAAGGAGCCCAAGCTCCCATTGTGTAAAAAGCATACAGAGGCCAAGGGCTCCATAGTGGTTAGGGTTAGAAAACCTACTGTCCTAAGACACTGGCCCACCATATCCAAGGCAACCCAAAAACATACCAGCAGGCTAAGATGCAGAACCCTGTGAAGAGGATGATGGGGATGGGATAGGATGCACAGAGGAGCCCATGGTTGTAGAAGGCCCGAGATATCTTCTCACGCAGCCTTTCAGTCAGGGTCATCCTCAGCCGAAGTCACCTTGCTGCCATCCCGGAAAGTGACCATGGATCACCCTGGCACACACTTGACAGCACTGACAAAGAACAACATGTGCAGGTACCTGGTAAGAAGGGAGAAAAGCCAGTTAACAAAGAGTACTTGGCTCTGCACACTAGGGCTGCTGGAGGGAGGCGATAGTTATGTGGCTGGGGAATGGTTTCAGAATGCCTATATGCAAGGTCTAGTGACCTCAATCCCAAAATACACACACACACACACACACACACACACACACACACACACACACTCTCTCTCTCTCTCTCTCTCTCTCTCTCTCTCTCCCTCCCCGCCCAACTCCCTCCCTCCTATATTAGGCAATGCTAAAAGGCCACTCCCCAAAGGGCATTTTTCTCATGTGTGGCACACGAAACCATGCCTGTGTAACAGACGTCACCTTCAGCTGCTCTCTGTCAAACAGGCATTCTTCCCCCCCCTCCTCTATGCACAAATCCCACTGAGAAAAGTCCTTTACATAGGGATACAGAGAAACCCTTTACATAGGGATGGCCTCCTCAAAACACACTGTTGTACAAATAGTGATTCACTCGTGAAGAAGGTCTAGCGAGGTCAGCCCTCAACATAAAAACGCTAAAAAGCTTAGGTCTCTGACATAATGGTCACCAAGCAAAATTCACTCTGGTAGAACTCTCTGCTCTTGGTCCTATAGTTGTTCCTGGGAGTGCAAAGGCAGAGAGCAGCTCCTGTTCCTGCCTGCCCAGTACCCGTCCCCTTCCATAAGTTAACAGCAGCCTGGTATGGCTCAGGGGAACCACCTCGCTCCACAGGATTTAACCTGGATTAACTATGAGTCAAGGTGCCCCGTGCCGACCCAAGCTACACAAATTGGGCCTCTCTCCCTGGACTTTGACTTCTAAACACAAACAAACAGGAACTTGGATATTCATGATGTTTATTCATCCCACAGAGGTTCCTGCTCCCAAGATCCCCAGGCTGTTCTGGCTCCCATCCTTTCTGAGGACTGGCTCATCAACTTTTTTTTCCGTTTTGTAAGCTATTCTATACCCTTCTAATAAATTATCTTTTTGCTTATGTTGGCCAAAGTTAATTTCTGGTGCTTTCAAACAAATAACATTAAACCAATAAAATCAGAATAGAAAACTCTAGGAGGCCCAGGGATCTAGAATTATCTTCCCTACTGAGCCCTCTGATGGAATCCAAGTTTAAACCTACTTCTCTTGTTCCATGTTGCTGTTTTCTTCGGTCTGTGCTAGAGGGAACCTGCCCAGACACATTTCTTGGCTTGACTGTACTCACTGATGAAAACCCAGACTCAAAGATGACTCCTCATAAGTGTCAAGATCAGAAACAAGAAGCAAAAGGAGTCACACCACAGCCAACTCAAAAGCCAAAAGGAATGCCTATTGCTCGTTCTACCTTTCCGAAAGCAGAAGCGTTAAGCGCACATGCAAGTTTCCAATCCAGGAACCCTTTATTTTTTTTGACATAGAATCTCACTCTATCGACCAGGCTGGAGTGCAGTGGGCACTCTCTTGGCTCACTGCAACCTCTGCCTCCCAGGTTCAAGTGATTCTCCCACCTAGTTTTCCAAGTAGCTGGGATTACAGGTGTGCACCACCATGCCCTGCTAATTTTTGTATTTTTTTGTAGAGACAGGTTCTCATTATGTTTTCCAGGCTGGTCTCAAACTCCTGGGCTCAAATGATCCAGCTGCCTCAGCCTCTCAAAGTGCTGGGATTACAGGCACGAACCACCACACCCGGCCAGTACTTCATTACTTTTTTTTTTTTGAGATGGGGTTGCCCAGGCTGGAGTGCAGTGGCACAATCTTGGCTCAATGAAATCTCTGTCTCCTGGGTTTAAGCTATTCTCCTGACTCAGCCTCCCAAGTAGCTGGGATTACAGGTGCCCGCCACCACACCTGGCTAATTTTTGTATTTTTGATAGAGACCAAGTTTCACCATGTTGGCCAGGCTGGTCTCAAACTCCTGACCTCAAGTGATCCGCCAGCCTCAGCCTCCCAAAGTGCTGGGATTACAGGCATGAGGCACCGAGCCCAGCCACTTCATTACTTTTTATGGCTGAATATTTCATCAAATGGGTATGCCACATTTTGTTTGTCCATTCATCAGTTGATAAACATTTGGGCAGTTTCTATGTTTTGCCTATTGTGAATAGTGCTGTGATGAACATTCTAACATTCCTGTATTTGTTTGAATACCTGTTTTCAATTCTTTTTTTTTTTTTTTTTTTTGAGATAAAGTTTTGCTCTTGTTGCCCAGGCTGGAGTGCTGTGGCACAATCTCCACTCAATGCAACCTCTGCCTCCCAGATTCAAGCGATTCTCTTGCCTCAGCTTCCTGAGTAGCTGGGATTACAAGTGCCCGCCACTACGCCCAGCTATTTTTTCGTATTTTTAGTAGAAATGGGATTTCATCATGTTGGCCAGGCTGCTCTCGAACTCCTAACCAGGTGATCCACCGCCTCGGCCTCCCAAAGTGCTGGGATTACAGGCATGAGCCACCACGCCAGGCCACATTATTCTTGTTTACTTGGTCTCGAACTCCAACTTTTTTTTTTGAAACGGAATCTTGCTTTGTCGCCCAGGCTGGAGTGCAGCAGCGCGATCTCAGCTCACTGTAAACTCCGCCTTCCGGTGGTTCAAACAATTCGTGCCTCAGCCTCCCTTGTAGCTGGGAGCACAGGTGCACACCACCACACTTGGCTAATTTTTGTATTTTTAGTAGAGATGGGGTTTCACCATGTTGGCCAGACTGGTCTAGAACTCCTGACCTTAGATGATTTGCCAGCCTGGCCTCCCAAAGTGCTGGGATTACAGGTGTGAGCCACCACACCCTGTCTCAATTTTTTTTTTTTTTTTTTTTGAGACAGAGTCTTGCTCTGTCACCAGGCTGGAGTGCGGTGGTGCGATCTCAGCTCACTGCAACCTCCACCTCCTGGGTTCAAGCAATTAACCTGTCTCAGCCTCCTGAGTAGCTGGAATTACAGATGCGCGCCACCACGCCCAGCTAATTTTTGCATTCTTAGAAGAGATGGGGTTTCACCATCTTGGCCAGGATGGTCTCAATCTCTTGACCTCGTGATCTGACCGCCTCAGCCTCCCAAAGTGCTGAGATTACAGGCATGGCCACTGCACCTGGCCAACCTTTTTTTTTTTTTTTGAGATGGAGTCTCGCTCTGTCGCCCAGGCTGGAGTGCAGTGGCACAGTCTCAGCTTACTGCAACCTCCACCTCCTGGGTTCAAGTGATTCTCCTGCCTCAGCCTACCAAGTAGCTGGGACTACAGGCACTCACCACCACACCCGGCTAATTTTTTATTTTTAGTAGAGACGAAGTTTCACTATGTTGGCCAGGCTTGTCTTGAACTACTGACCTCATGATCTGCCCTCCTTCGCCTCCCAAAGGGCTGGGATTACAGGCGTGAGCCACCGTGCCTGGCCCCCCTCAATTCTTATGTTTACTTTTTTTGTTGTTGTTGTTCTTCAGTTGGGGTTTTTGTATTTTTTTTCTTTTTGTTTTCTTTTGAGTATATTCATTCTTAGGAGTGGAATTGCTTGGTCATAAGGTAATTTTCCCCAATGTCTTCTCCTAAAAATTTGTAGTTTCACATTTGTTTAAGTCTGTAATCCAGCTGGGTGCAGTGACTCATGCCTGTAATCCCAACACTTTGGGAGGCTGAGGTGGGAAATCACTTGAAACCAGGAGTTTGAGACCAGCCTGGACACTGTGAGACCGTGTCTTTACAAAAAAAAAAACATTAACAATTAGCAGGGCAGGGTGGCACATGCCTGTAGTCCTAGCTACTTGGGAGGCTGAAGTGGGAGGATCACTTGAGCCAAAGAGTTTGAGGCTGCAATGAGCTATGACCACACCATTGCACTCTAGCCTGGGCAACAGAGCGAGACTGTGTCAAAAAATAAAAATAAAAATCTGTGATCCATTTGAGTTAATTTTTAGATAAGGTGTGAGATATAAATTCCTTTTTTTCCCCTTTGGTCTAAAGATAGCCAATTGTTCCAGCACCATTTGGTGAAAAGACTATCCTTCCTCCATTGAATTGCTTGGCATCTTTGTCAAAAAGCAGTTGTCTGGACCAGGCACAGTGGCTCACGCCTATAGTCCCAGCACTTTGGGAGACCGAGGTGGGCGGATCGCTTGAGGCCAGGAGTGTGAGACCTGGCTAACACAGTGAAGCCCCTTCTCTACTAAAAACAGAAAAAATTAGCTGGGTGTGGTGGCACACACTTGTAATCCCAGCTACTTGGTACGCTGAGAATCACCTGAACCCAGAAAGCAGAGGTTGAGCAAGCCAAGATCACGCCACTGCACTCCAGCCTAGGTGACAGACTGTGACTCCGTCTCAAAAAAGGAGAAAAAGGCCAGGCGCGGTGGCTCACGCCTGTAATCCTAGAACTTGGTGAGGCAAAGGTGGGCGGATTACAAGGTCAGAAGTTCAAGACCAGCCTAGCCAATATGGTGAAACCTCTTCTCTACTAAAAATACCAAAATTGGCTGGGTGTGGTGGCGAGTGCCTGTAATACCAGCTACTTGGGAGGCGGAGACAGGAGAATTGCTTAAACCCGGGAGGCGGAGGCCACAGTGAGCCAAAGACTGTGCCATTGCACTCCAGCCTGGGCAATACAGCGAGACTCTGACTCAAAAAAAAAAAGAAAAGAAAAGAAAAAAGAAAAAAAGGCCAGGTGTGGTGGTTCATGCCTGTAATCCCAGCACTTTGGGAGGCCAGGGCAGGCAGATCTCCTGAGGTCAGGAGTTCAAGACCAGCCTGGCCAACACAGTGAAACCCCGTCTCTATGAAAAATACAAAATAGCCGGGCATGGTGGCGTGTGCCTGTAATCCCAGCTATTCTGGAGGCTGAGGCAGGAGAATCGCTTGAACCCAGGAGGCAGAGGTTGCAGTAAGCTGAGATAGTGCCACTGCACTCCAGCCTGGGCAAGAGGGAGACTCCGTCTCAAAAAAAAAAAAAAAAAAAAAAAAAAAAAAACTTGATAGAATTTTGATAGAAACTGCATTAAACCTGTTTATCAAATTTGCAAAGAACTGGCATGTTGAGTCTTCCAATCCATGAACATGGTATATTTTTCCATCTACTTAGATCTTTGATTTCTTTCATCAGCATTGTATAGTTTTCAGCATACATGACTGTACATGTTTTGTTAGATTTATACCTACCATTTCACTTTTTAGCAACTATGTTTTCAATTTTGATTTTCACATGTTCATTGCTAGTACATTGATTTTTTTATGTTAATCTTTTATCCTGCAACTGTCCTGAAATCACTTATTAGTGCCAGAGTCTTTCTGCATGTGTGTGTGTGTGTGGATTCTTTGGAAATTTCTACGTAGACTTATCATGTTATCTGTGAACAGAAACATATTTATTCCTTTCCATAATTTCTTCAAATTTTTTTCTGCACCACTCTTTCTCCTCTCTTTTTGAGACTTCAAAAACATAAAAGATAAACTTTCTGTTATTGTCCCATGGGTCCCTGAAGCTCTGTTCATTTTTTTTTTTCATTTTATTTCGATCTCTGTTGGTCAGACTGGATAATTTCTATTATTCTACCTTCATGTTCACTGACTCTTCTGTCTTCTCCATTCTGCTATTGAGCCCACCCAATTAATTTTTCATTTAGGTTGTCATATTTTGCAGTAAATAAATTTCTGATTTTCTGTTCATTTCAAGAGCATTCACCCTTACTTGTTATAGCAAGGTTTTAATTAATACTTTAATTATACTTTGGCTTTTAATTTTTTGATAATTTCAACATCTGTGTCATGTTGTGGTTGCCATCTGTTGGCTGTCTTTTCCCCTTATGATTTTCCTGATTTTTCATAGCTGAAGTAATTCTGAATTACTGGACATTTTGAATATTATGCTATGTGACTCTAGCTCTTGTTTAAGTCCCACGTAAAATTTTGAATTTGTCTTTGCAGCAATCAACCTAATTAGGTCCAGTCCACAAGTTCCTACCCACCTTCTGTGGGCTGTGGTACCAATATGATATCAGTTTTCAAAGCCTTTTAAGTATTATTTTGATTTTTCCCAAGCATACCGTCCAGGGGCCAGTGCAGAACTACTTGAGCAGTAATGTACTCCACAGTTTGGTCCTCAAAGCCTTTGGTATGCTGTTTAGGGTCAGATGCACGTATGTTAGTTCTGAGGAACAGCCCAAGAGTTCATATGCAACTTTATGAGTTCAATTTGTTGAGCTCCTTCCTCTACACAATCTTCCTAACACTTTCCAGATCCCAAGGGCCCCTTTCCTGGTCTTCTGGCTAAAAGTCAGGGGTTTAATTTCCCTAACCTGCTGAGTACCTCCCACAACTGTGACTACCTCCAAGGAAAAGCAATGAGAGAAAGGAAAGAACAAAATCAAGGATTCCCTCCATGCTCCTGGGACCACAGTCCCTTTAAATAGAAGACTTCCTCTCCTATCCATTTGCCAATGTCACTGCTGTCTCCACCACTACACAATTACGTGGAGGGCCAGAGCAAGAGAAAAGGAGAAAAGACAAAGCAAACAACACACGAGATTTCTTCCTCCATCCCCATTCCTGACCCATGAGGATCCCCTTTCCTGCTCCTCAAACTAGAAAGATGGCTTCTGTTAGACCTCTTTCTGTGCACATCCAGCACACATTTCCAGGTTTGGGGCTGACTTTAAGTGCAGGCTGGAAAATATTGTATGGAGGAAAAAAAATTATGGGAAACTCACTACCAGTTCACTGGTATTTGGAGTTCTGGTTTCCTTCTCCAATTCGCATGCTAACATTTATCTTTCTGGGGTTACTCCACTGATCCATGCATTCTGTCCAGGGATTTCAGTTGCTCTCTTCAGACATAAAGGGTGGAGTATGTTTACTCCATCTTTATCACATCAGAACTCTTAAATTTTTTTAATGTGATAATCTTCCTACATTTCAGGATTCTTTGCCTTCAAAGAAACTTTTTTTTCTTTTTTTGAGATGGAGTCTTGCTCTGTCACCCAGGCTGGAGTGCAGTGGCGTGATCTCGGCTCACCGCAACCTCCGCCTCCTGGGCTCAAGCAATTCTTGTGCCTCAGCCTCCCAAGTAGCTGGAGTTACAGGCGTGCGCCACCCCACCCAGCTAATTTTTATATTTTTGGTAGAAACGGGGTTTCACCATGTTGGCCAGGCTGGTCTCCAATTCCTGACCTCAATGAATCTGCCTGCCTCAGCCTCCCAAAGTGCTGGGATTACAGGTGTGAGCCACTGCTCCTGGCCCTAAGGAAACTTTTCACACTACGCCTACTGGCATTTTTCTGTCAATCACATCATTTCATTGTGAGAAGCATGTAGTAAAGTTTTCTACAAAAAGCACACATTACTTTTACAATTTGAAAAAATAAAAATTATATACAAAAAGTGCACAAAAGGAGAATAGAGGGAAACGTTAGTAGTGGTTGCTTGTCTTTGTGTAATGTGATTATATGCAGGGTTTTTTTTTTTTTTTCCTTGAGACAGAGTCTCACTCTGTCACCCAGGCTGGAATGCAGTGGCAGGATCACAGCTCACTGCAGCCTCAATCTCCCAGGCTCAGGTGATCCTCCCACTTTAGCCTGCCTATAGGCACGTACCACCATGAGAGATAATTTTTGGTAATTTTAGTAGAGACAGGGTTTTGCCACGTTGCCCAGGCTGGTCTCAAACTCCTGGGCTCAAGCAATCCTCCTGCCTCAATTTCCCAAACTGATTATAGGTGTGAGCCACCACACCCAGCAGAGAAATTTTTAAACTCAAATCTCAGTATCTTTACATTTTTCACTATAAGCATTTATTTATTTTTCTTTTTTTAGAGATGGGGTCTCACTCTGTCACCCAGGCTGGGGTACAGTGGCACTATCATGTCTTACTGTAGCCTTGAATTCCTGGACGCAGTCCTCCCAGCTCAGCTTCCCGTGTAGCTAGGATTACAGGCATGTGCCACCATGGCCAGCTAATTAAAAAAAAAAAATGTTGTGGGGAGACAGGGTCTCAATATGTTGCCCAGGTTGGTCTTGAACTCCTGGTTTCAAGCAATCCTCCTGCCTCAGCCTCCCAAAGTGTTGGGATTACAGACATGAGCCACCGTGCAAGACTATTTTAAATAAACTTTTGAAGTTTAGTATAACATATCACAGAAAAGCACACAAATTATAAGCACACAGCTCCATGAATTACCACCAAGTAAACAAAGCCATGTAACCTAAACACCATTCCATCAAGAAACAGAACATTACCCCAAAGGTCCCCTTTATGAGCCCCAATGCTGACTATTTTTCAATTATAAAAGTAAAAATATACATGTTTATATTCAAATATTCAAACAGTCCTGGAATGCCTTTTTTTTTTTTTTTTTTTTTGAGACAGGGTCTCACTCTGTCACCCAGGCTGGAGTGCAGTGGCACGATCATGGCTCACTGCAGCCTCCACCTCCCAGGCTCAATCAATTCTCCCACTTCAGCCTCCCAAGTAGCTAGGACTATAGGCGTGCACCACCACACCCAACGAAATGTTTGTATTTTTAATAGAGATGGGGTTTTACCATGTTGCCCAGGCTGGTCTTAAACTCTTAGACTCCAGCAATCCTCCTGCCTCAGCCTCCCAAAGAGTTGGGATTACAGGCTGAGCCACCCACCATGCCTGGCCCTCATAGACCCCTTCCTACCTATCCCTTTACAATTCACTTTATCTCAGAGGTCAGAGTGGACACAGATTCTACTAATGCTGTGAGCTGGATACCCTTCTGCACTTAGAACAAAGCCCAAATGCCTCCCCCTAGCTCTCAGGGCTCTGCACAACCCACCCCGGTCCTCTGCAACTTCACTTCGTGTCACCTCTCCCTGTTCTGGTTTCTTCCAATGCCTTATGTGTGCCAACCTCATTCCCATCTCAGGGGCCTGGCACATACTGTTCCATCCTCTATTCCCTCTTCTCTTTATAGGCTGGTTCCTTTTCATTCTTCAAGTCTCAGCTGAAATATCACTTCTACAAAAAGACCTCCCTTGACCATATATTTTCCAGTAGTTCTCTTTATTGTTCCTTACAGAGCCTATTTCTTCTTTTTCAGTGCATTTAAAACTCTGTAATTGTACAAATGACTTATTCCCTGGTTTACTATCTGTCCTCTGTCAAGACTATAAATAAACTCCCTGTCTGTTCTTCAGGGTCTTTAATAGCACTTGGCATGTTAAATTTTTATTAAATGCACCTATAATCCCGGCTACTCAGGAGACTGAGGTGGGACAATCCCTTGAGCCCAGGAGTTTGATGCCAGCCTGGGCAACACAGTGAGACCCTGTCTCTGAAAACAAACCACTTGTTGAATAAGTGATGAACAAACCAACCAACCCAACCAGGATCAGATATTATTAGGACAGTGCTCAGTACATATCTTCTCAACTTCTAACTGTGATACAAAGCACCTCAGGCATTCTGGAAGAAAGAGAGCTAATAATCCCCTCTCTCTGAATGAAATCATAAACAAGGAACACTTCATCCATCCTGTTCTTCACAAATGTCCCAATCTAAATCCTTGTTAGAAATGCAAATTATTGGGCCTATCCCAGACCTGGTGAATCAGAAAATCTGGCGGTGAGGCCCAGAAATCTCTATTTAACACACCCTCCAGCTGACAGTGATATGCTCAAATTTGAGAAACACTGCCCTACCAAACCTGGAGCCCAAGAGTTGCCTAAGTCAACTCTATGGTGCCCACATCTTGAACATATGTCTAAACTGGACGAGCAGGGCAGGCATCGTAGCTAACTAATGTCTGTAATCCCAGCAGTTTGGGACACTGAGGCAGGAAGACTGCTTGAGGCCAGGAAAGTTCAAGACCAGCCTGGGCAACATACAGAGATCCTGTCTCTACAAAAAAAAAAAAAATTTAAATTAGCCAATTGTGGTGGCTCATGACTGTAGTCCTGGCTACTTGGAAGCCTGAGTGGGAAGGACTGCTTGAGCCCAGGAGGTCAAGGCTACAGTAAGCTGTGATTCCGCCACTGCACTCTAGCCTGGGCAGAAGAGCAAGGCCTATCTCAAAAAATAAAAAATGAACTGGACTAGTGATAGATATCCAAAACCACCAGCCTGAAAAATTCTAATAGTCTCCTACCTGATTTTGCTACCTGCATTTGCACTTCACTTCTGGTTTGTCTTCCCACATGGTCAGCATGGACAGCTTCCTAAAATAAAGACCTGCTTATGGCCAGGCACAGTGGCTCACACCTGTAATCCCGGCACTTTGGGAGGCTGAGATGGGAGGATTGCTTGAGCCCAGAAGTTCGAGACCAGTCTGGGCAACATAGTGAGACCCCATCTCTTTAAAAAAAATTTTTAATGGAAAAAAAAAAGACCTGCTTATGTCACCCCTTGCACAAAAGTTCTGAATGGCTCTCCAGTGCCTGCATATCTGAGGCCATACTTCTTTGCTTATTATACAGGTACACTCAAAATATACTGAAACCTCTTTCCAGCTTTATTCTCTTGTCAAATAAAAATAACTAGTATTTATAAACCATGTGTCAGCCTCTGGCCTAAGACTTTTGCCTACATTATCTCCTGAATCCTTGTAACAACCCTTAAACTAATAACTACTTTTACTATTTCAGTTCCACAAAGGAAGAATCTGAAGTCCAGAGGTGTAATACGCCCCCATGTTACCCATCTAGAAGGCCCTCATGAATATCACAGTAATGTTGGGATGCTGGCATTCTTCCCCAAAATAACCTACATTCCCACTTTCCACACCTTTGCAGTCAAGGCTCTCTCTTTACTGAATGCCCTTTTCCTATCTTCCCACTCTAATTTCCCACCTCTAATTTTCTCCATTCAGCCTTCAGGCACTAGATAAAATGCTATTTCCTCCATAAGCCTTCTCTAAACATCATCCTATTCATTTTGTACCAGAAACATGTAAGTACTAATGTTAAAACAATGTTATGTTCAACATATTAACAGAGATCATCTCTGCCAATGCTGAAGACATCTGATAAAATTCAACCCTCATCCTTTTAAGATAAGAATAGACAGGCCGGGTGCGGTGGCTCATGCCTGTAATCCCAGCACTTTGGGTGGCCGAGGCGGGCGGATCACAAGGTCAGGAGATTGAGACCATCCTGGCTAACACAGTGAAACCCTGTCTCTACTAAAAATACAAAAAATTAGCCGGGCGAGGTGGCGGGCACCTGTAGTCCCAGCTACTCGGGAGGCTGAGGCAGGAGAATGGTGTGAACCCCGGGGGACGGAGCCTGCAGTGAGCAGAGATCACGCCACTGCACTCCCATCTGGGCGAAAGAGTGAGACTCCGTCACAAAAAAAAAAGAATAGACAGATGCTTAGTAGATATGTGTACGTTGATTTACATACATACATAAATACATACATATTAGGCCAGGCACGGTGGCTCACACCTGTAATCCTAGCACTTTGGGAGACCAAGGCTGGTGGATCGTTTGAGGTCAGGAGTTCGAGACCAGCCTGGCCAACAAGGTGAAACCCCCGTCTCCACTAAAAAATACAAAAATTAGTCAGGCATGGTGGCGGGCACCTGTAATCCCAACTATTTGGGTGGCTGAGGCAGGAGAATCGCTTGAACGCAGGAGAATCGCTTGAACCCAGGAGGCAGAAGTTACAGTGAGCCAAGATTGTGCCACTGCACTCCAGCCCAGATGACAGAGACTCTGTCTCAAAAAATAATAATAAAAAAAATACACATATATATATAAAAAATAAATACAGACTTCAACTAAATGTTTACATCTTTCTCAATCTCAAAGCTAAAATCAAGCCCAATGGGAACACACTAGAAGTGTTCTCACTAACGTCAGGGGCCATACAGGCTATGCATTTAACCATCATTATTTATTACTATTGTGGAACTACTAGTTATCACAATCAGTCAAGACAAAGAAAACATAGGTATACAACTGGAAAGGAAAAAGTTAAATTATCATTATTTGCAAATGATATTATGTACAAAATCCAAATATATATACAAAAAAATTACATATATATATATATATATATATATATATATATAATCAACTGAAAACCTTTTACAGTTGATAAAAGAATCACCATAAGGTAGTGAAAACTAATATATATCAATGCCTTCACATACATCAACAACAAGCAGGCAGAAGTAAAATAATGATAATATTGATTATAATAATGATTCATTAACACTAAAATAAATAACAAAACCAAAAACTTGAAAATAAACTTAAAAAGAAATGTAAGAAATCTCTGAAACTCCCAGCAGGACACAGTGGCTCACGCCTGTAATCTCAGCAACTTGGGAGGCCGAGATGGGCAGATCACCTGAAGTCAGGAGTTAAAGACCAGCCTAGCCAACATGGTGAAACCCCGTCTCTACTAAAAATACAAAAATTAGCTGGGCATTGTGGCACGTTCCTGTAATCCTAGCTACTCAGGAAACTGAGGCAGGAGAATCACTTGAACCTGGGAGGTGGAGGTTGCAGTGAGCCGGGATTGCACCACTGCACTCCAGCCTGGGTGACAGAGCAAGACTCCACCTCAAAAAAAAAAAAAAAAAAAAAAGAAACCAAAAGAAATCTCTGAAACTCCGAAAGACAGAAAAGATGACTTCAACAAAAAGAAAAACATGCCACATTCTTAATGAGGAAAAGTCAATATAACGTAACCAAAGTGTCACTCTTCCTACATTCATCTAGAAATGTAACAGTCCCAATAAAAACAGGACTTCTTTAACTAAACAAACTTCAAGTTTATACAGAAAAACAAATATAACCAAGAAAGTTCTGGAAAATAAAGATGATGAAAGGGAACTAACTTCACCAAATAACAAAACATGCTAGAGTAATTAAAACAGTGTGGTCCTAACACATAAATACACAGATTAATGTAACAGAACAGAATGTCCAGGAATAGACCAAAATGTACACATATGGCAAAGTATACTATATACAGTAAATGATAAACAAGTAGGAGAAAGATTAATTGCGCAACAAAAGGTGTTGCAACAAATGGGTAGCCACGGAAAAAAATTAAGCTGGATCTAACACTTCACATCAAAATAAATTCCAAAAAGCACAGTGGCTCAGGCCTACAATCCCAGCACTTTGGGAAGTCAAGGCAGACAGATCACTTGAACCCAGGAGTTCAAGACCAGCCTGGGCAACATGGCAAAACCCTTCTCTACCAAAAGTACAAAAATTAGCTGGGCATGGTGATGCACACCTGTAGTCCCAGCTATTCAGGAGGCTGAAGCGGGTGGATTACCTGAGCCTGGCAAGGTCCAGGCTGTAGTGAGCCATGATCACACTACTGTGCTCCAGTATGGGCAACAGAATAAGACCCTGCCTCAACATAAAAATAAAAAATAAAAATAAATTCCAAATAGAGAAAAGATTTAAAGGTAAAATATGAAATATAAAAATTACTTTAGGCCAGGTGCAGTGGCTCATGCCTGTAATCCCAGCACTTTGGGAGGCCGAGACAGGTGGATCACCTGAGGTCAGGAGTTTGAGACCAGTCTGACCAATATGGCAAAACCCTGTCTCTACTAAAAATACAAAAATTAGCCAGTGTGGTGGTACACGCCTGTAGTCTCAGCTACTCAGGAGGCTGAGACAGGAGAATCACTTGAACCTGGGAGGCGGAGGTTGCAGTGAGCCGAGATCATCCGAGATCGTGTGAGATCGTGCCACTGTACTCTAGTCTGGGCAACAAAGCGAGACTCCGTCTCAAAAAAAAAAGATAAATAAGATCTGGAAAAATACAACTGCAATTCATATCGCTGACAAGGTGCTAAATTCCCGCGTATATAAGCAATTTTGACAAAATCAATTTAAAAATACCAAAGCCCAGCTAGGCACAATGGCTCACACCTACAATCCCAGCACTTTGGGAGGCTGAGGCGGGTGGATCACCTGAGGTCAGGAGTTCAGACCAGCCTGGCCAACATGGTGAAACCCTGTCTCTACTAAAAATACAAAAATTAATGATAAACTATCATAAAGAAACATTCAGAGAAAAAAGCAAGGGAGCAGTGTCCTACTTTCATGTAAGAGAACAGAAGTCTCTGCTTATTTGTCTATAAATGCACAAAACACCTGGGAATGGACACATGAGAAGTGGCAGCACCAGCAGCCTCTGGGGAGAGGATCTGGTAGCCAGGTGCAAGATGGAAGGGAAACTTTCCCATGTAGTTTACCTTTCCAATTTTGTGTCATGTAAATGTATTTCTACATTGAAAAGCTGAAATTAAAAAATAATGAGCAAAGTTTCCTGTGGAAGCAGCAGCCCTCTTCTCTGAGCTTCTCTAACTGTGAACTTCCACCTTGCTCATTCTGACTCTCTCAGCCTCCTGGATTGACTGCGTTCCCCTTCAGGAGAAGGGAATAACTGAATCACCTTGTGTTCCCTAGAGCACCCAGCACCTCACCTGGTGCTGAGCAGAAAGTCACTATAGGTCTGCTCACTGAGCTAAACTAGTCCACTGGTGCAAACAATTCATCCCTTTGGGATAATGTTTTTCTGAAAGTTGTCAAGCGGACCAATGCTAAGGGCAGAAAATTACTTCTCTGGGCCGGGCACGGTGGCTCACGTCTATAATCCCAGCACTTTGGGAGGCCGAGGTGGGTGGGTCACGAGGTCAGGAGATCGAGACCATCCTGGCTAACATAGTGAAACCCCGTCTCTACTAAAAATACAAAAAATTAGCTGGGCCTGGTGGCGGGTGCCTGTAGTCCCAGCTACTCAGGAGGCTGAGGCAGGAGAATGGCATGAACCCGGGAGGCGGAGCTTGCAGTGAGCTGAGATGGCGCCACTGCACTCCAGCCTGGGCAATGGAGCGAGACTCCGTCTCAAAATAAATAAATAAAAAGAAAATTGCTTCTCTAAGCTTCAAAATTAGCCAGTAACCTGGGAGAATTTTCAGCAGATCAAGTTAATAGTATTGAAAAAAGGTCGGGCACGGTGGCTCACGCCTGTAATCCCAGAACTTTGGGAGGCTGAGGTGGGCAGATCACCTGAGGTCTGGAGTTCAAGACCAGCCTGGGCAACATGGTGAAACCCCGTCTCTACTAAAAATACAAAAATTAGCAGGGCGTGGCCAGGCGCAGTGGCTCATGCCTGTAATCCCAGCACTTTGGGAGGCCAAGGCGGGTGGATCACGAGGTCAGGAGTTCAAGACCAGCTGGCCAACACAGTGAAACCCCGTCTCTACTCAAAAACAAAAATTAGCTGGGTGTGGTGGCATGCGTCTGTAATTCCAGCTACTCAGGAGGCTGAGGCAGGAGAATCGCTTGAACCCTGGAGGCAGAGGTTGCAGTGAGCTGAGATTGCACCACTGCACTCCAGCCTGGGCAACAGGGGCAAAACTCTGTCTCAAAAAAATAATAATAATTAAATAGTATTGAAAAAATAAAGGAATTTCAGTTAATGAACGAAAGCTGATTTCAGAGAATTTAAAGCCTAAAAACACACATATTCAAGAAGATGAGTACTGGCACATTTTAGAGTAACTGTTGGGATGGCACAGCAACACCCAAATTGAAGTAAGACCAAATTATATTAGTTGGTTGTAATGGTTGTCACAAATAACCACGTGCATAATGTCAACCCTCTTTACAATAGAACACCAACAAACCTATTAAAGATTTTCTTCCACAATGCCAGTTACCTACATTCTTACTCCCTCTTGACCTGGTCAGGAATGACTAACAAAGGGACTGAACTGCTGCTGCTAAGAATCAGTTTTATTTTTATTTATTTCTTTATTTGAGACAGAGTTTTGCTCTTGTTGCCCAGGCTGACGTGCAACGGCGTGATCTCGGCTCACTGCAACCTCAGCCTCCTGGGTTCAAGCGATTCTCTTGCCTCAGCCTCGCAAGTAGCTGGGATTACAGGTATGTGCCACCATGCCTGGCTAATTTTTTATTTTCAGTAGAGATGGGGTTTCACCATGTTGGTCAGGCTGGTTTCAAACTCCTGACCTCAGGTGATCTGCCCGCCTTGGCCTCCCAAAGTACTGGGATTACAGGTGTGAGCCACCGTACCCAGCCAAGAATCTGTTTTAAAGCTAGAAACAACTTGAGAGCCCATGGGGGCAGCCTTGTCATTTCACACAATGTCTTGGCCCATGGACAGAGTGTCCTCAGCCTCCACTCCAGCAGGTACTTGTAGGAGCACAGCCAGGACCAGCCTCCTGCCACCAGCTACACATGAGCATATCAGGCCACACAGGCTAAACACCCTTTGCCTGATTTCCTGCAAGAAGCGTGCTTTGCTGGAGGGCATCAAAGCTCTTGACAGTTTTATACAATCAAATCCCAAAATGGGAGATGTGACGAGTCTCGTTGCGTTACTACTTCAATATTAGGGGAACCCACCCCCAATATTTCAACATAGGTTCTTTCTATTTTCCGTAAGTGTCGGCCGGCTGAGAAATAAAGAGAAACAGTACAAAGAGAGGAATTTTACAGCTGGGCCTCCAGGGGTGACATCACATATGAGTAGGACCGTGATACCCACCCGAGCTGCAAAACCAGCAAGTTTTATTAAGGATTTCAAAAGGGGAGGGGGTGCAAGAACAGGGAGTAGGTCACAAGATCACATGCTTCAAAGGGCAAAAAGGAGAACAAAGATCACATGCTTCTGAGGAAACAGGACAAAGGCAAATTCAGAACTACTGATAAGGGTCTATGTTCAGCTGTGCACGTATTGTCTTGATAAACATCTTAAACAACAGAAAATAGGGTTCAAGAGCAGAGAACCGGTCTGACCTCAAATTTACCAGGGCGGAGTTTCCCAATCCTAGTAAGCCTGAGGGTACTGCAGGAGACCAGGGCGTATTTCAGTCCTTATCTCAACCGCATAAGACAGACACTCCCAGAGCGGCCATTTATAGACCTCCCACCAGGAATGCATTCCTTTCCCAGGGTCTTAATTATTAATATTCCTTGCTAGGAAAAGAATTTAGCGATATCTTCCCTACTTGCATGTCCATTTATAGGCTCTCTGCAAGAAGAAAAATATGGCTCTATTCTGCCAGACCCCACAGGCAGTCAGACCTTATGGTTGTCTTCCCTTGTTCCCTAAAATAGCTGTTATTCTGTTTTCAAGATGCACTGATTTCATATTGTTCAAACACACGTTTTACAATCAATTTGTACAGCTAACACAATAGTGGTCCTGAGGTGACGTACATCCTCAGCTTACGAAGATAACAGGATTAAGAGATTAAAGTAAGACAAGCATAAGAAATTATAAAGTATTAATTTTGGGAACTGATAAATGTCCATATTAAAAGGAAATATTAACGATTTATGTTCAGAGATTGAAGTAAAGACAGGTGTAAGAAATTATAAAAGTATTAATTTTGGGAACTGATATATGTCCATATTAAAATGAAATCTTCACCATTTATGTTCCTCTGCCGCGGCTCCAGCCAGTCCCTCCGTTCGGGGTCCCTGACTTCCCACAACACTTCAAGAACTGTTTTTTGGTTTTTTGTTGTTGTTGTCTTTTTGAGACAGAGTCTCACTCTGTCCCCCAGGCTGAAGTGCAGTGGCACAATCTCGGCTCACTGCAACCTCTGCCCCCGCCCCCAGGTTCAAGCGATTCTCCTGCCTCAGCCTCCCAAGTAGCTGGGATTACAGGTGCCTGCCACTGTGCCCAGCTAATTTTCTTATTTTTAGTAGATATGGGGTTTCACCATCCTGGCCAGGCTGGTCTTGAACTCCTGACCTCGTGATCCACCCGCCTCGACCTCCCAAAGTGCTGGGATTACAGGCGTGAGCCACTGCGCCCAGCAAGAACTCTTAATATAAACGTTGCATGGAAGAGGGTTCCAAACAGTGCAAAGAGGGGAGGAGTTTGTGAGGAGAAATGTGGCAAAGAAGAAAGCCAAGAGATGAGGCTCACCTGGGCCCCTTTTCCTTGGGGTGAGGGTCCAGGAGCCCCTAGAGCTCTCTCCAGCACACCAGACTTCACCGGCCCCTTCCACCACCTTATCTCCCAGGAGAGCCTCCCCTCTGTACCCCCTCCATGCCCACCAGCTTCTAAGAACCTTTCATCCTGCTCACCGCTGGCCCTAAGACTCCCTCCACACTCTTCAAGGCAAAGGGTGGTACTCTGGGCTCACAAACCTAAGTGCTATGGGTTCTTGTCAAGTCACAATGTGTGAAGCCTCACAGATAAACAAATCACATCTACATGGTGCTCATTCCCAAATATTTGGTCAAAGTCTAAAAAACAAAGATTTTGTTTCTGTCTCAAATTGTAAGGCCTGCTGTAAGTTTTAATTGCTTCTTTTTCATATCTATAATCTGGTACTAAGTAAAACTTTCCAGCTAACAGGACAACTGTGGACTGTGATATGCACTGGGACCACACAATTCTTCCAAATGTTCACAGTCACTTCTCAGACTGGAACTTGCTTGCCTTCCAGACATTTATAGAGACAAAGGAACAGAAAGCTACCAGATTTCAGAGCTAGGAGAGATGGGATCCTCCAGCACAATATCCTATTGGTAAGGAAGAAACTGAGGCTTAGGGAAGGTCATGCCAGATGACCCAGGTCATGTAGCAAATGACAACAATCAACACTCTGGTTCCAACTCCCAGCCCGGGGAACATTTCCATGACAGAGTTGATTCCCCAGCACCTCCCAACAAAATAATGTGTTTTAACCTATGTAAGAGCAGTCTAGGCCGGGCACGGTGGCTCACTCTTATAATCCTAGGACTCTCGGAGGCCGAGGCAAACAGATCACTTCAGGTCAGGAGTTTGAGACCAGCGTGAGCAACACGGTGAAACCCTATCTCTACTAAAAATACAAAAATTAGCCGAGCATGGTGACAGGCACCTATAATCCCAGCTACTTGGGAGGCTGAGACAGGAGAATCACTTAAACCCAGGAGGCAAAGGTTGCAGTGAGCTGAGATCACACTGCTGTACTCCAGCCTGGGCGACAGAGTGAGACTCCATCTCAAAAAAAAGCAATCTAGCATTCAGATTTAAATGTTTACTATAATCAGTGACAAAGTATTCTACTTCGTTTTGTGGTAAAAAAAAATTATTAACATAAACATCATTTTAACCCCTTTTAAGTGTACAGTTCAGTGGTATTAAGTACATTCATATTGTTGTGCAGCCATCACCACCATCCATCTTTTTTATCTTCCTAAACTGAAACCTTTTGTCTTAGCTAGGAGATCAACTTTTTCTTTTAACAAGTTTACTATATAACTTGTCAAAGGTTTTTCTGTAAAACAGTCATCTGACAGCCTCTGCCCCATCAGCTATACAACCTCTGCCCCATCGGCTATCTGTGTAGTAAAGGCACACGCAGTGAAGCCTCCATTCTTTCAATCTAAGGACCTGCCTGCTTGAAGACAGACTGTAAAACACCTTCATGGATGAGTTATGACTTATGATCAAACACCATCAGAGGCAGCCACTGAAAGGGCTGACCATAAAGACACTATGCTGAAATGAGAAACGCCTACAACCATCCTGGCTAACACGGTGAAACCCCGTCTCTACTAAAAATACAAAAAATTAGCCGGGCGTGGTGGCACATGCCTGTAATCCCAGCTACTCAGGAGGCTGAGGCAGGAGAATCGCTTGAACCTGAGAGGCGGAGGTTGCAGTGAGCCAAGATCGCGCCATTGCACCCCAGACTGGGCAATAAGAGCGAAACTCCGTCTCAAAAAAAAAAAAAAAAAAAAAGAAAGAAAGAAAGGAAAACACCTACTTATTTCCTAGTTGTGAGTGACATCATGTCCCTACTGATGTCCTAGAAGGTTGTGCTTCTCAGCCTCCCTTCCTGCTTCCCCATAGGCTTTGTTCCTGGCCTGCTTTCCTCATCTACCCTTTCTCCCCAGGGCTTCTCAGCCTGACTCCTGGCTCCAATTCTCATCTGTTTGCTGATGTCTCTTACATACACACCTCTCAAGCCTCTCCCCTAAGCTCCTTATTTACACTATTTCCACTTGGTATCTCCACTCAAATGCCTAATAAGCACTTCAAATCTAACAAGACCAAAAACAGAATTCTTGATTTCCCCACAGTAGCTGTTCTTTCCCAGCCATCTCAGTTAATTATACCACTAGCTACCCTGTTTATTCCTCCGGCGGAAAGTTTAGGAAACATCCTACAACAAGCCCACATCTGAAACAGCTGGTTACAACAGTTTTACCTCCAAGTCAGATCCCCAACCTGACCAACAATCATCATCTCCCTGGCTACTCTCCCATCACTGACCATGGGGACAGCAGGAATGCCTCTATTCATTCCTGCCTCATTCCATCCTCGATAAATCTTTCTAAAGCACAAATCACTAATGTCACTACCCTGCTCAAAACACTCCAGTGGGCCGGGGTGCGGTGGCTCGTGCCTGTAATCCCAGCACTTTGGGAGGCAGAGGCAGGCGGATCACTTGAGGTCAGGAGTTTGAGACCAGCCTGGCCAACATAGTGAAACCTTGTGTCTACTAAAAATACAAAAATTAGCTGGGTGTGGTAGTGCCTGTAATCCCAGCTACATGGGAAACTGAGGCACGAGAATAACTTGAACCCAGGAGTCAGAGGTTGCAGTGAGCTGAGAATGCATGACTGCACTCGAGCCTGGCAGCCTAAGTGACAAAGTGAGACTGTCCCTAAAAAAAAAACTAAAATTAAAAATTAAAAGAAAACAGGGGCTTAGCCTTGTTCACTGCTGAATCCCCAGAACTTTAACAGTGTCTGACACCTAGGAAGAATTCAATAAGCATCTGTTGACTTCTAAGTTTTTTGGTTTTTTGTTTTATTTTTGAGATAGGGTCTTGCTCTGTCACCCAGGCTGGATACAGTTGTACAATCGTGGCTCACTGCGGTCTCAACCTCCCAAGTGATCCTCCCATCTCAGCCTCTCACACTGCTGGGACTACAGGCATGAGCCACCACATCTGGCTAATTTATTTTATTTTATTTTTTAATATTTATTTATTTGAGACAGAGTCTCGCTCTGTCACCCAGGCTGGAGTACAGTGGCATGATCTCAGCTCACTGCAACCTCCGCCTCCCAGGTTCAAGCAATTCTCCTGCCTTAGCCTCCTGAGTAGCTGGGATTACAGGCGCTTCCCACTAAGCCTGGCTAATTTTTCTATTTTTAGTAGAGACGGGGTTTCACCATGTTAGTCAGGCTGGTCTTGAACTCCTGATCTCAGGTGATCCGCCTGCCTCGGCCTCTCAAAGTGCTGGGATTACAGGCGTGAGCCACTGCACCAGGCTTTTTTTATTTTTTGTAGAGATGAGGGTCTCACTATGTTGCCCAGGCTGGGACTGATTTGTGTTTTTTTTTTTAAAGTAGATATTAAACATACATCTCAGATGACAAGTGGAATTTATTCCCAAAGTGCAAGGATGGTTTAACAAAAATCAATTAAGGTAATATGCCACATTACTAGAATGAAGGAGAAAAACAATGATCATCCCAACTGATGCAGAAAAAGCATTTAACAAAATTCAAGATAACTTTTTGATTAAAAAATACTCAATGAAATAGGAATAGAAGGCAATATCCTCAACATAATAAAGGGGTATATATGAAAATCTCACAGCTTACATCACACTTGATGGTGAAAGACTAAAAGCTTTTCCCCTAAAATCAGGAACAAGACAAGGATGCCACTTCTATTTAATCCAGTACTGAAAAGTTTTAGCCAGAGAAATTAAGCAAGAACCTTCTCACTGCCTCATTTACCCTTTCTCTCCAGGCATCTCAACTGGACAGGAAGTAGTAAAATTATTTCCGTTCCTAGATGACATGATCTTACATGTAGAAAACCCTAAAGATTACACACACACACAGCTAATAAATGAATTCAACAAAGTTGTAGGATGCAAAATGAACATGCAAAAATCAGTTGCATTTCTATTGTTCACTGACAGTGAACAATCTAAAAACAAAATTAGGAAAACATTCCATTTATAATAGCATCAAAAAGAATAAAATACTTAGGAATAAATTTAAGCAAGGGAGACAAAAGACATAAACTGAAACATTGCTGAAACAAATTAAAGACGTAAAATAAAGGGAAAGAAATCCCACTTTCCCACTTTCATGGATTGGAAGATGATATTCTTTTTTTTTTTTCTTTTTTTTAGACAGAGTCTTGCTCTGTCACCCAGGCTGGAGTGCAGTGGCACAATCTCGGTTCACTGCAATCTCCGCCTCCCAGGTTCAAGCGATTCTCCTGTATCAGCCTCCTGAGTAACTGGGATTACAGGTGTATGCCACCACACCTGGATAATTTTTGTATTGTTAGTAGAGACAGGGTTTCACCATGTTGGCCAGGCTGGGAAGACAATATTCTTTAAATGACAACGTTATCCAAAGCTATCTACAAACGCAATCCATATCAAAATGCAATGCAATCCCTATCAAAATTCTAACAGCTGGCCAGGCACGGTGGCCCATGCCTGTAAACCCAGCACTTTGGGAGGTCAAGTGGGGAGGACTGCTTGAGCCCTGGAGTCCTCAAGACCAGCCTGGGCAACACAGTGAGACTCCATCTCTACAAAAAATTTTTTAATTAGCCAGGCACAGTAGTACATTCCTGTAGTCCCACCTACTTAGCAGGCTGAGGTGGGAGGATCACTTGAGCCTGGGAGCTCAAGGCTGTAGTGAGCAGTGACTGCGCCAATGCATTCCAGCCTAGGTGACAGAGCAAGACTCCGTCTCAAAAAAAAAAAAAGAATATTGTCTTCCAATCCATGAACGTGGGATTTCTTTCCATTTACTTGTTTAAAAAAACAAAAAAAAAAAAGCTGGGTGCAGTGGCCCACGCCTGTAATCCCACCACTTTGGGAGGCCAAGGCAGGTGGGTCATGAGGTCAAGAGATCGAGACCATCTTGGCCAACATGGTGAAACCCCGTCTCTACTAAAAATACAAAAATTAGCTGGGCGTGGTGGCAGGTGCCTGTAATATCAACTACTCAGGAGGCTGAGGCAGGAGAATCGCTTGAACCCAGGAGGTGGAGTTTGCAGTGAGCCAAGATTGCGTCACTGCACTCCAGCCTGACAACAGAGTGAGACTGTCTTAAAAACCAAAAAAAAAAAAAAAAAAAAAGAAAGAAATTCTCCCCATTACTTTGTCCAAAGAAAAAAGTGGGAACCCTGAATAGCCAAAACAAACTTGAAAAACAAGAACTAAGTTGAGGACTCACACTTCCTGATTTCAAAACTTACTATAAAGCTACAGTAAGCAGAACAATGTGGTACTGGCATAAGGTCAGACATATAAAACAATAGAGAGCCCAGATCTTCTGTAGTTCATCAGTATGATACCTGGGTGTTTCACACACATGTGAGATGAGTCATTCTTGAACCTTGTTATGATGTCAGCACTACCCATCTAACCTGAAAAAAAGAAAAGAAGAAGAAAAAAGAACCCAAAAATAAACTCTCACAAATATAATCAACTGATTTTTGACAAAGATGCCATGACCAGTCACTGGGGAAAGGACAGTCTCTTCAACAAATGCTACTGGGAAAACTGGATAGTTACACGCAAAAGTGAAGTTGGACTCTTATACACAAAAATTAACTCAAAATAGATCAAATAAATGAAAAAAGAAGAGCTAAAACTGTAAAGCCCTTAGAAGAAAATATAAGAAAAAGATCTTCATGATGCTGAGTTTAGCAAGGATTGAAAAGTATAGGCAACAAAAGAAAAAAATTGATAAACTGGAATTCATAAAAATTAAAAACTTTTGGCCGGGCGTGGTGGCTCACGCCTTAATCCTAGCACTTTGGGAAGCCAAGGCAAGCGGACTGCTTGAGCTCAGAAGTTTGAGACCAGCCTGGACAACATGGCAAGACCCCATATCTTAAAAAAAAATAAATACAAAAAAAATTAGCCAGGCATGGTGGTGTGCACCTGTAGTTTCAGCTACTTGAGAGGCTGAGGTGGGAGGACTGCTTGAGTCCAGGAAGTGGAGGCTGCAATGAGCCAACACTGTAGCACTGCACTCCACCCTGGGTGACTGAGGGAGACTCTGTCTTAAAAAAGAAAAAAAAAAAAAAGTTAAAAATTGTGCAAATCACACAATAAAGAGAGTGAAATGCTAACCAACAGAATGGGAGAAACTATTCACAAATCATATATCTAACAAGGGTTTAATATCCAGAATTTGTAAAGAATTCCTACAACTCAACAATAACAACAAAATAACAATTAATAACTCAAAGTGAGAAAAGGACTTGAATGAACATTTCTCTAAAGAAGATATACAGGCTCGGTGGGGTGGCTCATGCCTGTAATCCCACCACTTTGGAAGGCTGAGGTGGATGGGTCACTTGAGCTCAGGAGTTCAAGGCCAGCCTAGGCAACATGGTGAAACCCCATCTCCACAAAAAATATGAATATAAGCCAGGCATGGGGGCACATGCCTGCAGTCCCAGCTACTTGGAAGACTGAGGTGGGAGGATCACTTGGGACCAGAGGCTTGAGGCTGCAGTCAACTGTGATTGCGCCACTGCAGTCTGGGCAACAGAGCAAGAAGACCCCGTCTCAAGAAAAAGAAAAAGAAAAAAAAACCCAAACAACAACAAAAAAGAAGATATACAAATGGCCAATCAACATATGAAAAATTGCTCAACATCAATATTCCTTAGAAAATACAAATTGAAATCACAATGAGATACCAATTCCCACCCACTGGCCCTTGGGTACATGTGCACAACATACAGGTTTGTTACATATGCATACATGTGCCATGTTGGTGTGCTGCACCCGTTAACTCGTCATTTACATTAGGTTTATCTCCTAATGCTATCCCTCCCCCCTCCCCCCATCCCCCGGCAGGCCCTGGTGAGTGATGTTCCCATGTCCAGGTGTTCTCATTGTTCAATTCCCACCTATGAGTGAGAACATGCGGTGTTTGGTTTTCTGTCCTTGCGATAGTTTGCTCAGAATGATGGTTTCCAGCTTCATCCATGTACCTATAAAGGACATGAACTCACCTTTTTTTATGGCTGCATAGTATTCCATGGTGTATATGTGCCACATTTTCTTAATCCAGTCTATCATTGATGGACATTTGGGTTGGTTCCAAGTCTTTGCTATTGTGAATAGTGCCGTAATAAACATACGTGTGCATGTGCCTTTATAGCAGCATGATTTATAATCCTTTGGGTATATGCCCAGTAATGGGATGGCTGGGTCAAATGGTATTTCTAGTTCTAGATCCTTGAGGAATCGCCACACTGTCTTCCACAATGGTTGAACTAGTTTACAGTCCCACCAACAGTGTAAAAGGGTTCCTATTTCTCCACATCCTCTCCAGCACCTGTTGTTTCCTGACTTTTTAATGATCCCCATTCTAACTGGTGTGAGGGTATCTCATTGTGGTTTTGATTTGCATTTCTCTGATGGCCAGTGACGACAAGCATTTTTTCATGTGTCTGTTGGCTGCATAAATGTCTTCTTTTGAGAAGTGTCTGTTCATATGCTTCACCCACTTTTTGATAGGGTTGTTTGATTTTTTTCTTGTAAATCTGTTTAAGTTCTTTGTAGATTCTGGATATTAGCCCTTTGTCAGATGGGTAGATTGTAAAAATTTTCTCCCACTCTGTAGGTTGCCTGTTCAGTCTGATGGTAGTTTCTTTTGCTGTGTAGAAGCTCTTTAGTTTAATTAGATCCCATTTGTCAATTTTGGCTTTTGTTGCCATTGCTTTTGGTGTTTTAGTCATGAAGTCCTTGCCCATGCCTATGGCCTGAATGGTATTGCCTAGGTTTTCTTCTAGGGTTTTTATGGTTTTAGGTCTAACATTTAAGTCTTTAATCCATCTTGAATTGATTTTTGTATAAGGTGTAAGGAAGGGATCCAGTTTCAGCTTTCTACATATGGCTCCTGGATCGATAGTTTCTATGTAGAATAATGAAAACATTCTGGAAATGGATAGTGATGATGGTTGCATAACAATGTGAATACATTTAATGTCACTAAATAGTACACTTAAAAATGGTTAAAATGGGCCAGGCACGTTGGCTCACACCTGCAATCCCAGCACTTGGGGATGCCAAGGTGGGCAGATCACTTGAGGTCAGGAGTTCAAGACCAGCCTGGCCAACATGGTGAAACCCTATCTCTACAAAAAATACAAAAATTAGCCGGGTGTGGTGGCACATGCCTGTAGTCCCAGCTACTTGGTAAGCTGAGACAGAAGAATCGCTTGAACCGGGAGGCAAAGGTTGCGGTGAGCAGAGACCACGCCGTTGCATTCCAGCTTGAGTGACAAGGAGACTCCGTCTCAAAAAAAAAATCACCAAATAATTTTTGTTTGTTTGTTTTGAGAGTCTTGTTCGGTCACCCAGGCTGGAGTGCTGTGACACGATCCTGGCTCACTGCAACCTTTACCTCTGGGTCCAAACAATTCTTCCTCAGCTTCCCAAGTAGCTAGAATTACAGGTGCGTGCCACCATGACCCTGCTAATTTTTGTATTTTTAGTACAGGCAAGGTTTCACCATGTTGGCCAAGCTGGTCTTGAACTTCTGACCTCAAGTGATCCACCCACCTTGGCCTCCCAAAGTGCTGGGATTACAGGCATGAGCCACTGCACCCAGCCACCAAATAATTTTAAAAGTATAATGAGAAGAGGCTTGCCTGCCACCATGTAAGACATGCCTTTGCTCCTCTTTCACCTTCTGCCATGATTGTGAGGCCTCCCCAGCCATGTGGAACTTATATTCATTGCTCAACAAGGAAGAGACTTGCAAGGCTATTACCCTGGGCAGTTGGCAAGACTCCATTTTGATCATAGTGCAAAGAGAGCTCTCAGATTGGAACAAGAAATTAGCCACAGATTCACTGAATCCTTGACCTCTTAGTTCACTGCCACAGCTCTACTATTGTGAAGAGAGAAGCGGTTTTGAAAGAAATGCTTTTAAATTAAAATAACCAAGGCATTCGAACAAAATATCGTTTGGCATTCTTAGGTAACTCTTTTAGACTAATGTAATGGTAGCAAAACTACTTTTAAGTGTGTATACAGATGGCTCTAATCCTAAAATATTTACATGCTGCAAATTATTTTCAGATTAAGTTGGTCAGCTTACAACAGGGGATCAAGAGCTAGCCTTAAGAGAACTTGTTTTTTACCCCATTACCAGTCTTATTGCTGATGCTGGCAAACCATCATACATTTAGGCCAATGGTTATATGTAGGCTCAGGTAAGAAGATTACTGCATCTGCTCAGTAAGTGCATCACCGTTGGGAAAAATAAAAAAGAACCTAGGGGACATAGCCAATGAGGAAGAAGACTGGCACTAGAGACCCTAAAGGGGCTTGGGATGGAGAAACCCAGGTGTAGCATAGGGCTATAGTGAGATGTGGGACTGGTAAAAAGGATTAAGTGAACATCTGTACACAGGAGTTAACACCCTTATCTGGGCAAGAAGAAAGCCTGACAACTAGGCATCAGCTCCTCAGGCAGAAAGCTAAAGGGTCTTCTCTAAGGACAGGAAAGGATCCCAAAGAAAAGAACCTTTGCGGGGCGCAGTGGCTCACGCCTATAATCCCAACACTTTGGGAGGCCGAGGCAGGCAGATCACCGGAGGTCAGGAGTTCAAGACTAGCCTGGCCAACATGGTGAAATCCCATCTACTAAAAGTACAAAAACTAGCCAGGTGTGGTGGCAGGTGCCTGTAATCCCAGCTACTTGGGAGGCTGAGGCAGGAGAGTCGCTTGAACCCAGGGGGGCGAAGGTTGCAGTGAGCCGAGATCGCACCACTGCACTCCAGCCTGGGCGACAAGAGCAAGACTCTGTTTCAAGAAAAAAACAAAAAAACCTTACCAGTTCCCCAGCATACTAGTGGGCTCCCTCCTCATTTACCCCAAAGTAACACCTATCAATTAATAAACTTCTCCCCCCAAAAAAAAGTATAATGAGGATTAAAGGATATAGATGAAACAAGAGTGTCCCCAAGTTAATGACTAAGTGACAGACATAACTGAGTGATAGGTACACAAGGGCTTATTGCTCTCTATTTGGATGTATATTTGAGTTTTACTATAATAAATATTAAAAAACAAACAAGTCTTCAAAATGTGCAAAGCTTTTCAAGAATTTATCCCCTTACAAATTTTAGCAAAAATGAGTACAGAAGAGGAGGCAGGGAAAGGCAAGGCTCAGAGGGATTCAACAGTATAAAAAATAAAATAAAATAAGAATAAGAACAAAGATTTGGCTATAAGAATACAATCACAGTAATATTTAGAACGGGAAGGAAATGTGTTATGTATTTTATAGTAAAACCTGAGACAAAGAGCAGAAACCATTAAAAACAATCTAGACGATTAAAACACTTAAGCACAAGCTGGAAGACCCTGGATACAAACTTGACTCTGAGCTTCCTAGTGGCCAAGGCAGAGAGAGGAAAACATCAACATAGTTCTAGTATACTTAGAGGTATACTACAGGCGCATGCCACCACACCTGGCTAACTTTTGTATTTATAGTGGAGACGGGGTTTCACACATGTTGGTCAGGCTGGTCTCGAACTCCTGACCTCAGGTGATCCACCCTCCTCAGCCTCCCAAAGTGCTGAGATTACAGGCATGAGCCACTGTGCCTGGCCAACACCTTGTATATTTTATGCTTTCTGAAAATGCTAAATATCAAATAAGCCACTGGTTCCCAAATGTTTTGATCATGAATGCCCAACAACAAAAATTCAAGTATATGCTCCCAATACATGTACACTTACATATAAATTATATATGTACTACAGTGATAATACAGTGTACATTATAAAGTACATAATAAAAATTATTATGGTGGTTCATGCCTGTAATCCCAGCACTTTGGGAGGTTAAGGTGGGTGGATCACTTGAGGCCAGGAGTTTGAGACCAGCCTAACCAATATGGTGAAACCCCATCTCTACTAAAAATACAAAATTAGCCAGGTGTGGTGGTGCACAGCTGTAATCCCAGCTACTCGGGAGGCTGAGGCAGGAGACCAAGATTGCAGTAAACCAAGATAGCATCAATGCACTCCAGCCTGGGCAACAGATTGAGTGAGACTCCATCTCAAAAAAATAATAATAATAATTAAATGGGGCCGGGCGCGGTGGCTCACGCCTGTAATCCCAGCACTTTGGGAGGCCGAGGCGAGTGGATCATGAGGTCAGGAGATCGAGACCATCCTGGCTAACAAGGTGAAACCCCGTCTCTACTAAAAATACAAAAAAATTAGCCGGGCGCGGTGGCGGGCGCCTGTAGTCCCAGCTACTCGGGAGGCTGAGGCAGGAGAATGGCGTAAACCCGGGAAGCGGAGCTTGCAGTGAGCCGAGATTGCGCCACTGCAGTCCGCAGTCCGGCCTGGGCGACAGAGCGAGACTCCGTCTCAAAAAAAAAAAATAAAATAAAATAATAATAATAATAATAATAATTAAATGAAGCTGAAATAAACAGGAAAATTAGTTTTATTTTTTTCCTGAGATCCACGTGCATCTTTATGCTTACATACCAACTTTGGACCCCACTGCAAAGCTTCCTTATGATTTAGCATCCCTGCAACCATTCTAGGTTAGTGCCCTTGACTGCTTAAGCAGAAACTGTCAAATGGCAGTGGTCAAATTGCTGTCACCTTCTTGCTGAGTTCCACCATCCCCACACTAGAGTCAGTGACGCTGGCTTCCTCCCACCACCCCTACCACCTTCTTCCACTACCCTTACCTGCCAATGAGCAACAGAAAAGACTGTGGGCTGCGTGCAGTGGCTCACGCCTGTAATCCCAGCACTTTGGGAGGCCGAGGCGGGCGGATCACCTGAGATCGGGAGTCTGAGACCAGCCTGACCAATAGGGAGAAACCTCGCCTCTACTAAAAATACAAAATTAGCCAGGCGTGGTAGTGCATGCCTGTAATCCCAGCTACTCAGGAGGCTGAGGCAGGAGAATCGCTTGAACCTGGGAGGCGGAGGTTGCAGTGAGCTGAGATCACGCCATTGCACTCCAGCCTGGGCAAGAAGAGCGAAACTCCATCTCAAAAAAAAAAAAAAAAAAACAGACTGTGGAAGCAGGTACAAGAACAGCATAAAAGGATGGACTCTTTTGTCAGCCAAATCTCAGTTTGCACACAACACACTCCGTCTCAAATTCGCTAGGTGACCCAGGGCCAGTCAAATAACTTTTCTAAAACTCTCCGTAAAGGGGGTGATAACAGTGTTATCTCACCTGGTTATTATGAAAACTAAGTGAGATAAGCTAATATTACAGTACCTAGGACACTGCCTAAACAGCACAAGTGCTCGATATCACCCAGAATTATTACTCTGAGTGGCAAAAGACGACACCTGAACCTTGTTTCTTTAGCCAACTCAGTAAGGTAGCAAGTTCTAACGGAAGGAGCTCAGGTGGCAGAGGTGTGGCAGACCTGGTTTGAAGGATGATCCACCCTTGACAAGCTGGGTGACCTTGTAAGAACCCAGCTTCTCTATGAGGAGTCCTCTCATCTGTTCAACGGGGGTGATGACACAAACTGTATATGAAGTACCTGTCAGAGCCGGTAAAACACTGGCAACCACCAATGGTGAGAGTAAGCAAACAGCACATGAACCTGTCATTCCAGGATCCCTGAGGCACATTCACATGCATGGCTAGATTCTGAGAGAGAAAACATCCCTAAAGTCTACCACCAAATGTTAATATACATACCTGCAGTGAAGCCCACAGGCACACTTTTTCTTTCCTTTTTTAGTTTATTTAATTCCTGAATCGCATATGCCTCCATTTTTCTAGTAATAAACTTGTAGTAAACTTTTTACCCACCTAATGACAGTGACTGAGGGAACGGGGGAAGGGCCCCAAACCAGTGATTATAAAGTCCACGGAGATCTCTAGAGAGGGGGCGTTTTTGCCGCAACAGCAAAAGAAAAGAGAGAGCATTCAAGCCAGGCGCGGTGGCTCACGCCTGTAATCCCAGCACTTTGGGAGGCCGAAGCGGACGGATCATGAGGTCAGGAGATAGAGACGATCCTGGCTAACACGGTGAAACCCCGTCTCTACTAAAAATACAAAAAAGTAGCCGGGCATGGTGGCGGGCGCCTGTAGTCCCAGCTACTTGGGAGGCTGAGGCAGGAGAATCGCTTGAACCCGGCAGGCGGAGGGTGCAGTGAGCCGAGATGGCGCCACTGCACTCCAGCCTGGGCGACAGAGCGAGACTCCATCTCAAAAAAAAAAAGAAAGAAAGAAAAGAGAGAGCATTCAAACATCAGATCAGTTCATAATAAATTTAAAAAGCCTAATTCTTTCCATTTCAATTTATGACCAAAAGAATAAATATGGAAATATATTTATACAGTGTTAAATATATTTATATAGTGTTTTTTACATCATGTGCTCAGTGGGAATACTGCAAATGTGTAAAACACCTAAAATGTAAACTATATTAACACACATTTTAAAAGATACAGGTCTTGGCCGGGCACGGTGGTTCACGCCTGTAATACCAACACTTTGGGAGGCCAAGGCTTGTATAATGCTTGAGCCCAGGAGTTAAAGACCAGCCTGGGCAACACAGCAAGACCCCCATCTCTACAAAAAAATACAAAAATTAGCCGGGCGTGGTGGCACACACCTGCTGTCCCAGCTACTGGGGAGGCTGAGGTGGGAGGATCACCTGAGCCCAGGAAATCAAGGCTGCAGTGAGCCGAGATCGCGCCACTGCACTCCAGCCTGGGAGACAGAGTGAGACCCTGTCTCCAAACAAACAAACAAAAAACAAGTCTTTAGGCATCACTGAGGAACACCTAAAATGGATACAGCACTAACTAGACACCCTCGACCCTGACTCCCTAATAAAAGCGTCAGTCTTTTGCTCAATATCCTGACCTGACAGCAAACCAATAAAGACACGGCATAACCAAACTCCACAAATTTTTGGCCAAATAAAAGAAACACACGCAACGCTAACATTAAACCTTTTCTATGGCCGCTTCACGATAAGTATTACAAAATCCCCAGAAAGAGTTTATTCACCTAGCTCCGACTGTCGCCATACAAGGTGGAGCAGTGAGTGACCCGAACCAGGGGCTGACCCCTGCCAGAGCCCCCACAGCGACTCACTGCCCCCCCCTCCGCATTCCCATCTGCACAACTTTCTGTGATTCAAACAGTCCGGAGCCAGGGCTCCCTGCAACTAACGCTATCGTGACATTATAAGCCGGTTAAATACTGAGGTCATAAACCCACTCAGAAGTAAACAGAAGCAACATTAGTGAGCAAAGTTGAGGTTTAAGCAATACGGAAAACTAGAAACCAAGCAAAACCAGCAAAGCAACTAGCGTTGTCTCTCAATAAGATCTTCCAAAAGAGGCAAAGTGGAGAACCTGCTCTCCCCCGCACTCCGGAAAACCCAAACAGCACCAAAGCAGGTTCTACAACAGCTTCCCGGAGCAACTAGGCCAGGGGATGCGACGCCGCGCATCTCCCCCCGTCACACCAGGGGCCCGCGGAGGTCTGGTGGGGACGCGGAGCTCCAGGGGCCGGCCGGTGCAGGGACACGGCCGGGTTGGGGGTGGGGACGCGCGGCCCTGCCTCCTTGCCGGCCTGCGGTCTCCAGGGCCGGCCCGCACGGCTGCTGGACAGCGCCATGCCCACGCACCCCCGAACCTAGCGGCCCCCATTCCGGAACTCCCAGCTCCACGCGGCTGGGGTCGAGCTGGGGCCCGCGGGCAGGCGCCCTGAGCACCCGCGTGACGGTACCTGTGGTGGCAGCACCTCCCAAGCTGCGGCGGCGGCGGCGGCGGCGACGGGGGCGGCAGCAGGGGCGGAGCGCGGCGTGCGCGCTCTCGGCCCGCAGTCCGGTGCGTGGCGCCCTCCCTCTCTCTCCTGGCCGCCGGGTGCCCGCCCCTTCACCTCTCACCTCCTACCTTTACCCTCCCGCCCCGCCGCCCTCCGCACGTGCGCCCAGCGGCGTGCGCATGCGTAGTCGAACCACATTCGCGTCTCCCGTTCGCCCTCTGGTGGACACCGGAGGGAAGTATGGACGGCCGGGCCGGGCCGGGCCGGGCGGAGCGTGAAGCCGGGTTAGGGCCCGCCGGGTTTGGGCCCACCGGCTCTCATCGGTCATCAAGAACTTGCAGAAAGCCGGGCACGGTGGCTCGCGGTTGTAATCCCAACACTGTGGGAGTCCAAGGCGCGAAGATCGCTTGAGCCGAGGAGTTAGAGACCAACTTGGGCAACGTAGGAGACCTCCGTCTCCACAAGTAAAATTAATTAGCCGGCTGTGGTGGCGCGCACCTGTGGTCCCAGCTACTCAGGAGGCTGAGGTAGGAGGATCACCTGAGCCCGGGAGGTCGAGGCCACAGTGAGACAAAAAACAAAAAACCCACCCTGCACAAGATGCTCATGTTCCCTGTTTTATAATGGCAAAAAATTAGAAGCAGCTGGGCCGAGATACACTGCAAATGCAGATGAGAAGAATAAATAATGTCCATAAAACTAGTTTCCCTATAGACATTTAAAAGCATAAGTTGACATTTAACCATTTTCCACAGGGAACAGGTATTTGTTATAATAGCAACAGCTACGTTCACTGTTTACTAGGTGTCAGTTGCGGAGCTGGTATTGTACATGTCCTCGCATTTGGCCCTCCTGAAAATCCGAGGTAGGTCTTGTTACAGGGCCTCACAGAAGGGGAAGGGGAGGCTGCCTCCCCTCGAGGGAAACACAGGTCCCCACCTGCCCAGCTCTGGCCCAACTAGAGACGCTGCCCGGACCACTCTGGGGGGACTTTGATCATGCTACTGCATGCCCTTGCTGTACCCAGGTCTTGTGTCAGAGGTAAGCCTCCCCTCAGCCCCTGCCTACTGCCCGAGACACCCGCACCCACCCCAGGGCTACCTGGATAAGGCAGGCCCTGTACCTGCCCTCAAAGGCACCAGCAAACTTCTCTGGGAGTTCCAGAAAGTGCAGATCTAGTCACCAATGCAAGGCAGAAATTAGAGGTGGCCCTTCTGACCGCACCAGCCCCCGACCCACTACACATTCTTCAGATACCTCCTCCTAAAACCCAGTTCCCACCGGACTCTGGCCTCCCTCCTTGCCCACCACACTATTGTCACAATGAAAGTAACAATGGGGACAGTGGGCCTTGGCCCAAAGTGACTTTCAGGGTTATGACATTTTCAGCATTGTCTTTTGGCTTAATATGGGAATTTTGATCCTATAAAGAAAGTATTCGCTGGGCGCGGTGGCTCACGCCTGTAATCCCAGCACTTTGGGAGGCCAACACGGGCAGATCATGAGGTCAGGAGATCGAAACCATCCTGGCTAACACGGTGGAACCCCATCTCTACTAAAAATACAAAACAAACAAAAAAAAAATTAGCCGGGCGTGGTGGCAGGTGCCTGTAGTCCCAGCTACTCGGGAGGCTGAAGCAGGAGAATGGCATGAACCCGGGGGGCAGAGCTTGCAGTGAGCCGAGATCATGCCACTGCACTCCAGCTTGGGCGACAGAGCGAGACTCCGTCTCAAAAAAAAAAAGAAAAAAAAAAAGAAAGAAAGAATTTTTTAGGTTATTTTTATTTTTACATTTGAGGTCTCACTCCTTTACCCAGGCTGGAGTGCAGTGGTGTGGTCATAGCTCACTGCAGCCTCAACCTCCTGGGCTCAAGTGATCCTCCCAAGAAGGTAGGACTACAGATGAGCGCCACCATGCCATTTTTGTTTTTGTTATTTTTATCAAGATGGGGTCTTTTGCTGTGTTGCCCAGGCTGGTCTCAAACTCCTGGGCTCAAGCAGCCTTCCCATGTTGGCCTCCCAAACTGCTAGGATTACAGGCATGAGCCACCGTGCCCATCCTGTTTGTTGTATTAAATGAGAGAGAAGCAACAATAGAGAGCATTCAGGGGAACTTACCTACACCCCTTACCTATCCTGACATCACTCTCTCCAGGTCTGATCCCTTGAAATACCATCATTTGTCCCCTCAGAAACCTTGGGCATGAAGGAGTCCTCCTGAGCCCTGGGCCCACTGTACCAAAGTCTTCTCTCCAGAGAGGGTCAGGAGCCTGTCTTTTAACCACCTCCATGGCAGGACTTAGCCAGACTGCCTTGGGAACTGCTGTCATTCTCCTCACTCACCACCTCTTCCCACCCAACCACTCCATCAAAGCTGTGTTTGCAGAGGACTGACCCTCAGTGAAGTCTGGACACTCCCCCACAAAAAATAAGAGGCTCCAAAACTGACAAGCACCTAGCTAAGTACCTTTGTGCCTTGAAGCATGGCAAACAATCCTCCACTGCCCTAAGAGAACCCACTGAGAATCCTGTGGAGCCTCTGGGGAAGCTGGGGTTTATGGGGCCCTGGTAAATCTGCTACAGAATGCCCCCCATGGAATATAATGAAGTGGACATGATTTTTGGGCTTCTCCCACAACATTTTTTTTTTTTGAGACACAGTCTCATTCTGTTGTCCAGGCTGGAGTGCAGTGGTGAGGTGTTGGCTCACAGCAACCTCCCCCTCCCAGGTTCAAGTGATTCTCCCACCTCAGCCTCCTGAGTAGCTGGGATTATAGGTGTGCGCCACCATGCCTGGCTAATTTTTTTTTGCATTTTTAGTAGAGACAGAGTTTCGCCATGTTGGCCAGGCTGTCTCAAACTCCTGATCTCAGGTGGGATCCACCCGCCTCAGCCTCTCAAAGTGCTGGGATTACGGGCGTGAGCCACCTCACCTGGCCCTTTTTTTTTTTTTTTTGAGACCAAGTCTCTGTCACCCAGGCTGGAGCACAGTGGCACAATCTTGGCTCACTGCAACCTCCACCTCTCAGGTTCCAGCGATTCCCGTGCCTCAACCTCTTGAGTAGCTGGGACTACAGGCTTGCGCCATCGCGCCAGGTTTATTTTTGTATTTTTAGTAGAGACGAGGTTTTTGCCATGTTGCCCAGGCTGGTCTCGAACTCCTGGGCCCAATCGATCCACCCGCTGTAATCCCGGGATTACAGGTATGACCCACCATGCCCAGCCTCCTACAACATTTAATATGAAAACATAACAGAAAAGTTGAAAGAACCATAGAGTGAACACTCATATACCCTAGATTCAACTATTAATGTTTTGCTTAGTATCTCATGTCTATCTAAAAAAATCTATCCTTTTATTCATCTATCTGTAATTGCCCAAGGGTTCTTCTTGCCCACTGCGCAGACAAAATCAATTCACTGAGGCCTTGGCATTGCAGTAAAGAGTTTCACTGACGCAAGGCTGGCGATGCACAAGGCCACGCAGAAGATGGAGCTGTTACTCAAATCAGTCTCCCCAAAGGCTTAGAGGTCAGGGTTTTTCAAGGATAGTTTGGTAGGCAGGGTGCTAGGGAATGGGAAATGTTGATTGGTTGGGGATGCAATCATAGGAGGAGTCCTCAAGCGCTGAGTCAGCCTCTGGGTGGAGTCAGCAGAAATGCAAAAGTCTGAAAAGAAACACCTCAAGGCCGGGCGCGGTGGCTCACGCCTGTAATCCCAGCACTTTGGGAGGCTGAGGCAGGTGGATCACGAGATCAGGAGATCGAGACCTTCCTAGCTAACACGGTGAAACCCCGCCTCTACTAAATATACAAAAAATTAGCCGGGTGTGGTGGCGGGCACCTGTAGTCCCAGCTACTCTGGGGGCTGAGGCAGGAGAATAGCATGAACCCAGGAGGCGGAGCTTGCAGTGAGCCGAGATCATGCCGCTGCACTCTAGCCTGGGCAACAGAACGAGACTCTGTCTCAAAAAAAAAAAAAAAAAAAAAAGAAAGAAAGAAAGAAAGAAAGAAAAGAAACATCTCAAAAGGCAAGTCTTAGGTTCTACAATAGTGATGTTATCTATAGGAGTAACTGAGGAAGTTACAAATCTTGTGACTTCCAGAGCAATGACTGGTTATCATTTAACTACACCTACACCTTAGCAGAATTCAGGCCCCTCCTATAAAAATCCTAGACTTGTGGCTTTTCATTAGTTTTACAAAGGCGGTTTAGTTTTGGAGAGGGCTAATGTCATCCTTGCTTTAAGGTTGAACTATAAATTCCTCCCAAAGTTACCTTCGCCTATCCCCAGGTTGGAGGTTAGAAGCAAGATAGAGCTGGGCACGGTGGTTCACTCCTGTAATCCCAGCATTTTGGGAGGCCGAGGCAGGCAGATCACCTGAGCAGGAGTTCGAGACCAGCCTGACCAACATGGAGAAACCCTGTCTCTACTAAAAATACAAAATTAGCCAGGTGTGGTGGCGCATGCCTGTAATCCCAGCTACTCAGGAGACTGAGGCAGGAGAATAGCTTGAACCTGGGAGGCAGAAGTTGTGGTGAGCCGAGATCGTGCCATTGCACTCCAGCCTGGGCAACAAGAGCAACACGCTGAGAGAAAAAAAAGAAAAAGAAAAGGAAGCAACATGGAGTCAACCATGTCAGGTTTTTCTTACTGCCATAATTTTGCAAAGGTGATTTCGTATCAATCCTTTATTTTAAGAGATAGGGTATTGCTCTATGGTCCAGGCTGGAATGCGGTGGCACAATCACAGCTCACTGCAGCCTTGACCTCCTGGGCTCAAGCAAGCTTCCCAAGTAGCTGGGACCACAGGTGGGTATGACCACTCCCAGCTAAATTTCAGAGTTTTTTAAATAGAGATGAGGGTCTCTCTGTTGCCCAGGCTGGTCTTGAACTCTTGGCCTCAGGCAACTCTCCCATCTTGGCCTCCACAAGTGCTAGGATTATAGGTGTGAGCCACCATACCCAGCCCCTATCTTATTTTTGATGCACTTCCAGTTAAGTTGCAGAAACCTGATTTTAGTTTTTATATATAGTAAATCAAATGGAACAGTTCCATTTAGCCCTAACTAGGTAGAGCTCAACTTTACTTCAGATTGTTCCCCATAAGAAAGGTGAATTCAGGCCGGGCACGATGGCTCATGCCTGTAATCCCAGCACTTTGGGAGGCCAAGGCAGGCGGATCACGAGGTCAGGAGATTGAGACCATGCTGGCTAACATGGTGAAACCCCGTCTCTACTAAAGAAAATACAAAAAATTAGCCAGGCGTGGTGGCGGGCGCCTGTAGTCCCAGCTACTGGGGAGGCTGAGGCAGAAGAATGGCGTGAACCTGGGAGGCAGAGCTTGCAGTGAGCCAAGATTGCGCCACTGCACTCCAGCCTGGGAGAAAGAGCGAGACTCCGTCTCGAAAAAAAAAAAAAAAAGAAAGGTGAATTTGAATTCAGGCCAGGCATGGTGGCTCACGCCTGTAATCCCAGCACTTCGGGAGGCCAAGGCGGGCGGATCACTTAAGGTCAGGAGTTCGAGACCAGCCTCCCAACATGGTGAAACCCCATCTCTACTAAAAATACATAAATGAGCCAGGCATGGTGATGCATGCCTGTAATCCCAGCTACTTGGGAGGCTGAGGGATGAGAATCCCTTGAACCTGGGAGACGGAGGTTGCAATGATCTGAGATCACGACACTGCACTCCAGCCTGGGCAACAGAGTGAGACTCTGTTGTTGTAACCGAGTGAGTTATAGAGAAACACCACACTTTGAGATGAATTGAGGAGTCCTTTATTAGCCAGTGACCGAGAGACGGCTAGCACTCAAAATTCTCTCAGCCCCAAAGAAGGGTCTAGATTTTCTTTTATACTTTGGTTTGGCAAGGGGAAGGGAAATCGAGTTGAAGCAATCTCACAGAAGTAAAAACAGGCAAAAAAAGTTAAAAAGACAAATGGTTACAGGAAAACAGTTCCAGGTGCAGGGGCTTTAAATTCATCACAAGGTGATAGGTGCGTGGGCTCTGGGTGCTATCTACAGGACACAAATGCGGGGGCTTAGGATACTATCACCTGAGCGAATTTCTGGGAACTGTGGACAGAGCTTGCCACAGTACCTTATCAGTTAATTGCACTTTTTGATGTGCTGGGAGTCAGCTTGCACAAGTTAAGTCCTTGAGGAAGGGGGTGGGTAAGGAGCCCTTGATGTCTTGCAAATGAAGGAGCCAAATGGAGTCTGTCCGGCTTTCTCAGCTAAGGAAGAGTCTATTCATATTAAAACAAGGTAAGGTATCACACTGTCTCAAAAAAAAAAAAAAAAAAAAAAAAGAAAGGTAAATTCAAAAACTTTAAAAACTAAATGTGGCATGGAAATCAAGAAATGATAACAATTTCTAATACTTGAGCTTCTACCCTGGGCCAATTCTCAAACCTGATCTCAATTAATCCTCAGAACAATCTTGAAATATAGAGGCTAAGTTTATTTTACAAATGTAGAAAATTTCTCTGCAGAGAGGAGATGATGTGTCCAAGGTCACTCTGAGAACTGAACAGAGGGCCGCCTTCTGGGACCCAAGACTCCAGGTTCCAGCCCACTGCCCAGCTGCCTCACCCTGTCATGAGCACAATAAAGGAGTTTCATGATTATGTGGATGTGTCTTTGCAATCACTCACACTGAGGATCATGCTTATCATGAATTAGCCATTAGTGATAGCAGCTGGCAACATCTTAAAGTGGAAAGAGCTGCTTCAGGGCCAGACTCCTTTTATTCAAATCCTGGCTCTGACACAAGCAGTACCTCTGTGGCTGGGAGAATTAACTTCACCTCAGGGAACCTCGAATTAGGAGTCAGGTTCCAAGATGCAAACAACACCAACAGCTGTGGGTTTTGAAAACAATAAAATTGGAGGGTGAACACATGTAAAATGCCTACACTGAAATAAACGGTAGCTTTTTTTTTTTTTTTTGAGATGGAGTCTCGCTCTGTCGCCCAGGCTGAAGTGCAGTGGAGTAATCTCAGCTCACTGCAAGCTCCGCCTCCCGGGTTCACACCATTCTCCTGCCTCAGCCTCCCGAGTAGCTGGGACTACAGGCGCCCACCACCATGCCCAGCTAATTTTTTGTATTTTTAGTAGAGACGGGTTTTCACCATGTTAGCCAGGATGGTCTCGATCTCCTGACCTCGTGATCCGCCTGCCTTGGCCTCCCAAAGTGCTGGGATTACAGGCGTGAGCCACCGCGCCCAGCTTTTTTTTTTTTTTGAGATAGAGTCTCACTCTGTCGCCCAGGCTGGAGTGCAGTGGCGCGATCTCAGCTCATTGCAACCTCCACCTCCTGGATTCAAGTAAGTCTCCTGCCTCAGCCTCCTGAGTAGCTGGGACTGCAGGCACGCGCCACCACAGCCAGCTAATTTTTGTATTTTTAGTAGAGACAGGGTTTCACCATGTTGGCCAGGATGGATGGTCTCAATCTCTTGACCTCGTGATCCGCCCACCTTGGCTTTCCAAAATGCTGGGATTACAGGCATAAGCCACCGCACCTGGCCCCAATGGTAGCTTCAATAACCATGATACAATCATTTAAAAATATTTAAAATGTCAAAGTTGAATGAATACATTTATTCAATGTCTTTATTACCTATCAAATTCCTACCATGTGTCAGAGACCAGGAATACAATAAGTTAATTTCCTGTACTAAAGAAGTTAACTGTCTTAGTGTTGAACCTTTAAACAAAACCTTATAGGAAATATAAGGTTTATTACAGAGGTCATAATAGCCCATAATAATAACCAATTATTGATTGTTGGGTTCTTGCCAGAAGCAGGTTTTACAATATATTTATCTCAAATAATCCTTGTGATGACCTTTAGAGGCAGGTAAGATAAACCCCTTCTTTTTTATTTTTATTTTTTTGAGACGGAGTCTCGCTCTGCTGCCCAGGCTGGAGAGCAGTGGCAGGAACTCAGCTCACTGCAAGCTCCGCCTCCCAGGTTCAAGCGATCCTCCTGCTTCAGCCGCCCCCGGTAGCTGGGATTACAGGCACACGCCACCATGCCTGGTTAATTTTTGTTTTTTGTTTTCTCAGTAGAGACGGGGTTCCGCCATGTTGGCCAGGCTGGTCTCTAACTCCTGACCTCAGGTGATCCACCCGCCTCGGCCTCCCAAAGTGCTGGGACTATAGGCATGAGCCACCGCGCCTGGCCGATAAACCCCATTTTAAGTTGTAAAAACCATTGCATCCAGAGCTCTGACAACTTCTCTGAGGTTCCACAGTTGCTGTGTTGCAGAGGCATCATCACATGTTGATCCACCTATCCCCAAAGCCCCTGGACTTCTGCCACTGAGCTTCCAAATGCTATGAGGAAAAGGGAATTGGAAACCAAAGACCAGGAATCATGAAGAAGGTGCTGATGTGATTTTGGGTAGGGCCTTATAGGGTAAGAGCTTGTCAGGCAATAAGAACAACAGCAGTCAGCCAGGCGTGGTGGCTCATGCCTGTAATCCTAGCACTTTGTGAGGCCGAGGTGGGCAGATCACCTGAGGTCAGGAGTTCGAGACCAGCCTGGCCAACATGGAAACCCCATCTCTACTAAAAATACAAAAATTAGCTGGGCGTGGTGGTGCACGCCTGTGGTCTCAGCTACTCGGGAGGCTGAGGCAGGAGAATTGCTTGAACCCAGGAGGCAGAGGCTGCAGTGAGCCGAGATCATGCCACTGCACTCCAGCCTGGGTGACAGAGCAAGACTCAGTCTCAAAAAATAATAATAATAATTAATAAAAAGAACAGCAGCAGTGGCTAATCCTTAAACCAGTTACCAGGCCTACTTTATATGTCATTGCTTACTTATCCTAACAACCCCAATAAAACCCATGAAATGGGCACTCTTTTCTCCCCATTTTTTTTTTTTTTTTTTTTGAGACGGAGTCTCGCTCTGTCGCCCAGGCTGGAGTGCAGTGGCGTAATCTCGGCTCACTGCAAGCCCCGCCTCCCGGGTTCACGCCATTGTCCTGCCTCACCCTCCAGAGTAGCTGGGACTACAGACGCCCGCCACCATGCCGGGCTAATTTTTTGTATTTTTAGTAGAGACGGGTTTTCACCGTGTTAGCCAGGATGGTCTCGATCTTCTGATCTCGTGATCCGCCCGCCTTGGCCTCCCAGTGTTGGGATTACAGGTGTGAGCCACCACGGCCAGCTTGTCTCCCGATTTTATAACTAAAACAAACTGGGGCCTAGAAATGTCCAATCGCGGCCAGGCGAGGTGGATCACGCTTGTAATCCCAACACTTTGAGACGCCAAGGTGGTCAGATCATGAGGTCAGGAGATCGAGACCATCCTGGCTAACAAGGTGAAACCCCGTCTTTACTAAAAATACAAAAATTAGCCGGGTGTGGTGGCGGGCACCTGTAGTCCCAGCTACTCGGGAGGCTGAGGCAGGAGAATGGCGTGAACCCGGGAGGTGGAGCTTGCAGTGAGCCGAGATCGCACCACTGCACTCCAGCCTGGCCAACAGAGCTAGACTCCATCTCAAAAAAAAAAAAAGAAGAAAAGAAAAGAAACCCCTTCTCTACTGAGAATACCAAAAATTAGCTGGGCGTGGTGGCGGGTGCCTGTAGTCCCAGCTACTCAGGAGGCTGAGGCAGAAGAGTGGCGTGAACACAGGAGGCGGAGCTTGCAGTGAGCCGAGATCGCGCCACTGCACTCCAGCCTGGGCGACAGAGCGAGACTCTGTCTCAAAAAAAAAAAAAAAAAAAAAAGAAAGAAATAAGAAATGTCCAATCACTTGAGTAAGATCACTATAGTCAGTTATTTCGTTGTTGTCTTCTCTGTAAGCTGATCAATCATACACATGCACCCCTTGCCCAATGTCCAGTGGCTGTAGAGCCTCCTGGCTGGATGAGTGCACCTCCCCTCTCCATTGTCAGCCTTGGCCAATAAAGCGTGAGTGAACACGACCTACACCAAGTCTAGCAGAAGCTTTAAGAGCCACTGCTTGTGTGAATGTGCCTCTTGTTCTTCCCCTTAGCCAGGAGAACATAGTCCTGTGTTGGAACTGTTCCTTCAGACCAGGTGCCAGGATGAGAAGCCATGTGGAGCAGAACTGCAGCACATTACCCATGGTCCCCTATATGTAATGTGAGTGAGGAATGTGCTGTCCGTTTTAAGCCAACTGGGATTTGAGGGCTGTTTGTTACTACAGGAGAGCTGTAAGTGGTTACGAGTCAGGATCGTAACCTCAATAGATGTAAACACCATAAAATTCACCCATTGTCCAGTGTATATTTCAGTGACTTTCAGTAAATGTATGGTGAAACTATCATCACAATCTTCTTTTAGAACATTTTCATCACCCCCTTTCCATTCTCACTCCCAGCCTCAGGCAACTACCAATTTATCATCTATCTCTATAGATTTGCCTTTTCTGGACATTTCATATACATGGAATCATACTATATATATATAATATACACACACACACACTATATATATATATACACACTATATATACATATATACACATATATATATATACACATATATACATATATATATATATACACATATATACATATATATATATATACACACATATATACATATATATATATATATATTGCTCTATCGCCCAGGCTGGAGTGCAGTGGCACAATCTTGCCTCACTGTAAACCTCCGCCTCCTGGGTTCAAGCAATTTGTCCTGCCTTAGCCTCCCGGGTAGCTGGGATTACAGGAGCCCACCAACACACCCGGCTAAGTTTTGTATTTTTAGTAGAGATGAGAGTTTACCATGTTGGCCAGGCTGGTCTCGAACTCCTGACCTCAAGTGATATGCCTGCCTCAGCCTCCTGAAGTGCTGGGATTACAGGTGTGAGCCACTGCGCCTGGCCTATCTTTTGTATCTGGCTTAATGGTTTTTGGTCTCACTATGTTGCCCAGGGTGGAGTACAGTGGCTATTCACAAGACATGATCACAGCACATTACAGCATTGAACTCCTGGGCTCAAGTGATCCTCCTGCCTCAGTCTCCTGAGTAGCTGAGACTACCGGTATGTGCCCGACTAGCATACTGCTTTTGAGGTTCACCCATGTTGCAGAATGTATCAGTACTTTAATTCCTTTTTTTACTGCTAACATTCCACTGCACAGATAGACTACATGATGATTTTTATCATCAGTTGATGGACATTTGGATTTTTTCCACTTTTCAGCTATTATAATAAACACAGCTGTGAATATTCCCATGCAAGTTATTCCATGAAAGGGCCATATATGCGAAATGACCCCCAAATGCAGAAGGAGCTGAGAAACCAAAGAACAAGGCAGACAAATCCAGTTTATCAGCAGAGGGCAATTTATTAGGGAACTTATGGACACAAGCATGGTCTTGGTCAGCAACAAGTCAGGTAGATCTCCACACCATTATTCCCCAGACCCGGGACTTATATACCACAGGAAAAAGGGTATGTGCACTATAGAGACAATGAAAGGCAACCCTCTAGAACAGGCCAGAATGAGTTGCGTGATAACATCAAGGTTGCTTTGACCTAAAGGTAGGATATATTGTGAGTACATATTCTTACATTAAAGACAGTAAATAAACAAGGAATCAGGAGGCATTCACAGGACTGCGGTTAATCTGAGGTCAACATGGCAAATTAGCATCCAAGATGGAGTCACTTTTGTCACCACACAAGAGTTTGTGTAGAACTTTGTTTTCATTTCTTTTGGGTAGATAGCTATGAATTGAATGGGTTGAGTCATATAGTATTTATTTATTCATTTATTTATTTATTTATTTTGAGACAGGGTCTTCTCTGTCACATACTGGAAGTGCAGTGACGCGATGTCAGCTCACAGCAACTTCCACCTCCTGGGTTCAAGCAATTCTCGTGCCTTAGCCTCCTGAGTAGCTGGGATTACAGGCGTGTACCACCACGCCCAGCTAATTTTCTGTATTTTTAGTAGAGATGGGGTTTCACCATGCTGGCCAGGCTGGTCTCAAACTCCTGGGCTCAAGTGATTCACCTACCTCGGCCTCCCAGTGCTGGGATTACAGGCTTGAGTCACTGCACCCAGCCTAGGTTTAACATTTTAAGAAACTGCCAAACTATTTTCCAAAGTGACTGCCCCATTTTACATTCCCACTAGCAATGTATGATATGAGGGTTCCTATTTCCTCACATCCTTGTCAGCACTTGTTACTGTCAGTCTTTTTGATATAGCCATTTTAGTGGCTATGTAGTAGTATCTCATGGTGGTTTTTTTTTTTTGAGATGGTGTCTCGCTCTGTCACCCAGGCTGGAGTGCAGTGGCGCGATCTTGGCTCACTGCAACCTCCGCCTCCTGGGTTCAAGCGATTCTTCTGCCTCAGCCTCCCGAATAGCTGGGACTACAGGCTGGGACCACCAAGCCTGTCTAATTTTTGTATTTTTAGTAGAGATAGAGTTTCATCATATTGGCCAGGCTGGTATCGAACTCCTGATCTTGTGATCTGCCCGCCTCGGCCTCCCAAAGTGCTGGGATTACAGGCACACGCCACTGTGCCCAGCCCTCACTGTGGTTTTAATTTGTACTTCCCTAATAATGTTGAGCACTTATATACGCATGTTAGCCATTCCGATGTCTGCTTTGATGTCTATTCCAATATTCCGCCTTTTTTTTTTTTTTTAAAGAGACAGGGTCTCAGCCAAGCACGGTGACTCATGCCTGTAATCCCAACACTTTGGGAGGCCAAGGCAGGTGGATCATTTGAGGCCGGGAGTTCGAGACCAGCCTGGCCAACATGGTGAAATCCCATCTCTACTAAAAATACGAAAATTAGCTGGGCATGGTGGTGCATGCCTGTAGTCCCAGCTACGTGGCAGGCTGAGGCAGGAGACCTGCTTGAACCTGGGGGGCAGAGCTTGCAGTGAGCTGAGATTGTGCTGCACTTCAGCATGGGTGACAAAGCAAGACTGTCTCAAAAAAATAGGACAGCATCTCACTGCATCACCCAGGCTGGAGTGCAGTAGTGCAATAATTGCTCACTGACTGTTGCCTTAACTTCCTGGGTGCAAGCAATCCTCCCACTTTAGCCTCCTGAGTAGCTTGGACTATAGCCATGCACCACCACACCCAGGTATTTTTTTTTTTTTTTTGAGACGGAGTCTTGCTCTGTTGCCCAGGCTGGAGTGTAGTGGCGCAATATCAGCTCACTGCAAGCTCTGCCTCCTGGGTTCATGCCATTCTCCTGCCTCGGCCTCCTGAGTAGCTGGGACTACAGGCGCCCGCCACCGAGCCCGGCCAATTTTTTTTGTATTTTTTAGTAGAGATGGGGTTTCACCTTGTTAGCCAGGATGGTCTCGATCTCCTGACCTCGTGGTCTGCCTGCCTCGGCCTCCCAAAGTGTTGGGATTACAGGCGTGAGCCACTGCGCCTGGCCACACACAGGTATTTTTTTTTAAATTTTTTGTAGAGACATGATTTCACTATGTTGTCCATGCTGGTCTTGACCTCCTGGCCTCAAGGAATTCTCCTGCCTCGACCTCCCAAAGTGCTATGATTACAGGCATGAGCCACCATGCCCAGCTTGCTGCCCATTTTTTAACTGGATTATGTGTCTTCTTCTTCTTCTTTTTTTTGACATGGAGTCTCACTCTGTCACCTAGGCTGGAGTGCAATGGCGTGATCTCGGCTCACTGCAACCTCCACCTCCTGGGTTCAAGTGATTCTCCTGCCTCAGCCTCCCAAGTAGCTGGGATTATAGGTGCGCACCACCACACCCAGCTAATTTTTGTATTTTTAGTAGAGATGGGGTTTTACCATGTTGATCAGGCTGGTCTTGAACTCCTAACCTAGTGATCCACCCGTCTCAGCCTCCCAAAGTGCTGGGATTACAGAAATGAGCCACTGTGCCCGGCAAGTGTCTTCTTTCTTTTATTCTTTCTTCCCCCTGCCCTCCTCTTCCCCCCCTCCCCCCACCCCTTTCTTTCTTTCTTTCTGTTTTTGAGACAGAGTCTCGCTCTGTTGCCCAGGCTAGAGTGCAGTGGCAGTCTCGGCTCACAGCAACCTGCATCTCCTGGGTTCAAGCAATTCCCCTGCCTCAGCCTCCTGAGTAGCTGGGACTATAGGCGTGTGCCACCATGCCCTAACTTTTGTATTTTTAGTAGAGACGGGGTTTCACTATGTTGGCCAGGCTCGTCTCAAGCTTGTGACCTTGTGATCCACCCATCTTGGCCTCTCAAAGTGCTGGGATTATAGGCGTGAGCCACCACATCCAGCAAGTGTCTTCTTCTTATTCAGTTGTTAAGAGTTCCTTCCATATTCTGGATACAAGTCTCTTATTATAAATATGAACGCAAAATTTTTTTCAGGAAAACAAGTAGAATGAATAACTATTTCAGAAAAGGACTATTAAAACTGATATCACGAAGTGACCGGAAATAAAGACCAATAATAAAGAAAAAAATTTTAGATACTCTCCAAAAATGTTATTTTCTTGGCTGGGCGCGGTGGCTCACGCCTGTAATCCCAGCACTTTGGGAGGCCAAGGCGGGCGGATCACGAGGTCAGGAGATCGAGACCATCCTGGCTAACACAGTGAAACCCCGTCTCTACTAAAAATACAAAAAATTAGCCAGGCGTGGTGGCGGGCGCCTGTAGTCCCAGCTACTCGGGAGGCTGAGGCAGGAGAATGGCATGAACCCGGGAGGCAGAGCCTGCAGTGAGCCGAGATCGCACCACTGCACTCAAGCCTGGGTGACAGAGCGACACTGTCAGAAAGAAAAGAAAGAGAAGAGAAGAGAAGAGAAGAGAAGAGAAGAGAAGAGAAGAGAAGAGAAGAGAAAAGAAAGGTGGGGGGAGGGGAGAGAAAAAGAAAAGTTACTTTCTTTTTTTTTTTTTTTTTGAGTGGCTGAGATGACAGGCATGCACTACCACACCTAGATAATTCGTGTATTTTTAGTAGAGACAGGGTTTTGCCATGTTGATGAGGCTGGTCTTGAACTCCTGGCCTCACGTGATCCACCTGTCTTACCCTCCCAAAGTGCTGGGATTACAGTCATGAGCCACTGCACCTGGCCTACAAATTTTAAATGAGTTGAAATGTTATCCATATTTTAAAAATTATTTTACACTAGAAAGCACAGAATAGCAACTTCATTCCAGTGAGAAAGAAAAACATATTTTTGAGTCCTGAAGAATTAAGACACCATCAGAGATGAAACAGGAACATTACAAGGTCTTGTTCAAATAGCACTGCCCCCATAAATTCTTCCCCAATTTTCTGTGCCCGCAACAAAAAAGAAAAAAAAAATTAGGGGGAAATAATTGTTCTTTCCTATGAACATCAGCCTCATGTTAGTAGAATATTTTTATGGCCCATATCACACCTTATGATCCTGTTTTTCTACCCCTGTATTAGTCCATTCCCACACTGCTATAAAGAAATACCTGAGGCTGGGTAATTTATAAAGAAAAGAGGTTGAATTTGCTCACAGTTCTGCAGGCTGTATAGGAAGCATGGCAGCATCTGCTTCTGGGGAGGCCTCAAGGGAGCTTTCACTCGTGGTGGAAGGCAAAGCAGGAGCAGGTGTCGTATATGGCAGGAGCAGGACCAAGATGGGGTCTGGGGTGGCGGTGGGTAAGTGCTACACACTTTTAAACAAAAGATCTCATGAGAACTCAGGACAGTACCAAGAGGGAAATCCACCCCTGTGATCCAATCAGCTCTCAGCAGGCCCCATCTCCAACAGTGGGAATTAATTTCCACATGAGATTTGGGCAGGGACACAGACCCAAACTATATCAACCTCTCATTAGGCTACAGCAGTCTTTAGGATTGTTTTGGTTTTTGGTTTCAGGGTTTTTGTTTGTTTGTTTGTTTGTTTTTTTGAGATGGAGTCTAGCTCTGTCGCCCAGGCTGGAGTGCAGTGGTGTGATCTCGGCTCACTGCAAGCTCCACCTCAGCATCCCGAGTAGCTGGGACTACAGGCGCCTGCAAGCACTCCTGGCTAATTTTTTGTATTTTTAGTAGAGACGAGGTTTCATCATGTTAGCCAGAATGGTCTTGATCTCCTGACCTCGTGATTTGCCTGCCTCGGCCCCCCGAAGTGCTGGGATTACAGGCGTAAGCCACCACGCCCGGCCGGTTTTGGGTTTTTTTTGAGACAGTTTCGCTCTGCCATTCAGCTTCGAGTGCAGTGGCTTGATCATAGCTCACTGCAGGCTTGAACTCCTGAGCTCAAACAGTCCTCCCACCATAGCCTTCCGAGTGGCTGGGACCACACCACCATGCCCAGCTTTTTGTTGTTGTTGTTCAAGACAGGGTCTTGCTATTTTGCCCAGGCTGGCCTCCAAACTCCTGGCCTCAAGCAATCCTCCCACCTCAGCATCCCAAAGCGCTGAGGTTACAGGTATGAGCTACCATGCCCAGCCTTTAGGATTGTTTTTATCTTTATAACCCTTTTTATAAAACAGATCTTCTGGCTGGGCACGGTGGCTCACACCTGTAATCCCAGCACTTTGGGAGGCCGAGGCAGGCGAATCACGAGGTCAGCAGATCAAGACCATCCTGGCTAACATGGTGAAACCCCGTCTCTACTAAAAATACAAAAACTTAGCTGGGCGTGGTGGCAGGCACCTGTAGTCCCAGCTACTCGGGAGGCTGAAGTAGAAGAATCGCTTGAACCCGGGAGGTGGAGGTTGCAGTGAGCCAAGATTGCGCCACTGCACTCCAGCCTGGGCAACAGGGCAAGACTCTGTCTCAAAATAAATAAATAAATAAAAATAAAATCCTGGACTCAAGTGATCTGCCTGCCTCAGCCTCCCAAAGTGCTGGGATTACAGGCATGAGCCACCATGCCCGACCAACACCAGGTTTTAATTGATAAGTAAGCAAGGATAAGGAACAGATTCTGTACACACGGAAAAATACAGAGAAAATTATATGCTAGTGATTAAAGAAATGTCCATTTCACACTAGAATCATTTTTATGGACCATATCACACCTTATGATCCTGTTTTTCTACCCCTGTATTAGTCCATTCTCACACAACCACCACTATTAAATTAATTAAAAATAAGTTAAACCCAAAGTTGACAGAGCAAAATCTCTGCATCATTGTCAACTGGCTCCATCATTCTGAAGAACAACCTGATAATGTGCCAGGGCCAGTTTCTGCTGTAATTCAATAATTCCATTAGAGGGTATGGACTAAAATGTCATCACCCCTCACTTCTCACAGGCCCCTGTGCTGGTTTATTTATAGCACTTATTGTGGTCTAAGTTAAATATGTCCTTTGTCGATTCTGTTGATTGCCTGTCTTCTCTTCCAGAACGTAAGTTCTATGAGCTCTGCCAGTGACCTGGTTTGTCAGGTTCTAAACAAACAAGTACTTATCCCCACCCGCAATAGGTAGAGTATATAAAATTTATAACAGCATAATTGATAACTGTAAAAACCAGAATCTACATGCCCAGAGGATAACTAAACAAACTAGAATATAATGATAGCATAAAATGCTGAATAGCTTTTTTTTTTGAGACTGAGTTTTGCTCTTGTTGCCCAGGCTAGAGCACAATGGTGCATTCTCGGCTCACTGCAACCTCCGCCTCCTGGGTTCAAGTGATTCTCCTGCCTCAGCCTCCCAAGTAGCTGGGATTACAGGTGCCCACCACCACGCCCAGCTAATTTTTGTATTTTTAGTAGAGATAGGGTTTCACCATATTGGCCAGGCTGCTCTTGAACTCCTGACCTCAGGTGATCCACCCGCCTTGGCTTCCCAAAGTACTGGGATTACAGGCGTGAGCCACTGTGCCCCGCCCTCAATAGCTATTAAACATAAAATATTTAAGGGGAGGCTGAGACGGGAGGATCTCTTGAGCCCAGGAGTTCAAGACTACCCTGGGCAGCAAAGTGACACCCCGTTTCTACAAAAAAATTAAAAACAGCCAGGCATGGTGGTGGGCACCTGTAGTACCAGCTACTCAGAATGCTGAGGTAGGGGAGGATCACTTGGAATTCACGTGAACTAAGAAGTGCCACACTGCACTCCAGCCTAGGCAACAGAGAGAACCTGTCTCAAAAAAAATAGTGAAAACATCTATAAACTAAGTGAAGAAACATGATAGCAACATTTATGTCATGTAAAAAATGGTGCCTTGCCCATTCAAAATCGTAGCTCAAACGAAGTTTGCATAAATAATGAAGTCTTAGTCAAAGAATCATTAGATTCTTTAATAACTACTTTCTCTTAATTGCACTCATAACTTTCAAATATTCTATCAGGTCTACAGTATTTTGAGAATAAAAGCAGCTTACTGTTTCAGACGGATAACATACACAATGGTATGATTTGAAGAGAAGTGTGATAAATTTTTCCTAAAGACTAAAAATCCAAAAAGTTAAAATTAAACAACAGATATGAGCTGGGCGTGGTGACACGCACCTGTAATCCCAGCTACTTGGGAGACTGAAGTGGGAAGAGCCCTTGAGCCCAGAGAGTCGAGGCTGCAGTGAGCTATAACCACACCACTGCAGTCCAGCCTGAGCAACAGAGAGAGACCATGTCTCAAAACAAAGAAAAGAGGCTGGGCATGGTGACTCATGCCTGTAATCCCAGCACTTTGGGAGGCCAAGGCAGGCAGATCACCTGAGGTCAGGAGTTCAAGACGAGCCTAGCCAATATGGCAAAACCCCATCTCTACTAAAAATACAAAAATTAGCTGGGCACAGTGGCACGTGCCTGTAATCCCAGCTACTTGGGAGGGTGAGGCAGGAGAATAGCTTGAACCCGGGAGGCGGAGGTTGTGGTGAGCCAAGATCATGCCACCACTGCACTCCAGCCTGGGTGACAAAGCAAGACTCCATCTCAAAAAAAAAAAAAAAAAAAAAAAAAAAAAGGCCAGGCATGGTGGCTCACATGCCTGTAATCCTAGCACTTTGGGAGGCCAAGGCAGGCGGATCATGAGGTCAGGAGATCAAGACCATCCTGGCTAGCACGGTGAAACCCCGTCTCTACTAAAAATACAAAAAATTAGCCGGGCATGGTGGCAGGTGCCTGTAGTCCCAGCTACTTAGGAGGCTGAGGCAGGAGAATGGCATGAACCCGGGAGGCGGAGCTTGCAGTGAGCCGAGATCGGGCCACTGCACTCCAGCCTGGGTGACAGAGCAAGACTGTCTCAAAAAAAGAAAAGAAAAGAAAAGAAAATAACAGCTATGTAAGTTCCTTAGTATACAGCAAAATAGTATTATTTTTTCATTTTCTTTAAGATAAAATTCATTGTAATATAATTTATATACCAAAAAAGCAGCCATTTTAAGAGAATACACCTGGTGTCTACTCTGAGGTGACCTCAACTGAGGGGCTGAGTGGGACTAGTTGTCATCTACAGGATGCGGGGCAAGAGCCCACCTCCTGCAGTCTTCACAGGTGAGGGAGGCACCAGCAACTCGCCAAGGCCTGATCCGCCTGGCAGCAAGAACATCCCTTACCCCTCTCACCAAGACCATACACACCTGCGCCTACACAGGGCCTCATGTGGCCAAGGCCCTGGTGCCAGGCCCTTGATGGCTAGGATTTGTTGGCATAAAGGCAAGGCACCACAGAAACTGGAGAAGCCAAAGGTCCCCACCTTTGGGTGGGGAGCTGGCCTCTGGGTTCCATGACTGTCAGTCAGCAAGTGTGGACTGTGGAGTGAGGCACAGTTACTTACAGCCTGCTGTGCAGCCTGTGTGCTTCCAAACCTCTCTAGGTCTGTTTCCTCGCTGAACTCATAGGGAAAGGGAAAGTACCTTTCCAGGATGGAAATTGAACAAGACAACCCACAGGAAGCTCCAGTGTGGAAACTTACTTTATTCCAGCCATGATTATCCTAGTTGTCACCTTGCACACCTGCCATCCGGTGCCATCTCCTGGCTGGCACATCTATACCCACTCTGGCTCTGAAAGGCTTGTCAACCAAAAATGGGCAGCTGGGGCTAAGGCATATTTAAACAAAGGCTCCAAAGGACCCCTTTCACTTGGGTCTAGCATCCAGCCTCTCTCTCAGCAAAGGCAGGATTGTGGTCCCTTGTGTTTTCTGAACAGGGCCCAGGGCAGCCAAGGCATGCCATCACTGCAGCACTCAACCCTCTGGTCACAGTGGAGTCGCCGGTCCAGCCTGAAATATTACTACAGAGGAGAAAGACCCATTCTTGCTATGTTGCTCTATCTTCCACGTCCAAAAACAGTCCTATGTAGCTTCAGCTGCTCCGAAATCAGGTCACAGAACAGCAGGAGACATTCCTTTGGCAAAAAAGGACACGCTTTTGTCCTGTATCTTATACTGGTAAGTGAAGCTCTGATCCCGGTGGACTGCGGGCTGCGATGGTCTCCTCCACAGGATCCTCAGCTACAGAGACAGAGAAGAATGAAAGAGGAGCAGCCACCCCAGGACCTGCTCCACTGGGAACCCCACCCTACCTTCTCTGTGCCCTTCAGCTGAGGCCTCTATGAGATGATAGTCAGATGTGCCATCTGGTAATGGGGCCAACTTGTAAAATAAAGCCTATCACCAGCTAACTACAAATAAAGGGTTCCCCTCCATTACAGTAGTCATATTGGCTCAATACAGAAAATGTGAAAGAGGAAAAAAAAAGGAAACAGAAGGAAAAAGTCTTTCAGAGGAAGACCCTTAAAGTATTTTTATGTTTTTTTTTTTTTTTTTTGAAGCAGAGTCTCACTCTGTTGCCCAGGCTGGAGTGCAGTGGCGCAATCTTGGCTTACTGCAACCTCTGCCTCCTAGGTTCAGGCAATTCTCCTGCTTCAGCCTCCCAAGTAGCTGGATTATGGGTGCGCATCACCATGCCTGGGCAATTTTTGTATTTTTAGTAGAGGCGGGGTTTCACTATGTTGGCCAGGCTGGTCTGGAACTCTGACCTCAGGTGATCCGCCCACCTCGGCCTCCCAAAGTGCTGGGATTACAGGCGTGAGCCACTGTGCCCGGTCCCTTTGTTCTTTCTTCTAAGCATGGTTTTGTACTTGCGGGCTAGACTAATTTTGAAAATCACATTAGAATTTGTACATTCACTACAGAGGCCCAGGAAGGCTAGATACCTGTTTTGATGGTGTTACTGCTGACTACAATGCTCTGGGGGTCTGGCTGAAGAGAGGCCACAGCTGCCCAGCAGCACCTTCTCCTCAGGCCCTGCTGCAGCACTACACACATAGTACTGCTGGGCTTGGTCCTCTGTGTGACCTACCAGACTTGCCTCTGAAGGACTCTGGGCCAAGACTCCTAGCCACTCTTATTGGGTCAGGAGTGCTCAACTTGAAGTTAACCAGGAAGCTGTGGTGGAGGCTTGGGAGTGGTTCCAGAAGAGAAGTTTGAGAAGGCACAGAGCCACATGGCAGCCCATTTAGAGGGGTAGAATCCAGCTTCCCTCCCAGGGCAGGACTCTCAGTTTCTGCCCAAGTACTCCAATTGTTCTGGTGAGTGGCAGCAGTTGGGGCAGCAACCCTGGTCCACGGGTACGGCCTCCCCAAGTCGTTTTTCTTTTTTCTTTTTTTGAGACAGAGTCTCACTCTGTCGCCCAGGCTGGAGTGCAGTGGCGCGATCTTGGCTCACTGCAACCTCCGCCTCCTGGGTTCAAGCGATTCTCCTGCCTCAGCCTCCCGAGTAGCTGGGACTACAGGCCCACACCACCATGCCTGGCTAATTTTTGTATTTCTATTAGAGATGGGATTTCACCATGTTGGCCAGGCTGGTCTCGAATTCCTGACCTCAAGTGACCAGCCCGCCTCAGCCTCCCAAAGTGCTGGGATTACAGGTGTGAGTCTCCACCTGTAAAAGGAACAGGCTGGGCACGGTGGCTCACACCTGTAATCCCAGCACTTTGGGAAGCAAAGGGGGGTGGGGGTGGATCACGAGGTCAGGAATTCAAGACCAGCCTGGCCAACATGGTGAAACCCCGTCTCTACTAAAAATATTTTAAAAATTAGCCGGGCATGGCAGTGGGTGCCTATAATCCCAAGTACTAGGAAGGCTGAGGCAGAGAATTGCTTGAACCCAGGAGGCGGAGGTTGCAGTGAGCCAAGATCGCGCCACTGCACTCTAGCCTAGGTGACAGAGCAAGACTCCGTCTAAAAAAAAAAGGAACAGTGTTGACCTGAATAGACGACGCCTGCTGCAGTACTGCGGAGGAATTTTGCTGTTATTTGATGGCATGCCCCTGCATTCCACTCTAGACAGCTGTCTCCTCTTTAAGAGTGCCCCACTTTGGTCACAAATGGGACCCCCATGGAAAACGTGGGCTGGTCCATGAGGCTAAGCGCAATCTGGAGCAGGTCTATTACCTGAAGTCTCACAATTTCCAGTGTTTCCCTTCCACCTGAAGTCATGTCCCAACCAGACAGTCCCTCAGGCCTGACTCTCCCCTATGTAGTCAAGAATCACAGGTACACGGGCAAGAAGCCTGTTGCCCAGGAGGCCCCTGCATACCTGCCCGTGCACATCCCTGCAGAAGCCAGTGGCCAGGCCCTCAGCCCGCAGTATCAGATGGCTCTGATGACTGAGGCCATTCAGCAGGATGTCATTCTCCTCATCCTCCGCATCTCCACTGTCGTGCACAAGGACCACCATGTTTCCCTGCATCAGATACAAGATGGAAGCCTGCTCCTTACTGGAAAGGACACCCAGAGTCAGGGAGTGCCAGCCTCTCGTTGCCTCCACTCCCCTGTACATCCTCTCACAGATCACCCTCCCTGCTGCTGCTACAGCCAGCCCCTACCTGTGCTCCCAGACCCTAATTCCAGTCACCTACTGGACAACTTCACCCATATTTCACCCATAATGAGCCAACCCATATTTTCAGCTCACTTCATCTAAACCAACAGTCTTCAAAATTAGCTCAATCTCCTGAATTCCTGAATGTTACTAAAAGTGTCACCATCCTGCCAGGCAACCATTCATTCAGTCAACAGTTCCTGAATACTTAAGAGTGTACCAGATCCCACAGTAGGAATAACAAGTGAGAGATATGGGCCCAGGAGACAGACAGATGCTGACAATACAGAATGATAAGACCAAGGGAGAGGGAAGCATGAGGTGTATGGGAGCACAACGAAGAGGCATCCCCTGTAACCCGGAGGAGCAGGTCAGGAGGTGAGCTCATGTGAGCTGAATCTCAGAGGGCAAGTAGGAGTTAGCCAAGCCAAAATGGAGGGGAAGGTCAACCCTGCCAAAAAGTGACAGCTTGAATAATGAGAGCTTTCAAAGGAATACTGTTCAGTTGTTAAAAAGAATAAAGCTGGCCGGGGACAGTGGTGCATGCCTGTAATCCCAACACTTTGGGAGGCCAAGGCGGGAGGATCATTGAGCCAAGGAGTTCAATGCCAGCCCAGGCAACATAGTGAGACCCTGTCTCTATTTTTAAAGAATAGTAATAAAAGGCTGGGCACGGTGGCTTACGCCTGTAATCCCAGCACTTTGGAAGGCCGAGGTGGGTGGATCACCTGAGGTCAGGAGATCAAGACCAGCCTAGCCAACATGGTGAAACCCCGTCTCTACTAAAAAAACACAAAATTTAGCCGGGCATGGTGGCATGTGCCTGTAATCCCAGCTACTCGGGAGGCTGTGGCAGGAGAATTGCTTGAACCCAGGAGGCAGATGTTGCAGTGAGCCGAGATCGTGCCACTGCACTCCAGCCTGGGCAAAAGAGCAAGAGTCCATCTCAAAAAAAAAAAAAAAAAAAGCCAGGCGTGGTGGCAGGCACCTGTAATCCCAGCTACTTGGGAGGCTGAGGCAGGAGAATCACTTGAACCTGGGAGGTGGAGGTTGCAGTGAGCCAAGGTCACTGAGGTCGCACCACTGCACTCTAGCCTGGGCAACAAGAGCAAAACTCCGTCTCAAAAAAAAAAAAAAAAAAAAAGAATAGTAATAAAAAAGAAAAAGAATAAGTGGCTCCTGTAGGGGTGCAAAGCAGCATGGCCAGGCCGGGGTCTGAGTTGGGGTTCTGTCCCTGCTGGGCTGTGGCCCCAGCTGGACTGCTGCCACAGAACTCAGCACCAAATAACTCCAGGAGAAGCTGCAGTGGGACCCGGAGGCGAAGCATATGGAGGTGGAGGACGTGACCCTCAACCGTCGTGCCTGCAGCTTCCGAGTCCTGGTGGTGTCGGCCAAGTTTGAGGGGAAGCTGCTGCTTCAGACACACTGGCGGGTAAATATGTGGCTAGCTGGAGGCTCTCGCACATCCATGCTTTTGAGCAGAAAACCCTCATCCCAGAGCAGTGGGCTTGTGAACGGCAGAAAGGAGGGACTGGCATCTGCACAGCCATTAAATTATAAATCAGGACCAGAAAAAAGGGAAAAGAATGAAGCAGATCCATGTGTTATTTTTGGGCAATGGACAACAAAATATACCGTGTATTAATAAATGAAAAAAAGAAGTAGCGAACAGTGTGGATGGCAGGTTACCAGTAATGTGAAGAAAAATGCAGGGAGACAAATATGTGCATATACTTTGAGAGGCCGAGGCAGTAGAATCACCTGAGCCCAGGAGTTCAAGATCAGCTTGGGCAACATAGTGAGACCAAGTCTCTACAAAAAGTAAAAATATAGAAAAAAAACAAATATGTGCATAATTGTACAGACTGGCTGGAAGGATGCACGTTGGAGGGAGGGAGAGAGGCAAGAGCACTTTTTGCTAAAGTACCCTTTATACTCTTCCTTCTTTTTCTCTTTTTTTAAACAATGCCCAAGTTTTACTTTTTCAACTAAAAGAAGTATTCTTACAAAAAGAGGGTGGTAGCAGGTCACAGACCCAGCTGGGCTGCAGAAGGTGGCTTTGGCTACTTACTGTCACCCCCTAATCCTAACTGTGCCTTCCACACCCCTAACAGTTCCTCCTCCTCCCATTCTTTCTGCATTACCCTGGTTCCTGGCTCTGCAACTGTAGCCAGGACGGCCTCAGAAGTTCCCTGAACAGAGCTTCCAGGCAGGACTTTGCATACAGGTGTTCAACACACACTGCTGGATACCCACACACCTGGCTAACTCAGTTAGCTTATCTCTCCCATTGCTCTGTACGCTCAGTCTGACCGCACCATACCACTGTCCACACGTTCCTGCCAGCTACACCATCACACACTGACAAGTGGCTACTGTGGGCCAGACACAGTGCTGGCATGTTACAAGCTTCATCTCACTTCACTCTTGCAGTCAGGTACCTGTGAGGTAGGCACCACAGCCATTCCTATTTTATTGATTGGCCTATTATTATTGTTAAAAACCCTATTATGGCTATTAAGTGCAGTAGTATTTACATCTAAATGATCACAACCAGTTACAGATTTCTTTGTTCCTTCTCTGTTCCCACTGCTGTATTTGACTAACCAAAAGAAAACAAAAACAAAAACTCTAAAACCTCTATTATGGCAAAAATCTCTATTTGTCCCTCATAACTTGGTAATCAAGGTAATATTGTATATCCTATACTTGTATTGCCCTTTACAATTTTAAAGTAGTTCATACTCATTATTTTAGCTGATCTATAAAATACACTCAGGGATGATAATAACTTGCCCCAGGACACACAGGCTATTCTGACAGACCTGGGACTGCAGCGGTGCCACACATAACCAGCCCCACTGAATGCAATGTTGATCATCCCTTTATTTTGGGGGGCTTTACTTTTCAGCAATGGCAGGTAAGGGAAAACAGGGTGGCTGCAAAAGCTTTCTGGGCCTGCCAGAGTAAAGCCAAAACCCCAAGCAAATAAAAAGATCACAGCAAGCAAGTGAGGTCTGGACCTGTCTGAGTTCTTGGAGGTCACAGGTGGGCGCAGAGAAGGCAGTTCCATGAGTACCTTTAGTTCCCAGCACACGGTGGCTCTGCAGTAGTGAATGAAGTCTAGCACAGCCACCGCCCCCATGCCCAGGCTCAGGAGCACACTGAGGTCGTCCACCAACAGCACCGGGTACGTCCACCGAGCCTCTCCACTGTCTACTGGCTTCAGGGCCTCCCGTACAAACTCAAACAATGGTTTCAAGTTCCCAGCATTAGCCTCCCTGGAGAGACAGGACAAAAGTTACCAGACTTCACTCTCTCTACAGATGTTTATCAAGGACCAAGTAGCACGACAGGAGAGGGCTAAGGGGGACAAAGAACTGTATCACAATTCTTGGCAACAAAGACTTCATGATCTGGTTAGAAAGAAAAGGCATGCACATGTACAGGAGTAATTCAAATATTTCCTGAGGCCTACTAGGTATAAAGCACTGTGTTAGAAACTGGAAGACACAAAAATAAACAGCTCCTAGCGCCCTTAAGAGACACCATACGTAGCTGGGTGCAGTGGCTCAAACCTGTAATCCCAGCACTTTGTGAGGCTGAGGCGGGTGGATCACTTGAGGTGAGGAGTTCGAGACCAGCCTGGCCAACAATGGTGAAACCCCGTCTCTACTAAAAATACAAAAATTAGCCAGGTGTGGTGGCGCACACCTGTAATACCAGCCACTCAGGAGGCTGAGGCAGGAGAATTGCTTGAACCTGGGAGACGGAAGTTGCAGTGAGCCACGACTGAGATCATCCCACTGCACTCCAACCTGGGCAACAAAATGAGACTCTGTCTCAAAAAAAAAAAAAAAAAAAAAAAAGAGACACCATACAGCCTCTCAACCCAAGAGCTTAAGGAATCTGGAAGATCAGCTTGGATTGGGCAGGCGGAAACCTTCCCAGGAGGTTATACACAGCTGGAAAAAGTTAAACAGGCTGGGCACAGTAGCTCACACCTGTAATCCCAGCACTTTGGGGGGCCAGCGGGGGAGGATCATTTGAGCCCAGGAGTTCAAGAACAGCCTAGGCAACAGAGTGGGACTATACCTCTACAAAAAAAAATTTTTTTAAATTAGCCAGGCATGGTGGTACGCCCCTGTAGTCCCAGCTACTTGGGAGGCTGAGAAGAGAGGAGTGCTTGAGCCGAGGAAGTTGAGTTTGCAGTGAGCCATGTTTGCACCACTGCACTCCAGCTTGGAAAACAGAGCAAGACCCTGTCTCAAAAAAAAAAATGAAAAGAAGAAGTTAAACAGCAACTCAGTTGCCCTGATGGTGAGTGGCAGTGGCCTAAGGCTTCTGTATACGTAACAGATTTGACCTGTTTCTGACACAAGCCAGCTTGCCTATCTCCGTCTTCTCCAGTGACTACCCCTGGCCATCATTTCTCAGCAATGAGTGGAGGAACAGAGCCCAGGGCCCAGGGCAACTGGCCTACTGCCTTATGCTCCAGGGATGAGCCCCTGGCATTGGGTTATCTTCACTAACAATGAAGACATCTCCCCATACCTTGGGATGAGGTATAACCAGCCCCTGCCTTCAAATGAGGAAACCCCAAGTCAGAGATGCTAAGGGATGTGTGTGAAGTCACACACAGGGTCAGGAAACATGGCCTCACACCCACTGCATAAGGGTGTGTGTGTCTGAGAGATAAGGCAGTGGGGGAAGTTCCTGTGTGGACCACTTTGTAGTGGACGAAGAACAGCAGCCAAGCGGGGAGTCTTCACAGAGCTATGTTTGTGGCCAATGTTCAGAAAGGAGGAAAAGCAGGAAAACCAGTCTCAGGCCTGTGATGTTGAATACCAAACCAGGGGAAAAATTTTTTCTTAAATGTCTGAAAAGTAAATATTTTAGGCTTGCAGGTCATATGGTCTCTGTCCCAACTACTCAACTCTATTTGTTGCTGTAGTGCAAAAACAGCCAAGGACAACATGCAAACAAATGAACGTGGCTGTATTCCAATAAAATTTTACTTACAAAAAATAAATTTAAAAAAAGGAATTTTGGCCGGGCGCGGTGGCTCACTCTTGTAATCCCAGCACTTTGGGAGGCCGAGGCGGGCGGATCACGAGGTCAGGAGATCGAGACCATGGTGAAACCCCGTCTCTACTAAAAATACAAAAAATTAGCCGGGCATGGTGGCGGGCGCCTGTAGTCCCAGCTACTCAGAGAGGCTGAGGCAGGAGAATGGCGTGAACCTGGGAGGCAGAGCTTGCAGTGAGCCGAGATCACGCTACTGCACTCCAGCCTGGGTGACAGAGCGAGACTCCATCTCAACAACAACAACAACAAAAAAAAGGAATTTTAAAAAAGACAAACAGTTTAAAAAATATGAAACAAAACAAACAAAACAAATGTATTTACAAAAACAGGCAGCTGACCCATAGCCCATAGTTTGCCATTGCAGTCTCCACTGTTGCAGAGCACAGGTGTATACTAGGGCTCTAAGCCAGGGCTGGAAAACACAGCAAAGCATATAGTTCTGCCATCCTTCCAGCAAATGATCCTCTCTATAGCTTTTGGGACAAATGTCCACCCTCAGCCCCATGATAAGAGCCAGCATTTGATGATGCTGCAACACCAGATGAAGTGTCTGACTCCTGAAGCCAGTTCCATCCTCCTGCACAATAAGAAGGAATCACACAGCAACCAGGAACCCTGCCTGGGCCCACCTGCCACGTGTTGCTTCCGGGCTGGGCTGTAGGCTGACTGACCTGAGAAACTGCAGGGGGTGTGGCTCCTTTTGAGCCTGGAAGACGACGTCCACTGCAGACTTGAGTCCCTCAAGGAACACAAGCTGCCCACGCTCCCGCGCCATGGTCAGGCTGACACCCTAAACATGAAAAAGAGAGTGAGTTACTATGCCTTGTAGGGGAACCCATCAGACTAGATGCCAGCTTGCAAGAGGGCATAAGACACCTTCCAAACTTGGCAGAAGTGTATCTGATCACCCAATGTACAGGCCTGTCTTCATTCCCCTGGGTGCTCCCAAACCCATAATGCCCCAACTGTTTTCAGATGTGTATTTCCATTTAATTGTTACATTAAAAGAAAAACTAGCCAGGCATGGTGGCACATGCCTGGAGTCCCAGCTACTTGGGAGGCTGAGGCAGGTGGATCATTTGAGCCCAGAAGTTTGAGACAAGCCTGGGCAACATGGCAAGACCTCGTCTCTACAAAAAAAATTTAAAAAAATTAGCCAAGTGTGGTAGTTTGCACCTGTAGTCTCAGCAACTCAGGAGGCTGAGGTAGGAGGATCACGTGCGCCCAGGAGGTCAAGGCTGCAGTGAGCCATGATCATGCTGCTGCACTCCAGCCTGAGCAACAGAGCGAAACCCTGTCTCAAAAAGACAAAAAAACAAAAACCTAGGCCAGGCTTGGTGGCTCACGCCTATAATCCCAGCACTTTGGGAGGCCAAAGTGGGCAGATCACCTGAGGTCAGGAGTTCAAGACTAGCCTGGCCAACCTGGTGAAACCCCATCTCTACTAAAAATACAAAAATTAGCCAGGCGTGGTGGCGGGCGCCTGCAATCCCAGCTACTCAGGAGACTGAGGCAGGAGAATTGCTTGAACTGGGAGGTGGAGGTTGCATTGAGCCGAGATCTCACCAGTGCCCTCCAGCCTGGGTGACAAGAGTGAAACTGTCTCAAAAACAAACAAACAAACAAACAAACAACAAAAAAACCCCCACAAAAAATGGGATGCAGAAATTTAGTATGCCTATCCCTGCTCAGACTAGGACTTTTTTTTTTCTTTTCATTTTTTACTTGTCACTGACTTGAAGCTCAATAACTTTTTTTGTTTTTGAGACAGTCTCTCACTCTATTGCCTAGGCTGGAGTGCAGTGACGCAATCTCAGCTCACTGCAACCTCTGCCTCCTAGGTTCAAGCGATTCTTGTGCCTCAACCTCTTGAGTAGCTGGGATTACAGGTATGCACCACCAGGCTAATATTTATTTATTTATTTATTTAGAGATGGAGTTTCGCTCTTGTCGCCCAGACTGGAGTGCAATGGTGCGATCTTGGCTCACTGCAACCTCCGCCTCCTGGGTTCAAGCGATTCTCCTGCCTCAGCCTCCTGAGTAGCTGGGATTACAAGCATGTGCCACCACGCCCAGCTAATTTTTGTATTTTTAGTAGAGATGGGGTTTCTCCATGTTGGTCAGCCTGGTCTTGAACTCCTGACCTCAGGTGATCCACCCGCCTTGGCCTCCCAAAGTGCTGGGATTACAGGCGTGAGCCACCGTGCCCGGCCTAATTTTTTTATTTTTAGTAGAAACAGGGTTTCACCATACTGACCAGGCTGGTCTCGAACTCCTGGCCTCAAGTGATCCACCTGCCGATATCAGGAAACCTGCCCCGATAGTCACGTAGGTTCTTTTCTATTTTCCCTAAGCGTTGGCCGGCTTGAGAAATAAAGGGACAGAGTACAAAAGAGAGAAATTTTAAAGCTGGGCATCCGGGGGAGACATCACATGTTGGTAGGTTCCGTGATGCCCCACAAGCCGCAAAACCAGCAAGTTTTTATTAGGGACTTTCAAAAGGGGACGGAGTGTGCGAATAGGTGTGGGTCACAGAGATCACGTATTTCACAAGGTAATAGAATATCACAAGGCAAATGGAGGCAGGGCGAGATCACAGGACTGCAGGACCGGGGCGAAATTAAAATTGCTAATGAAGTTTTGGGCACCATTGTCATTGATAACATCTTATCAGGAGACAGGGTTTTGAGAGCAACTGGTCTGACCAAAATTTATTAGGCGGGAATTTCCTCTTCCTAATAAGCCTGGGAGCGCTATGGGAGACTGGGGTCTATTTCATCCCTACAGCCTCGACCATAGAAGACGGCCATGCCCAGGGGGGCCAGTTCAGAGACCCACCCCCAAGCGCGTATTCTCTTTCCCAGGGATGTTCCTTGCTGAGAAAAAGAATTCAGCGATATTTCTCCCATTTGCTTTTGAAAGAAGAGAAATATGGCTCTGTTCCGCCCGGCTCACCAGCGGTCAGAGTTTAAGGTTATCTCTCTTGTTTCCTAAACATTGCTGTTATCCTGTTCTTTTTTCAAGGTGCCCAGATTTCATATTGTTCAAACACACATGCTCTACAATTTGTGCAGTTAATGCAATTATCACAGGGTCCTGAGGTGACATACATCCTCCTCGGCTTGCGAGATGACAGGATTAAGAGATTAAGTAAAGACAGGCACAGGAAATTATAAAAGTATTAATTTGGGGAACTAATAAACGTCCATGAAATCTTCACAATCCACGTTCTTCTGCCATGGCTTCAGCCGGTCCCTCCGTTTGGAGTCCCTGACTTCCTGCAACATGCCTCGGCCTCCAAAAGTGCTGGGATTACAGGTGTGAGCCACTGCACCTGGCCTCAAGGACTTCTTAAATATGGTTCATGAACCACCATCCAATTAAGAAACCCTTTAAGATACCTGATTAAAATGTAGATTCCTGGCTGGGCATGGTGGTTCACGCCTATAATCCCAGCACTTTGGGAGGCTGAGGCAGGTGGATCACCTGAGGTCAGGAGTTTGAGACCAGCCTGGACAACATGGTAAAACCCTGTCTCTATGAAAATACAAAATTAGCCGGGTATGGTGGCACATGCCTGTAATCTCAGCTACCTGGGAAACTGAGGCAGGAGAATCACTTGAACCTGGGAAGCGGAGGTTATGGTGAGCTGAGATCACACCATTGCACTCCAGCCTGGGCAACAAGAGTGAAACTCTGTCTCAAAAAAAAAAAAAAAAAACAAAAGCAGACCCCTGGGTCTAATTCCAGAATGAGGGCAGAACTCAGGATCTACATCTCAACAAACACCAGGAATGGTGATACATTCTAAATGTGCAACCCACTGCTCCACCTGTGCAGAAATAGGTCACATGGGGCTCGGCATGGTGCCTCACACCTGTAATCCCAGCACTTTGGGAGGCTGAGGCAGGAGGATCCCTTGAGCTTAGGAGTTTAAGACCAGCCTGGGCAACATAGGGAGACCCATTCTCCAAAAAAAAAAAAAAAAAAGAGAAAGAGGCAACATGTAACTCTTTAGACTTTCCATGCCCCTACATCAGGTCTCAATTGCTCATTCACACACAAAATGCCCAGGGTCTTCCAACGTCCAACACCATTTGTTCCAATAGCTGCAGCTGACAGGGAAAAAGACTCCTGATCATCACCCTTGCTCTTGCTCACTACCACTCTATTTATGTAAGTGCAACAATATGCCACGAGTATAGAAGCTCACGCTCCAGTACTTCACGTGCCAAGTACTGTGCATGCCATTCCTGCTGTGCTGATCATCATTCAAAGGTAAAAGAAAAAGTAGCCAGTTTAGATATGCGAACACACAGCTATCTCATCCTGAAACAGATCCAGTGGCCATAAAGCCATGCTGCAGAGCCCTGGAATGCAACATTATTTTCTTTACATCCTGACTGTTCTCCCTGGGCTCCTGCCCCGATGTCTAACACAGGAAGTTCTCCCTTCTCTGCAAAGGATGGGAAAGAAAGAATCTACCATTCTCTCACCTCCTCATTTGCTTCTGCCCAACAGAGAAGAGGCAGTGACTTGGTCCAATAGTAAGACTGGATTTTATTTTATTTTTTATTTTTATGTATGTATGTATGTATTTATTGAGATGGAGTCTTGCTCTTTCGCCAAGGCTGGAGTGCAGTGGCACGATCTTGGCTCACTGCACTTTCTGCCTCCCAGGTTCAAGTGCTTCTCATGCCTCAGCCTCCCAAGTAGCTGGGATTATAGGCGTGAGCCACCATGCCTGGATCCTCTGAGAAATAAATGAGTAGAATGCACGCCCCATGAGTGAGATGATCCCAAAGTGTTAGGATTAAAGGTATAAGCCACCACCCCTGGCAGCCAAGAATTTTTATAATGACTAGGCCTTGGGTTTTATCAAATGCTTTTTTTGCATTAAGTGACATGATCATATGAATTTGTTTCTTTAGCCTATTGACATGGTGGATTACAATAGCTGATTTTCAAATGTTGAACCGGCTTTGCAAAACTCTAATAAACCCAAGTGTGGTGTATAGTTCTTCTTATACATTTCTGGACTTGATTTGCTTATATCTTGCGGGGGCAGGGGTGGGGGAGTTGCATCTCTGGGAGATTTTTTTTTTCCTTTTTTTTTTTTTTTTTGAGATGGAGTCTTGCTCTGTCTCCCAGGCTGGAGTGCAGTGGCGTGATCTCAGCTCACTGCAAGCTCCGCCTCCTGGGTTCACTCAATTCTCCTGCCTCAGTCTCCCAAGTACCTGGGACTACAGGCGCCTGCCACCATGCCCAGCTAATTTTTCGTATGTTTAGTAGAGACAGGGTTTCACCGTGTTAGCCAGGATGGTCTCCATCTCCTGACCTCGTGATCTGCCCACCTCAGCCTCTCAAAGTGCTGGGATTACAGGTGTGAGCCACCGTGCCCAGCCTTTTTTTTCCTTTTTTTATTGAAACGCTGTGTCACTCTATAGGAGCATGCCAACCACCTGGCTAATTTTTGTATTTTTAGTAGAGATGGGGTTTTGCTATGCTGGCCAGGCTGGTCTCCAACTCCTGACCTCAGGTGATCTGCCCACCTCGGCCTCCCAAAGTGCTGGGATTACAGGCATGAGCCACCACGCCTGGCCCAAGACTGGCATTTTAAAGATCACTGCTGAAGAGTAGCCCAGTTCTCTCCCTCTCTAAGCCTGGCCTGTCCAAATACAAACCAAAAAACAGCCCTTCAGCTTCCATTCACAGGCAGTGAAGTCCACCTAGTAACAGGTAATGTCCCAGGCTAGGTCAAGAAGTTCATCGGCCTTTTGGCCATCTTATTCTTGCCTGCCTGTGTCTGATGTGGTGAGGGGCAGGAAACGAAAGTCCCTCTCCCCACACTGGGGTCTGAAGCCCTAGACTTAGGGAAAGACAGTGGGAGGCATCCAACTTAGCAGCAGACCAAAGTGTGATCTCCAACCAAGGAGGACGAAAATCAAAACTCATACGGAGAAGGAGAAAACCTTAACTGGTCCAGAATGAGTAGAGAAAGGTTTGATTAATTAACATCTACAAACAGCAGGTCTGGTTCTACGAAGTCTCGAATAAGACATGCTGAGATGCTACCTTAGCCCTTCGAGTAAGGGGTTCAGGATCCCAAGATTTCTTTTTTTTTTTTTTTGAGACAGAGTCTTGTTCTGTCGCCAAGCTGGAGTGCGATCTCAGCTCACTGCAACCTCTGGCTCCCGGGTTCAAGCGATTTTCCTGCCTCAGCCTCCTAAATAGCTGGGACTATGGGTATGCACCACCACGCCCAGCTAATTTTTGTATTTTTAGTAGAGATGGGGTTTCACCATGTTGGCCAGAATGGTCTCCAGCTCTTGACCTCGTGATCTGCCCATCTTGGCCTCCCAAAGTGCTGGGATTACAGGCGTGAGCCACCACGCCCGGCCCAATATTTCTTTAGTCCCTCTTTTGCTAAGTTCTGTACAATGCAAACAGGAAAGCCAAGCTTTAGACCATGTGTGACACACACACTCACTCAGGGACCTCATCATGGAGCTCCAAAATATTTACCAGCTTCTGTCCCACGATACTGTAGTGGCTGAAGGACTGGATGAGTGCCACAAAGCAGACTTTACAATTAGCTAGAAAACAAAACAATTATTTTAAATAAATCCTCTGGTTACAACCAGACTCACTGATTTCATACCTCTGGAAAAAAAAGCACTGAGGCAAATCTAGAGACCCAGAGGCTTTGCAACCTGACATACGCAATTTGATTCTAAGATGTACTTTTTTTCTTATTTAACAGTTATATCTTATTTTACTGGTTCTAAGATATACTTCTGTTAGATGTAGTACTAGGTACTTATTATTATCATTTGAGATGGTCTCGCTCTGTTGTCCAGGCTAGAGTGGCACAATCATGGCTCACTGCAGCCTAAACCTCTCTGGCCTCAAGTGATCTGACCACCTCAGCCTCCCGAGTAGCTGGAACTATAGGCATGCCCAGCTAATTTTTGCATTTTTTGTAGAAACAGGGTCTCCCTATATTGCCCAGGCTGGTCTCGAATCCCTGGCCGCAGCTCATCCTCCCACCTGGGCCTCCCGAATGCTGGGATTATAGATAATGAGCCATTACGCCCAGCCATGCAGCAGCCATGTTCTTTAGGAAGCATCTACTGCCAGGACAAAGTGTCAATGGGGTCGAGTGCCCAGAGACCTCGAGATACACAAAGACCAAGGAGCAACAAAATCAGGAGGCCACATAGGACCTCAGTGAGGCAATGTCCACACAGTGGGTGGAGAAGGGGAAGGTAGGACACAGAAACAGTGAGCACATGCCACTCTTTGGCAGGGCTGGGGAAGGAACGAGATGGCCTAGTAACCTGTTATCCTAATAAAATAGCCCCCCTAGGTATCCCAACACCAAGGCTTGGCTTGTAAATGCTGTTATTGCTTCCTTAAATAGTTTTGGTTTTTATTATTTCTGCACCCATCTTGGGTTTCTTTTCTACAGCATCAATGAGTCCCATACCTTTGAGATAGAAGGAGAGAAAGTGGTGTACAAGGAAACTCCCATCTGTCTTGGCATCACAGAGTAGAGTCAGTTTCCCCTAAAAGTTACAAGGAACACAAAAAGGTTAGACTCCCTGGAAAGAGGTCAGCTTAGTGCAGAAATCTAGTCAATTGTGTCCACACCTTAATTTCTCCACCTGAAGAGTTTATTTTTTTAATGACATACATGCTAAGGTACCCTGAAATGATGAAAATAAGTCAAAATTATGGAAAATCCATGACTAAAGTTATCACTTATTGTTACTCATGATAGGCAAGCATATCTCAGCCTCCACCTCCTCAAAGCAAACAGAGAATAAACTTATTTCTCTTCCTCACTTCTCATGTTAGTCACTCAGGAACCAGTCTTAGGAAGAATTGGATCCTGAACAAAGGATGCTTTTACCATCAGACTCCAGTGAAAATCAGATTGCTAGGACTGGAAGAGGCCTTCAAAAGGCCTCCCTGCCAACTACTTTATATTCTGATGCCAATTCTATTCTGTAGGGTGAGGGAGAAGGGAGGAAGAAGCAGTTGCTGATACAGATGTCTGATAACAAAGTTCACCCAATGGCCCTGCTTCAGAGGCCTGATCATGGAGAGCTCTAGAAAGACCTCTAAGGGTGGTCTCTGCAGAGCCTGACTGTCCTGCTCCATTCACCTCTATTTCTGTCAGTGACAGGGAAGGTCAGGATCAAGTGATATCATGCATGCCACCTCCTTGCCGTGTGACCTTCCACAAATGCCTTAACTTCTCTGGGCTTCAGGTTTTTTCACTTACAAAATGTGAAAGATCACATCGTCAGACCTTCAGTGTTACCCCTAGTGCTGTCATTTCCTGGTGCCCACTTGATTACTCCATTCTTTCACCTGGCCCTAGGCTGACTTTGGAAGTGCCAGTGGTAACTGGCAAGGTAATCAGAGTCATCTGGACAAGAACTGCCTGGCAACTAAAATCCACAAGGATCTACTGAAAGCTACAATTTGGCGCTATGGGGTCATAAAAAGGCTTTAGACACTTAGTATCCTGGTTGCCTGGAGGAGTTTACCATTTCATTAGGAAGACAAAGATTATGAATAAACCAGGCTGGGCGTGGTGGCTCACGCCTGTAATCCCAGCACTTTGGGAGGCAGAGGCGGGCGGATCACCTGAGGTCAGGAGTTCCAGACCAGCCTGGCCAACATGGTGAAACCCCGTCTCTAACAAAAAATACAAAAAAAAATCAGCCAAGTAATTAGCCCGGTGTGGTAGCGCACGCCTGCAATCCCAGCTACTTGGGAGGCTGAATAAGGAGAATCACTTGAACCCGGGAGGTGAGGTTGCAGGGAGCCGAGATCGCGCCAGTGCACTCCAGCCCAGGCGAGGGAGCGAGACTCCATCAAAAATAAATAAATAAATAAATAAGCCAAAAGATACACTCCTGAAAGAGGTTACTCCTACGTTAAAATGTGAAAGGTTTCAAGGTACCCCGGAGTGTGAGGAGGGTGGAGAGAACAGGCCAGCCTGGGGTGCCCAAGACGGACTTGGTCCAAGCCAATTTGGCTCTGTCCTGCTTCTAACAGTTCTATTAGAGATCACAAGGAGGAAGAGTAAGAAGAACAGCAGCGTTCAATACAATGTGCCAATTGCTCCGGGGCGAGGTGGCGGTTAGGAAGCTCGCCCATGAAGACGGCGGCGAAACGAACTCCCCTCTCCTCTCGGGCCTATTCTGCAGTCTCCTCTGAGCGCCTGGGACCCCCCACCCCAGTGAACATGCACAGCGCGCCACAGTTCACGTCCGCGAATATAACCCAACCCCACTGTCGGCCATGCTTCCCAGGTACTTTTTTTTTTTTTTTTTGAGGTGGAGTCCCGCTCTGTCGCCCAGGCTGGAGTGCGGTGGCGAGATCTCGGGTCACTGCAACCTCCGCCTCCCGGGTTCAAGCAATTCTCCTGTCTCAGCCTCCCGAGTAGCTGAGATTACAGGCATGAGCCACCACGCCCGGCTAATTTTTGTATTTTTCGTAGAGACGGGGGTTTCACCATCTTGGCCAGACTTGTCTCGAACTCTTGACCTTAGATGATGCACCCGCCTCGGCCTCCCAAACTGCTGGGATTACAGGGGTGAGCCACCGCGCCCGGCCGCTTCCCAGGGACTTTTAAGGACACGCACAGCCGTTGAGAATATGCGAGATGGCCCAGAAGCCCACTTTCGGCGGGCCCAAGCCTCCAGTCCAATCCCCGGGTCGATCCTCTGCGGACTACAACTCCCAGGTACCCCGTGCCGGGTCGTCGCGCCATTCCCCGGGGTCGTGCGCACCGCCTCCCGGATGCAGTATTCCGCTGCCCTGCCAGGTCCCGCCCCCTTCCGGCCAGCGGGACCTCTTACCTGCTCCGCCCTGTCGGGGGTGGTGTTAAGCAGGTTATTAAGTTCCACGAACATTCCGAGCTCCTGGGACTAGCGCTCTGGAGGAGAACCCGGAGTGCTGCAGAGACGACGGAGGCTGGAGAGCAAAACACACCCGACAGCCCGGCTCGCGCAAGGAAGCGCGCATGCGCAATGCCACTTTTGCGAGCCAGCCACAGCCAATGAGGCGGGTGCCTCGATGGGACCGCTGCGCACGCGCGTAGACGTCCGTCGAGTCCCAGGTGGTAGGAAACGATGGGCTTCTCTGTGCGACTGCCAGCGGCCTCTGGCGGCTCATTCCGCGCAGATCTGCGTGGCGCCCGAGCCCTCCCAGTGGGCCCCCAAGGCTCCACGCGACCGAGTATTCTTCTTCCCTTGGCCTCGCTCTCTGCCCAGCCCCGGGCTCCTTTTCTCCACACGTGGCTGTCAAGCGCCTTCTGTATGCCCCACACTCCTGGGAGCTTGGGCTACATCGATGAACAAAAACAAAGGACAGGGAATTTATTATTATTATTATTATTATTATTATTATTATTATTATTTAATTGAGACGGAGTCTTGCCCTGTCGCCCAGGCTGGAGTGCAGTGGCGCGATCTCGGCTCACTACAGTCTCCGCCTCCTGGGTTCACGCCATTCTCCTGCCTCAGCCTCCCGAGTGTAGCTGGGACTACAGGCGCCCGCCACCACGCCCGGCTAATTTTTTGTATTTTTAGTAGAGACGGGGTTTCACCGTGTTAGCCAGGATGGTCTTGATCTCCCGACCTCGTGATCCGCCGGCCTCGGCCTCCCAAAGTGCTGGGATTACAGGCATGAGCCACCACGCCCGGCCGACACGGAATTATATCTTGAAAAGTTGTGTGGAGAAAAGCAAAGTGGGATTAGAGAGTACCAATGGGGGCAGGGGTAGGTTCCAGAATTAAAGAGGTTGTCAGGGTGGGTCTCACTAAGAAAGTGTGGTTGCGGCTGGGCGCGGTGGCTCACACCTGTAATGCCAGCACTTTGGGAGGCCTAGACGGAGGGATCACGAGGTCAGGAGTTCGAGACTAGCCTGGCCAATATAGTGAAACCCCCTTCTCTATTAAAAATACAAAAAATTAGCCTGGCGTGGTGGGGGGCGCCTGTCATCCCAGCCACTCGGGAGGCTGAGCCAGTAGAATCGCTTGAACCTGGGAGGCAGAGGTTGCAGTAAGCCGAGATCACGCCATTGCTCTCTAGCCTGGGCAGCAGTGTGAGACTTCGTTAAAAAACAGTGTGGTTGCAACACGCCCTGTATGCCTGTCCTCAGAGCCTTTATACTAACTCTTCCCTCTTCCTGGAATGCCCCTTTTCCCAGATATTAAGCTGATTTTAAAATTCCCCACTTCCTTCAGGTCTCTGCTCCGATGTCACTTTATTCGTGAGGCCTTCCCTGAGCACCTTACTTAAATCACAAACTGTCCCTTTCCCAACACTTCTTTTTCCTTGCTTTTATTTTTTTCCATAACATTTATATCTATTATACCGTATATAGTTTTGTTCTAGCCCAATCAGCCTCAGATCAGTGGACAAACCTGTAATTCCACCAAAGTCAAGTTTATTGACAGTCACTAAAATAATTGTTATATGATTTGGGAAAGAGTCGAATTCAGGTGAAATTTAAGTGAACCGGTGTTTGATATGCTCAAAGCACAGCACAGCTGTGTGTGGAGTCCTAATCTGGCGTGGACTGCAAAGGGGACCCAGGGTCATTTCTGTGGAAACTACAAGGTTAAGATCGATGTGGAATGTAATCGTTAGCTGAAGCTCTGCACCTGGGATGGAAATCAAGGCTGCTTCTCTGTGTCAAAGGGATGTAGATCCTTCAGCCAAGAATGAGATGTTTCATGCTTATTGAAATGTGAGAAAGAGAAAAAAAAATTGGCCTGACACTCACAGCTAGGTCTTGGTGTTCCTGTTGAGCATAAACAATTTCATAAAACACCAACATCAGACTGATTGTGACGGATCAAGACAAAACTAGAACACTCCATAATCATGTTGAACACAAAACATGTACATTGTCCAAGCCACAACCAAACATCTCATTTCCCAGCAAATAAGAGTACCACTTCTTTACCAATCTCTTTAGCCTGATACAAGTTCTTTTTTTTTTTTTTTTGGCCTGATACCAGTTGTTTATCACATACTGGCTTTGCAAAGATGCCTCCCTGTAAATAAGATATATCAGGGTACCTAATCATAGAATTACCCCAATCTTCTGACAGCCTCCATCTCCAAGCAAAGCTGTACTTCCTTAAACCCTCCCCTAAATCACTTAACAAGCCCAAATCCTATAATTATTTTCTAACACTCTCTTAATGAGACACCCCATGGTTCCCCCATGGTGTACATTCTCCCTCATAGCAATGAGTAATAAACTTAGTGTTTTCAGTAATAAGTATATTCCTGGTGGTCATTGCCTGGAGGGAATAGACATGATGTCAAGCAGCAAAGTTTTAATTTTAGAGAACAAAGTTTCTTGCTAAGAAAGCAGTAGTCGCCACCGAGTGAGGTGGCTCATGTTACATGGGAGGCTGAGGCAAGATAATTACTTGAAGCCAGGAGGTGGAGGCTGCAATGAGCCGAGATCACACCACTACACTCCAGACTGTGCGACAGAGCAAGACTCTGTCTTAAAAAAAAAAAAGAAAAGAAAAGGAAGAAAAGAAAAAGAAAAAAAGCGGTAGTCTCTCAAAGAAAGGGGTTATTTATGAGACTACAGCTGCAGCATGTTTAATCCCAGCTACGTGGGAGACCTTGAACCTGGGAGATGGAGGTTGCAGTGAGCTGAGATCGCGCCATTGCACTCCAGCCTGCACATCTATTATCTGTGATGAGAAAATAGCAGGACAGGTTTTCACAGTCTGAACTAATTTTACGTTTCTTACTTTCCTTATTTGAACTTTAGTACCAGAAGGCAAGAGGACAGGGATTTTTGCCTGTCTTCTTTGCTGTTATTTCCTCAGTGCCTAAAAGACTGCCAGGCATTGGGCCGGGCACGGTGGCTCATGCCTGTAATCCTGGCACTTTGGGAAGCTGAGGTGGGCAGATCACTTGAGGTCAGGAGTTTGAGACCAGCCTGGCCAACATGGTGAAACCCTGGCTCTACTAAAAATACAAGAATTAGCTGGGCTTAGTGGCACATGTCTGTAATCCCAGCTACTCGGGAGGCTGAGGCAGGAGAATCATTTGAACCCGGGAGGCAGAGGTTGCAGTGAGCCGAGATCTCGCCATTGCACTCCAGCCTGGGTGATTATTTTCCAAAGTGGTTGTACCATTTTACATTCCCACCAGCAATGTATAAGGGCTCCAGTTCCTTGGCAATAGGTGGTATGGTCAATCTTTTTAATTTTAGCCACCCTGATATTACACTGCTTTTTCTTTTCTTTTCTTTTTCTTTCTTCTTTTTTTTTTTAAGACAGAGTCTTGCCCTATCGCCCAGGCTGGAGTATAGTCTGTGATCTCAGCTCACTGCAACCTCCACCTCCCAGGTTCCAGCAATTCTCCTACCCCAGCCTCCTGAGTAGCTGGGATTACAGACGTCCACCACACATCCAACTAATTTCTGTGTTTTTATTTTTTTGTTTTTTGTTTTTGTTTTTTGGAGACAGAGTCTCACTCTGTGGCCCAGACTGGAGTGCAGTGGCACGATCTCGGCTCACTGCAACCTCCACTGCCTCCTGGGTTCAACCAATTCTCATGCCTCAGCCTCCCGAGTAGCTGGGACTACAGGCACATCCTATGCCCGGCTAATTTTTTGTATTTTAGTAGAGATGGGGTTTCACCGGGTTGCCCAGGCTGGTCTTGAACTCCTGAGCTCAGGCAATCCGCCTGCCTCGGTCTCCCAAAGTGCTGGGATTACAGGCATGAGCCGTTGTGCCTGGCCAATTTTTGTATTTTTAGTAGAGAGAGGATTTCACCATGTTGGCCAGGCTGGTCTCGAATGCCTGATCTCAAGTGATCCACTCACCTCGGCCTCCCAAAGTGCGGGGATTACAGGCGTGAGCCACCGTGCCTGACCACATTGCACTTTTAGTTTGCATTTCTGTAGTAATGAATGATGTTGAGCATTTTTCATTTTTTCATGTGCTTATTTGCCATCCATATGCCTTTGGTGAAGTGTGTCTATTCAAATATTTTGTCCTTTTTTTTTTTTTTTTTAGACGGAGTCTCACTCTGTCGCCAGGCTGGAGTGCAGTGGTGCAATCTTGGCTCACTGCAACCTCCGCCTGCTGGGTTCAAGTGATTCTCCTGCCTCAGCCTCCCGAGTAGCTGGGACTACAGGCGTGTGCCACCATGCCCAGCTAATTTTTGTATTTTTAATAGAGATGGGGTTTCACCATGTTGGCCAGGATGGTCTCGATCTCCTCACCTTGTGATCCACCTGGCTTGGCCTCCCAAAGTGCTGAGATTACAGGCATGAGCCATTGCGCCCGGCCAAAATACAATTGATTTCTGTATGTTGATCTTATCCTGCAACTTTGCTAAACTTGCTTATTCATTCTAGTAGCTTTTTGAAGATTTCCCTTGGATTTTCTGTATAGATGATTATGTCATCCATGAATAGACAGTTTTCTTCTTCCTTTCTAATCTAGATGCCTTTGATTTCCTTTTCTTGCTTGAGTGCAGTGGCTAGAAATGGTGAGAGCAGACATCTTTTATTTCTGATCTTAGGGCAAAGCTTTCAGTCTTTCACCATTAAATATATGTTAGCTGTGGGTTTTTCATGGATGCCCTTTATCAGGTTGAAAATGTTCCCTTTTTTGATACTCCTTTTTCTGGCCTTGGTAGTTTCCTTGTATGCTGAATGCTTGGTGACCCTCTGCAAGTCTCCAGGTTCTCTCTCTGTGCAACACTGTCATCTCTGGTGCTCTGTCCTATGAACTCCAGCTGCCTTGGTTTCCCCAGACTCTTAGCTCTGTCTTTTCTTTTCTTTTCTTTTTTTTTTTTTTTTTTTTTTGAGACAGAGTCTCGTCCTGTCACCCAGGCTGGAGTGCAGTGGCGCAATTTTGGCTCACTGCAAGCTCCGCTTCCTGGGTTCATGCCATTGTCCTGCCTCAGCCTCCCGAGTAGCTGGGACTACAGGTGCCCCCCACTATGCCCGGCTAATTTTTTGCATTTTTAGTAGAGACGGCGTTTCAACGCGTTAACCAGGATGGTCTCGATCTCCTGACCTCGTGATCCGCCCGCCTCGGCCTCCCAAAGTGCTGAGATTACAGGTGTGAGCCACCGCGTCTGGCCTTAGCTCTGTCTTTTCAACTCAAGGAGTATTCCAGGGCCAGGCGTGGTAGCTCACACCTGTAATCCCAGCACTCTGGGAGGCCGAGGCGGGTGGATCACAAGGTCAGGAGATCAAGACCCTTCTGGCTAACACGGTGAAACCCTGTCTCTACTAAAAATACAAAAAAATTAGCTGGGCATAGTGGCGGGCGCCTGTAGTCCCAGCTACTCGGGAGGCTGAGGCAGGAGAATGGCGTGAACCCGGGAGGTGGAGCTTGCAGTGAGCCGAGATCGCGCCACTGCACTCTAGCCTGGGCAACAGAGCGAGACTCCGCCTCAAAAAAAAAAAAAAAAAAGACGAAAAATACAGCATGCGGGCATGGTGGTGCACACCTGTAGTCCCAGCTACTTGGGAGGCTGAGGTGGGAGGATTACATGAGCCTGGGAGGCTGAGGCTACAGTGAGCTGTGATTGCACCACTGCACTCCAGCCTGGGCAACAAAGCGAGACTCAGTCTCAAAAAAAAAAAAAAAAAAAAAAAAAAAAAGGAGTATTCTAGGCTCCACCTTAGTTTCTCCTTACTGTCTGGAAATTCTTTCAAGGTAGTGTGAACGTAGACGATCCTAGGTTCATCACATTATTTTCCCATCTCTCATGGATTATGTCCTTTGCTGGGAATGGAAGTCTGTGGATTATCTTTTTGTCGTTGTTCTATTTTGCTTTGATTATCTTTTGAGATCCAAAGTTAAGAACATATTCCTTTACTGTTTGAGCTTATTGAGTTTTTAAAAAAAGGTCTTTCTTACCCCAAATATCATAAAGATATTCTCTTATATTTTCTTGAAAAGTTATAAAGTATTTCTTTTCACATTTAAGTCTTTAATCTACCTGCAATTGATTTTTGTGTTTGGTGTGAAGGAATACAGATCAATTTTAGAATAGCATGTTGCATTTAACTTTGCTGGTAAGTTGATTGGTATTATGTTTTATCTTTTTTTTTCCTTTTTTTTCTTCCATTTCTTTCTTCTTATTACTTTTTGGTTCTAGTCTAATCCATATATATTGAATCTTAGATATAGTTGAGGATAATCAATATATTTTTAATATACAATATTGATTCTTCCTATATTTATTCATTCTTGTTTTGATAGTGATGAATTAGTTCTACTTATTTTCCCATTAGAAAGATGCCCTCATTGGCCAGGCGCGGTGGCTCACGCCTGTAATCCCAGCAGGTTGGGAGGCCAAGGCGGGTGACTCACTTGAGGCCAGGAGTTCAAGACCAGCCTGGGCAACATGGTGAAACCTTGTATCTACTAAAAATACAAAAATCAGCCAGGCAGGCTGGGCGCGGTGGCTCACGCCTGTAATCCCAGCACTTTGGGAGGCCGAGGCGGGCAGATCACGAGGTCAGGAGATCGAGACCATCCTGGCTAACACGGTGAAACCCCATCTTTACTAAAAATACAAAAAATTAGCCGGGCACGGTGGTTGGCGCCTGTAGTCCCAGCTACTCCGGAGGCTGAGGCAGGAGAATGGCGTGAACCCAGGAGGTGGAGCTTGCAGTGAGCCGAGATCGCACCACTGCACTCCTGCCTGGGCAAAAGAGCGAGACTCCGTCTCAAAAAAAAAAAAAAAATCAGCCAGGCATGGTGGTGCATGCCTGTAGTCTCAGCTACTCAGGTGGCTGAGGTGGGAGGATGGCTTGAGCCCAGGAGACAGGGGCTTGCAGTGAGCCAAGATTGTACCATTATGCTCCAGCCTGGGCAACAGAGCAAGACTGCCTAAAAACAAAACAAAACAAAAAACGATGCCCTCATGAACATACTAAACCATGTCTCTTGGTGAACATATGCAAGAGTTTCTCTAGTATCTGGAGTGGAATTGTTGGGTTATAGGCAGCGTTGAATTTATCATAAAGCTAATAAAGCTAATCTACTGTTCATAATGTTGTATTCTTTTTGTCAAAGAGAACTCCCCTCCAATTGTATAAGCTTCAGGTCCTGGAATACTTGGATTTGCCCCCATTGTTGCTTATGCACATGTTGAACAGCATAGTGCAACTATGGAAAATTCAAACAGCTTCTCTGCAGGAAAGAATAGTGTTCAAAGGACTGGAGGAACAAAAGGGTGAAGGGGATTTTACATAGCAATTAGGAAGCTCCTACCTCCCCTGGCCTTGAGTGCTCTCCTCTGTATTGAAGTGGGCTGGAAGCTTGTAAACTAAATCTTCCAGACTGCTTTTCCAGCTGGTTTCTAATGCAGCTCTGTCAGGGAGACACTGGAAGGAGACTGGAAGGCAGGAAGAAGGAATTTTTCTGTTCATGATCACTCCCCTGGCAGGGTCAGCATCAGTAGTGGGTGACTGGGCTGCAGCAGGCAGCGACGGTCTCAGCAGAGGCAGCAGGGGTGAGCACAGGTGCCTGGGTTCCAGCAGCCACGAGGGCAGCCACACTTCCGATGGCTCTGCAGTTCCCATAGCTCCTTCTGTCCACAGTCCCCATCACGCCCTCAGTTCGCCATATATTCAGCTTCTTTTGGATCTACAGGCCTTCATCATCTGCATTTTCTTTCCATTAGCTCCATTTCCTTCCATCCCTAGCAGGAATCTATGAACTATCCTTGAACTCAGAGTTCTCTTGCAGGCACCCTCAACATCTTCATCTTGTTGGCCTCCTGGGAATGGCACCTGCTCTGCAGCTCCCCGTCCTGGATGCATCCTGTAGCCCCACTTCTCTTCCAGGTGCTGGTGACCCTCACTTCTAGAAAACAGCACGGGCCCTGCCAGCCCCAGTCCCCGCGCTGCTGCATGGACACTATGGCTCCCTGTGCCTCCCTGTCTCTCAGTTGATGACTTGCTGCCTCATCAATAGGTTGTTGTCTGACACCTCTATCATCTGTGACAAGAGGTTGTGTTTTTGTTTTGTTTTTTAATAATAGAGATAAGGGCCAGGTGTGGTGGCTCACACCTGTAATCCCAGCACTTGAGGAGGCTGAAGCAGGCGGATCACTTGAGGTCAGGAGTTCGAAACCAGCCTGGCCAACATGGTGAAACCCCGTCTCTACTAAAAATACAAAAATCAGCCAGGTGTGGTGGTGTGCGCCTGTAGTCCCAGCTACTCAAGAGGCTAAGACACGAGAATTGCTTGAACCTGGGGATTGAAGGTTGCAGTGAGCCAAAATCACGCCACTGCACTCCAGCCTGGGCAACAGAGCAAGACTTCATCTCAAAAAAAAAAAATAATAATAATAATAATAGTGATGGAGTTTTGCCATATTGCCCAGGCTGGTCTCGAACTCCTGGGCTCAAGCGATCCTCCCATCTCAGCCTCCCAAAGTGCTGAGATTACAGGTGTGAGCCACCACGCCCAGTCTAGAGAGTTTTCATACCACAAAGTTGAAGGTGAACCTGTAGAACCCATAAACTGTTGACAAAAGAAAAAAGCGGGAAGCAGCCTTGGGTTATCTCCAGCACACCCACCAGAGGGCAGCAGACACTGGCTAAAGCTCTTAGTCATAAGTCCTGAGTGCTGGAAACAGTTGCAATGGCCAGCACGTGGGCAGAGCTCACCGCAGACAGTCCTCAGAGGTCGGAATCTGCCGTGCATCTGGCAATCTCTCTGCTGCCCCTGCCCCAGCCTGCCCTTAGCTCATCTCTCTGGAGCCCAGTGGTAGTCTTCATGGGCTCTCCTGCTTCAGGCTGTCCTGACTTAAGGAATGTCCCCACTGCCCTCATCCCTTCACAGCTCCTCTGCAGATCAGAGTGCAAGCCAGAGTCCTACAGTGGCCTCACAGCCCTGGCTGCTTGGAATCCTTACCCGTTCCCCACTCACTGTGGCACCACCAGGCTCCGCGCTGTTATTCCAGGCCTCAGAGACGGGCACACTCAGGGGCCATGTGCTTCTGTTCCCTTTGTTTATGAGCTATTCCCCCAGGTGTCTGCAGAGCACGCTTCCTTGAACTCCTTCAGGCCTTCCCTGAGCACACCCTTGTAAGTACACACAGACGGCACCACCACATCCCTTTCAGCAGGACCCAGGGGAAGAGCAGTCACCAGACACCCTCCAGCTCTCTGTTCCTGCAGGGCCCAGCACGGCTGCATACAGCCTCACCTGAGGTCACACCCTTCCTAAGGCAGCCTTCATCTGGTGACTGAGCAAAGCAGGGGCTATAAAGAACTGGCCATTTCCATCTCATGTGAGACTCTGTCCGACTGTCTAACTTCTCCAAGACTTTGTTGGGTGCCCATCACTGTTCAAGTTCTCCTGCCCCATCCTGCTTCCGCCTCCTTCCTTCCACAGGTGTTGGCCTCATATTCCATCTCAGTAAATGCCTCTGAAGAGCCCACACCTGTAATTCTAGCACTTTGGGAGGTCGAGGCAGGAGGATCACTTGAGGCAAGGAGTTTGAGACCAGCCTGGGCAACATAGTGAGACACTATCTCTACAAAAAATTAAATTAGCTGAGCATGGTGGTGCACACCTGTGGTCCCAGATACTCAGGAGGCTGAGATTGGTGGATCACTTGAGACTAGGAAGTTGAGGCTGCCATGAGCCATGACTGCACCACTGCACTCCAGCTTGGGCAGCAGGACAAGAACCTGTCTCAAAATGAATAAATAAAAAGAAAGTTGTTCCAGTCACCTGTCTGGCATGTGTACAGCTCTGGGAGACACTCTGCTGGCTTTTCCCAGACGCCAGCCAGCTCCTCCACTTTGACAACTCTTGCCTGCCCAGGCCTCTCCTACTTCTGCCTCACTCCCAGCTGGGGTTTCCTTCCTCATAAAGGACCTCCACTCAGCTCAGCCTTTGGGGAAGCAAGGCTAAATACACTCTTTTGTCATCTTTTGTGACCCTCTTGCAAGCACATCTTTCTCCAGCTATACCATAGGTCCTTGTCTCATTCCTCACATTTTTTGGCACCTACTGTATCAGAGGTATTCTTCTAGATGCTAGGGATACATGACCTCAGGTTATCTGCCTGCCTCAGCCTCCCAAAGTGCTGGGATTACAGGAGTGAGCCACGGCACCTGGCCGCCAGTGCATGTTTTAGACCAGCCACTGAAGCCACAGCACTGGCTGCCTCAGAAGGGGTGGGGCAGGAGGCTGGGAGGGGCTAAACCAGGACTTGCAGTGGGGACGGGGAGAGGAGAAATGTTAAAAAAACTATCCAGGGCCAGGTGTGGTGGCTCATGCCTGTAATCCCAGCACTTCTGGAGGCCAAGGTGAGAGGATCACTTTAGCCCAGGAGTTCAAGGTTGAAGTGAGCTATGATCATGCCACTCCACTCCAGCCTGGGCAACAGAGAAAAACCCTGTCTCAAAAATAGAAACACAGGCTGGGCACAGTGGCTCACACCTGTAATCCCAGCACTTTGGGAGGCCAAGGTGGGCGGATCACCTGAGGTCAGTAATTTGAGACCAGCCTGGCCAACATGGTGAAACCCTGTCTCTACTAAAAATACAAAAATTAGCCAGGCATGGAGGCTGTAGTCCCAGCTGCTTGGGAGGCTGAGGCATGAGAATTGCTTGAACCTGGGAGGTGGAGGTTGCAGTGAGCCAAGATCACGCCACTGTACTCCAGCCTGGGCGACAGAGTGAGACTCAGTCTCAAAAAAATTAAATAATAATAATAATAATAAAGCCTCTGGAAATGGTCCTAAGTGCATTCAGAAAATGAGTAAATATTTATTCAAGTAAATCTACTAAAACTTGGTAGGACTAATCAAAGCTATGATATTTAAACCAACATGCATTCCTTCTTTCTCCTTCCCAGTTCAGTGAGATGGAAAGTCCACTCCAGACTGGTTCAGCCAAGAACAAAGGATTCCCTCTCCAACTAGCTCCCAGTTGGAGAACTGTCTTCCCAAGAGGGATAGAATGCCGGCATTTTCCACCCGGCTCCCAGCTACCGGTTGCGGAGGCTAAGCCCTATATGAGTATGGCCAAGATGGTAGCTCTGTTAGTGCACCTAGGCCTCAGGCAGGGAATAGAGACACTACATTGTGTGTGGTGCCACTGAAAATACCGGGGCCCTGATTGTCTTAATTCTGGCTCATAAGGCAGAGGCAAGCCAAGAAGACTACTTCCCTACTCTCCACAGAGTGACAATCTCTTACAGCAGGTGTGTCACTCAGCAAGAGATGGGCCATTGTCCCTGACCCCAGCTCCAGAGCTGTGGCTCAGAGATTTTTGCCTGGGTAAAGGGGAAGGCCGGGAGCTTCAGATTTTTTCCCAAACAAATTGACTTTGTTTGCAAGAATGTGGAGAAGTTCAAGCCTAATGGTGCTCTCAGAAACAATGGAGGTTCTGATTTTAAAAACAAATGCCATTAAGAGGAATTGAGAAAATAAATCAGAGATAGAAGCAAAACCATAAGTTGGCTAGTTTACTAGACAGGACCAAGGAAAGATACAGTTAAGAGCCATTCTGGAGTCACAAGTCTCAATCATTGACCTAAAGAGATATCCCTTCAGGCCAGGCACGGTGGCTCACACCTGTAGTCCCAGCACTTTGGGATGCAGAGGCGGGAGAATCACTGGAAGCCAGGAGTTCAAGACCAGCCTGGCCAACATGGCGAAACTCCATCTCTACTAAAAATATAAAAATTAGCCAGGTGTGGTGGCACACGTCTGTAATCTCAGCTACTTGGGTGGCTGAGGCAGGAGAATCACTTGAACCCAGGAGGCAGAGGTTGCAGTGAGCTGAGATCACACTACTGCACTCCAGCCTGGGGGACAGAGCGGGACTGCCTCAAAAAAAAAAAAAAAAAAGAAAAAGAAAAAAGAAAGAAAAAGAAAAAAAAAGAGAGAGAGAGAGATTCCTTCAAAAAAGCCCAGATTCAATTGGATTCCTCTGTAGAGCAATTTGTACCCCAAGGAATTGTTGAAAACAGTAGAGCAATCAGACAGCAATTAGCGGAGTGTAACAGCTGTATGTGGTCAGGGAATGAGATCAAGTCCTGCCAGAATCACTGCCATCCCAGGGTGACTGTGGGCATACCCAAGGCTGTGCCCTCTGGGGAGCAACATAAGAGGCTGCACACTATGGGTGGTGATCGGGATTGGGGTGGGGGCCGATGAGTGTAGACTTCACTAAATAATCCACTAGTCACCAAACAAATAAACAAAAACCAATAACAAGCCATGGAACAGAGAAACCAGTGCCCGAAGTTTTACAATATATCACCTAAAATGTCCAGTTTCCAATAACAAATTACATAGAAGACATGCAAAGAAACAGGAAGGTCTGACCCAAACCCCAGGGGAAAAAACAGGCAATAGAAACTACCTGTGAGAAAGCTCAGATGTCAGATTTAATGGAAAGACTTTAAAGCAATCATTATGAATATTTTCAAATAACTAGAGAAAACCATGATTAAAGAAGTAAAGGGGCTGGGCACTGTAGCTCACACCTGTAATCCCAGCACTCTGGAAGGCTGAGGTGGGAGGATCGCTTGAGCCCAGGAGTTCGAGACCAGCTTGGGCAACATAGTGAGACCCCGTCTCTACAAATAATTTAATAATCTAGTTGGGTGTGGTGGCATGTGCCCCTGGTCCCAGCTAGTTGGGAGGCTGAGGTGGGAAGATCACTTAAGCCTGGGCAGTCAAGGCTGCAGTGAGCTGAGATTGAGCCACTGCACTCCAGCCTGGATGATGATAGAGCAAGATCCCACCTCAAAAAAAAAAAAGAAGTAAAGGAAGGTGTGATGAAAATGTCCCATCAAATAGAGAATATCAGTTAATAGACACTGGGCATGGCGGCTCACGCCTGTAATCCCAGCACTTTGGGAGGCCAAGGTGGGTGGATCACTTGAGGTCAGGAGTTAGAGACCAGCCTGGCCAACATGGTGAAACCCCGTCTCTACTAAAAATACAAAAATTAGCCGGGCGAGGTGGCGCATGCCTGTAATCCCAGCTATGTGGGAGGCTGTGGCAGGAGAATCGCTTGAACCCAAAAGGTGGAGGTTGCAGTGAGCCGGCACACCACTGCACTCCAGCCTGGGTGACAGAGAGACACTTCATCTCAAAAAAAAAAAAAGATAGATAGAAATTATTATTATTTAAAATTTTTTTAGAAACAGCCTCTGTTCCCCAGGCTGGAGTACAGTGGAGTGATCACAGCTCATTGCAGCCTCGACTTCCTGCGCTCAGGCGATCCTCTCACCTCAGCCACCACACCCAGCTATTTTTTTTTTTTTTAGACAGAGTCTTGCTCTGTTGCCCAGACTGGAGTGCAGTAGCATGATCTCAGCTCACTGCAACTTCCGCCTCCTGGGTTCAATCGATTCTCTTGCCTCGGCCTCCTGAATAGCTGGGATTACAGGCGCCCATCACCACGCCCAGCTAATTTTTGTATTTTTAGTAGAGACGGGGTTTCCCCATGTTGGCCAGGCTGGTCTCAAACTCCTGACCTCAGGTGATCCTCCTGCCTTGGCCTCCCAAAGTGCTGGGATTACAGGCATAAGCTACTGTGCCCAGCCTTTTTTGTAATTTTTTGTTTTTGTTTTGTTTTTTTTGAGACGGAGTCTCACTCTTGTCGCCCAGGGTGGAGTGCAGTGGCACCATCTTGGCTCACTGCAAACTCTGCCTCCCAGGTTCATGCCATTCTCCTGCCTCAGCCTCCTGAGTACCTGGGACTACAGGCGCCCACCACCATGCCCAGCTAATTTTTTGTATTTTTAGTAGAGACAGGGTTTCACCGTGTTAGCCAGGATGGTCTGGATCTCCTGACCTCGTGACCTGCCCACCTCAGCCTCCCAAAATGCTGGCATTATAGGCGTGAGCCACTGCGCCTGGCCCTTTTTTGTACATTTATAGAGACAGGGTCTCGATTTGTCCAGGCTGGTCTTTATCTCCTGAACTCAAGCAATCCTCCTGCCTTGGCCTCCCAAACTGCTGGGATTACAGGCTTGGGCCACTGTGCCCAGCTCAGAAATTATTTTTAAAAAAACAATCAAATGGGCCAGGCGCAGTGGCTCATGCCTGTAATCCCAGCACTTTGGGAGGCCGAGGTGGGTGGACAATTTGAGGTCAGGAGTTAAAGGCCAGCCTGGCCAACATGGCGAAACTTCGTCTCTACTAAAAATACAAAAATTAGCCAGGTGTGGTGGCACATGCCTGTAATCCCAGCTACCTGGGAGGCTGAGGCCCAAGAATCCACTTGAGCCTGGGAGGCAGAGGTTGTAGTGAGCTGAGATCATGCCACTGCATTCCAGCCTGGGCAACAGAGTGAGACTCTATCTCAAAAAAAAAAAAAAAAGAATCAAATGGAAATTTGGGAGTTGAAAAGTGTAATAATTGAAATGAAAATTTTATTAGATGATCTCAACAGTAGATTTAACTGGCAGAATAAAAAAAAAGAAAACTTGAATGTAGATCAACAGAGATTATGCCATCAAAAGAACAGAGAGAAAGAAGAATGAAGAAAAACAAACATAGCCTCAGAGGAATGTTGGACACTGTTAAATATACCAATTATATGCATAAGAATATCAGAAGGAGAAGGTAGAGAGAAAGGAACAGAACAAAATACTCAGAGAAATAATGGCTGAAAACGTCTGAAATTTGCTATAAAGTGTTAATACATCCAAGACACTCACTGAAATCCAAGTAGGGTAAACACAAAAAGATCAATGAACCAAAACATTATATTAAGAATTCTGAAAGGCAAAGACAAAGAAAAATCTTGAAAGCAGCAAGAGAAATAATATGACTCATCACTTGACAATGAATGCCAATGCCAATAAGCCTTACAGGTAGCTTCTTTTTTTTTTTTTTTAGACGGAGTTTCACTCTTGTTGCCCAGGCTGGAGTGCAATGGTGCAATCTCGGCTCACTGCAACCTCCACCTTCCGGGTCCCAGTTCAAGCAGTTCTCCTGCCTCAGCCTCCTGAGTAGCTGGGATTACAGGCACGCGCCACCATGCCCAGCTAATTTTTGTATTTTTAGTAGAGATGGGGTTTCACCATGTTGGGCAGGCTGGTCTCAAACTCCTGACTTCGTGATCTGCCCGCCTCGGCCTCCTAAAGTGCTGAGATTACAGGCGTGAGACACCGCACCGGGCTACAGGTGGCTTCTTATCAGCAACAATGGAGGCCAGAAGGTAGTAAGAATGCATGTTCAGGCCAGGCGAGGTGGCTCATGCCTGTAATCCTAGCACTTTGGGAGGCCGGGCAGATCACCTGAGGTCAGGAGTTGGAGACCAGCCTGGCAAACATAGTGAAACCCCGTCTCTACTAAAAGTACAAAAAAATTATCTGGGCGTGGCAGCAGACGCCTGAATCCCAGCCACTTGGGAGGCTGAGGCAGGAGAATTGCTTGAACCTGGGAGGTGGAGGTTGCAGTGAGCCGAGATCGCACCACTGCACTCAGCCTGGGCAACAGAATGAGACTCTATCTCAAAAAAAGAAAAAAAAAGAGCATGTTCAAAGAGCTCAAAAAAAATGTCAATTAAGAATATTAGGCCAGGCATGGTGGCTCACACCTGTAATCCCAGCACTTTGGGAATCTGAGGCAGGAGGATCACTTGAGACCAGGAGTTCAAGACCAGCTTGGACAACATAGCAAGAACCCCTGCCTCTACAAAATAATTAAAAATTAGCTGGGCATGGTGGTGAGCACCTATAGTCCCAGCTACTGTGTAGGTTGAGGCGGGAGAGTTGCTGGAGCCCAGGAGTTCAAGATAACCGTGAGCTTGATCATGGCACTGTACTCCAGCCTGGGCAACAGAGCAAGACCCTGCCTCAAAAAGAAAGAAAAGAAAAAAAAAGAATATTATATTCAGTAGAGCCACCTTTCAAAATGAAGGTGAAATAGGCTGGGTGTGGTGTCTCATGCCTGTAATCCCAGCTCTTTGGGAGGCCAACGTGGGCGGATCACGAGGTCAGGGGATCAAGACCATCCTGGCTAACACGGTGAACTGCGTCTCTACTAAAAATACAAAAAAATTAGCCGAGTGTGGTGGTGGGCACCTGTAGTCCCAGCTACTCGGGAGGCTGAGGCAGGAGAATGGCGTGAACCAGCGGGACGGAGCTTGCAGTGAGCCGAGATGGCGCCACTGCACTCCAGCCTGGGTGACAGAGCGAGACTCTGTATAAAAAAAAAAAAAAAAGAAGAAGAAGGCGAAATAAAGACATTCCCAGATAAACAAAAACAGAGAATTTGTTGCTAGGCTGCCTTACAAGAAATACTAAAGGAAAACTTTTTAGCCTGAAAACAAGCAACTCCAGATAGTAATTTGAATCCATATTTTTTGCCTGTGTTTTCATCTTTTTTTTTTTTTTTTTTTTGAGACAGGGTGTCACTCTGTCACCCAGGCTGGAGTGCAGTGGCACAATCTCAGCTCACAGCAACCTCCGCCTCCCAGGCTCAAGGTATCCTACCACATCAGCCTTCCAAGTAGGTGGGACTACAGGCATGAGCCACCATGCCTGGCCATTTTTTTTTTTTTTTGGCTGGCTATTTTTTTTTTTTTTGAGATGGAATTTCACTCTTGTTGCCCAGGCTGGAGTGTAATGGTGTGATCTCGGCTCACTGCAAGTTCTTCCTCCCAGGTTCAAGTGCTTCTCCTGCCTTAGCTTCCCAAGTACCTGGGATTACAGGCATGAGGCCACCACGTCTGGCTAATTTTGTATTTTTAGTAGAGATGGGATTTCTCCATGTTGGTCAGGCTGGTCTTGAACTCCTGACCTCAGGTGATCTGCCCGCCTCGGCTTCCCAAAGTGCTGGGATTACAGGCGTGAGCCACCGTGCCCAGCCACCTGGCCAATTTTTAAATTACTTGTAGCGATGAGGTCTCACTACGTTGCCCAGGTTGGTCTCAAATTCCTGGGCTCAAGCAATCCTCCAGCCTCAGCCTCCCAAAGTGCTGGGATTACAGGCGTGAGACACCACACCCGGCCTTGCCAGTGTTTTCATTGCCTTTATACAGAGACAAATTTTTGGAGGTCCTACCATTTTTGCTGATGTCATTATAAATTTTGTTGCCTTAGTTTTAGGTCTTCTAATTTTTGCGTTTTGTTTAGAGACAGAGTCTCACTATGTTGCTCGAGCTGGTCTCCAATGCCTGGCCTCAAGCACCCTCAGTGTCCCCAGTAGCTGGGATTACAGGCATGAACCACTATGCCCAGCTATTTTAAAATTTTGTTTTATTTATTTATTTTCTTACTGACAGGGTCTTGCTCTGTTACCCAGGCTGGAGTGCAGTGGCACAATTGCAGCTCACTGCAGCCTTCAGCACCTGGGCTCAAGCAGTTCTTCCACCTTGGCCTCCTGAGTAGCTGAGACTACAGGCTCATGCCACCATGCCTGGCTAATTTTTTATTTAGATGGGAGTCTTGCTCTGTTGCCCAGACTGGTCTCAAACTCCTGGGCTCAAGCGATCCTCCCACCTTTGGCTCCCAACGTGTTGACATTACAGGCATGAGCCACTGCGAGGGGTCTTCTGCCTGTTTTATTTTGAATTAGAAAGTGTGAGTCCTCCAAATTGGTTCTTTTCAAGATTGTTCTTTTCAATGCAACAATCTGGGTTCCTTGCATTTCAAATGAATTTTAGGATCATCTTGTCAATTTCTGCAAAGAAGGCAGCTGGGATTTTGTTGGAATTGCATTTAATCTTCAGATCAATTTATGGAGCATTACCATCTTAATAATATTATTTTTTATTTTTTTGAGACAGGGTCTCACTCCAATTGCCCAGGCTGGAATGCAGTGGCATGATTTCAGCTCACTGCAGCCTTGACCTCCCTGGGCTCAGGTGATCCTCCCACCTCAGCCTCCTGAGTCTCTGGGACTACAGGTGCACACCACCATGCCCGGCTAATTTTCATATTTTTAGTAGAGACAAGGTTTTGCCATATTGCCCAGGCTGGTTTCAAACTCCTGGACTCAAGCAATCCACCCACCTTGGCCTCTCAAAGTGCTAGGATTACAGGTGTGAGCCACCACACCTGGCCCTCGCTTAATCATATTAAGTCTTCCAATCTGTGAACACAGGATTTTTTTTTTTTTTTTTGAGACAGAGTCTCACTCTATCGCCCAGGCTGGAGTGCAGTGGCGCAGTCTCGGCTCACTGCAACCTCCCCCTCCTGGGTTCACGCCATTCTCCTGCCTCAGCCTCACGAGTAGCTGGGACTACAGGCGCCTGCCACCACGCCCGGCTAATTTTTTGTATTTTTTTTTAGTAGAAACGGGGTTTCACCGTGTTAGCCAGGATGGTCTCAATCTCCTGACCTCTGATCTGCCCACCTCGGTCTCCCAAAGTGCTGGGATTACAGGTGTGAGCCACCGGAACACAGGATATTTTTTCATTATTTTGGGCTTTAATTTCTTTCAACAATGTTTCTTTTTTCAGTGTAAAAGTCTTGCACTTGTTTTGTTAAATTTATTCGTAATTTTTTTTTTTTTGACACAGAGTTTCACTCTTGTTGCCTAAGCTGGAGTGCAGTGGCACAATCTCAGCTCACTGCAACCTCAGCCTCCCGGGTTCGAGCAATTCTCCTGCTTCAGCCTTCCAAGTAGCTGGGATTACAGACATGTACCACCACACCCGGCTAATTTTGTATTTTTAGTAAAGACGGGGTTTCTCCATGCTGGTCAGGCTGGTCTCGAATGCCCGACCTCAGGTGATCCGCCCACCTCGGCCTCCCAAAGTGCTGGGATTACAGGCATGAGCCACTGCACCCAGCCTTCATAAATATTTTTAAGTAACTAAAAATAAAAAAGAATATTTAATTCTTTTTGATGCTATTGTAAATGGAATTGTGTGTGTGTGTGTGTGTGTAACTTCTCTTTTTTTTTGAGACAGGGTCTCACTATGTCACCCAGGCTTGAGTGCAGTGACACAATCACAGCTCACTGCAGTCTCACCCTCTCAGGCTCAAGCCATCCTCCCACCTCAGCCTACTGAGTAGCTGGAACTACAGGCACGTGCCACCATGCCTACCTACTTTTTGTATTTTTTGTAGAGACAGGGTTTCACCATGTTACCCAGGCTGCTCTCAAACTCCTAGACTCAAGTTATCCTCCTGCCTCAGCCTCCCAAGTTGTTGGGATTACAGGCGTGAGCCACCACGCCCGGCCATTCTATGTGTTTTGACAAATGTATAATGACATGTTGATACCATTATAATGTCATACAGAATAGTATCACTGCTCTAAAGATCCACTGCACCACACCTATTCATTCCTCTCTCCTCCAAAAACTTTGTCAACCACTGATCTTTCCACTGTCTCCATAGTTTTTCCAGAGTGTTATACTATACAGTATGTAGCCTTTTCAGATTGGCTTCTTTTGCTTAGTGATATGCATTTACAATTCCTCCATGTCTTTCTTTCTTTCTTTCTTTTTTTTTTTTTGAGACAGAGTCTCGCTCTGTTGTCCAGGCTGGAGTGCAGTGGCTCGATCTTGGCCCACTGCAACCTCTGCCTCCCAGGTTCAAGTGATTCTCCTGCCTCAGCCTCCCAAGTAGCTGCAATTACAGGTGCCCGCCACCATGCCCAGCTAACTTGTATTTTTAGTAGAGACGGGGTTCCACCAATTTGGCCAGGCTGGTCTCGAACTCCTGACCTCAAGTGATACGCTCACCTTGGCCTTCCAAAGTGCTAGGATTATAGGTGTGAGCCACCATACCCGGCCACCTCCATATCTTTTGTGGCTTGATAATTTATTTACTTTTAGCATTGAATAATAATCCATTGTCTGGATGTACCACAATTTATTCATTCACCTACTGAAGGACATCTTAGTAGCTTTCCCAAGTTTTAGCAATATGAATAGAGCTGCTACAAACATGTGTATGCAAGTTTTTGTGTGAACAAAAGTTTCAACTCATTTGGGTAATACCAAGGAGCATGACTGCTGGATCATGTGGCGAGGGTGTGTTTAGCTTTGTCAGAAGCTGCCAAACTGTTTTCCAAATGACTGTACCATTCTACATCCCCACCAGCAATGAATTTGAGTTAATGAATTTTTTTTTTTCATTTTCAGATAGTTGCTAGTGTATAGAAATATAATTGATTTTGTATATTAATCTTGTATTCTGCAACTTAACTCATTTATTAGCTCTAATCGTTGTATGTGTGTGTATTCTTTAGGATGTTCTGTACTTTCTATACACAATATGCAAGTTCATGGCACATAGAAATAAAGATAGTTTTACTTCTTTTCCAATGTGTATGTTTTTAATTTTATTTTCTTGCCTAATTGTCTAGGCTGGACCTTCCAGTACAACGTAACATCCAGATGTACATTTCCAGCCCACACCCGGTTCCAGCTACCTCACTGATGTGGAGTTCTAACTGGGGAGGAGGAGCCAGGCTGGCTGGAGCAGGTAAAAGCAAAAAGAGAAAGCAGATAAGCTATGAGTCTGCCTTTCTTCATGGTCCAGGACACATAGCCCTCCTGTGTAAATAACTCACAATCTTCCTGCAGCCAGCTATCACCAGACCCTCGGCTGATAGAAAAATGCAAGTTAGCTCACTGCAACCTTGACGTTATCATGACTACACAAAGCCCTCTTCGACACACAGCACAAACACCACCCTATAAAATCCCCAGCAAGGCTTTGTCTCTTTGCAGTCAGCTCCTCTCTTGCTGACTTGCCCATTGCACCCTTGCAACATATTTTCATGCTTTTTCTAACAACTCTACCTTTCTTTACCTACAGCTGTCTTGGTAAATTCTTTTACCACCCAGGTGACACCAGCCCCAGATAGTTGTGACCTGTGACACTTCGGTGGCCCGTATGGGGAACTCTCTCTCCTTACAGGAAACTCTCTCCCCTCTGTCTTTCTCTTTCCCAACTTGGGACCCTTGGTGGAAAGCATCTAAGCACAGAAACAACTGTAGGTCTCTGGCTGGAGCTACACTCTGGTGGGACTGAAAGGTGTCCGTGTGAAAGTGTCTGACTGCCACCGGTCCAGATAGTCGCTGCTCACCCACAACAACTGACATAGCTACTTAGATGCCTAATAGGAGTCTCCAACCAACTCATGATCGTCTCACCAAACCTGCTTCTCCCACAGTGTTCTGCAGTTCTATCCTTCTAGTATTGAAACCAAGTCATCCTTCACTTCTCATTTTCTTTTTCTTTTTTTTTTTTTTGAGACAGGGTTTGACTCTTTCACCCAGGCTGGAGTGCAGTGGCACAATCTCAGCTCACTGCAACCTCTGCCTCTTCGGTTCAAGCAGTTCTCCTGCCTCACCCTCCCAAGTAGTTGGGATTACAGGCACCTGCCACCATGCCCGGCTAATTTTTGTATTTTTAGTAGAGACAGGGTTTCACCATATTGTCTAGGCTGGTCTCGAACTCCTGACCTCAAGTTATCTGCCCACCTCGGCCTCCAAAAGTGTTAGGATTATAGGCGTGAGCCACTGCACCCAGCCTACTTCTCACTTTCTTTCATCCCACATTGGGACCACCAGTAATATCTGTGGTCTCAACCTTCACAATATGTCCAGAATGTGACCACTTCCCACCAGCTCTATAACCAGCAGTCCACTCTGAGCTTCCAGCATCTCCTGCCTGGGTCAGTGCAGTAGGCTCCTAACCAGTCCTCTTAGTCTACTCTTGCCCTAGCTTCAGCTAAGTGATCCTTCTAAAATTAAATCAGGCTGGGCACAGTGGCTTATGCCTATAATCCAGACACTTTGGGAAGCTGAGGCAGGAGGATTGCTTGATCCCAGGAGTTTGAGATAAGCCTGGACAACATGGCAAGACCCTGTCTCTACAAAAAATAATAAAATTAGCCAGGCATGGTGTTGTGTGACTGTGGTCCCAGGTATTCGGGAGGTTGAGGCAAGACTACTTGAGTCTAGGAGGCCAAGATTGCAATGAGTCATGTTCACAACTCTGCACTCCAGCCTGGGTGACAAAGTGAGACCCTGTCTCAAAGAAATAAATAACAAAACTAAATCAGACCACAACATCCTTCTGCTAAGTACCCTTCAATGGCTTTTACCACATTCTGTGAGAAAAGCTGGGGTCCTTACAGTGACCTAAAGGCCAAGGTTTCACTTCATTTCATTTGATTTCCCCTCCCTCCCTCCCTCCCTCCCTCCCTCCCTCCCTTCTTTCCTTCCTTCCTTCCTTCCTTCCTTCCTTCCTTCCTTCCTTCCTTCCTTCCTTCCAAGGGTGGGAATAACTCAGCCCCTGGCTAGAGGGCAAGGCCCCACTCCTGGGCGGCCCCCATGCCTTGCATTCCATATTCCAGTCCCAGCTCAGGCGCTCCATCACTGAGTGGCATTGGGCAAGTCATGGCCTCTCTCTGGGCATCAGTTTCCCCATATGTAAGTTTCCACAGAGGCTGGTATAGGTGGCCAATGTTTCCTTCCATCCTGACTGTCCAGGATTCTGTGATTCCCTTCTAAGCCACTGTGTCCTCAGGAAATCCCTTGTGCCAGCCTGTGGGTAGCTCAGGCCTTTATGGCAGGGTGAGGGTGGCCCCCGGGTCCTGGAGCTCTGGCCTCAAGCAGATCTGGATGGGGCTGGATGCCAGCCACCCACCAGAAGTGAGACTGGGGCTCCCTGTGCCCCCCCAAAGCACAAGACTTGGAGGGCATGGGATTGGCGGTCCCTCGTCACCTTTTGTTCCTGTCTCTGGGGCTTTGCAGGCCAATGGAAACGCAGCCCTGAGAATAAAAGCCCCTTGTCCAGAGTTCTGAGCCCTAATCCTCTTACGTGTCACCAGCGGAAAGCCGGAGCCGGTGGCAGAAGGGCTGCTCTGATTCCCTGCCAGCCTGCCCCTCGTCCCACACTCTGGTGCCAACCCAGTCGCATCACAAAGGGCTGCTGCCCCAGCCAAGCAACCGCACCACTGAATGCAATCACCACTCGGGCCCCGGCGACGGGGTGCTCAGACCGAGAGCTCTGGACAGGGCTTGGATGGTTCAGGAAAGGCTGAGCATCCACCCTGTCCTGAGAGCCACTGTCCAAGTCAGAGCCCCAGCTTTGCCCGGTGTGGCTGGGCCCAAGGTTCTTCCTCCCTCCCTTGGGATCCCAGATTGTTGTTCTAGCCATAAGGTGGCCCCGGATTAGGTAGTCATGGGACCTCTTTTGGCTCCCTCTTCCCTTTAGGAGGCGTAGACAGACCCACAGCTCTCTGCTGAGACTGACGGGGCCTGGAAGAGGTGGGTGCAGTGGCCTCCCACACAGAACCTCCCTGTCTGAATAGTTGAGGGACAGACACCTCCATACAAGGCAAGAAGTGCCCCTGTTCCAGTGCGGCCTCTCAGAGGATACAGCAACCCGCCTGACCCCTGGGGAAGCTGGACAAGGCTCTGCTGGACTTGGAAGAGTGGGTAGGAGCAGGACAGATGACTGAGGTGGGGTTGGGAGAAGAGGAAGGAGGTGGGGCCTGCCAGGAGGACAGCGGTACAGCCGAGGACGGTGTTCTGAGGATGGGGGTGAGCAGCTGGCAGCGGCTACACAAGGACTGTAAAAAGTGAACCCTGTCCCAGAGGCCTGGGCATGCAAAATAGGGACACAGGTACCCCACAGAGACAGGACTTCAAGAAGACAGAGGACAACTGGCCACCAGTTTTACCTGAATATTTAGTTGGGAGAAGTTAAAAAGATACCATATAAGCACTATAAAGTCAGTGCTTTAAAAGGAAAACAAACAGCCGTGAAGTGAAATGCAAAATTCACCTGAATTTTAAAGACGAAACAAAGAACTGTGTATCCATGGAGACACTTCAGACTCTGCAGGCAGATCCCGGGCCCTGTCTCACTCCTGAGCCATATGTTTGAGTAAGGTGGCTATGTAATTGGGACTACATGCAGTTAGACCACCCAGTCAATCAGACAAGTGTCCCACCCGCCAAAGAGCACAGCGTGGAGCCGGGGAGAAGGTAGATCCATCCACAGACAAGTGTTTTTTGTTGTTGTTTTGTTGTTGTTGTTGTTGTTTGTTTGTTTGTTTTTTGAGACGGAGTCTTGCTCTGTCGCCCAGGCTGGAGTGCAGTGGCGCGATCTCGGCTCACTGCAAGCTCCGCCTCCCGGGTTCACGCTATTCTGCCTCAGCCTCCCAAGTAGCTGGGACTACAGGCGCCCGCCACCACGCCCACCTAATTTTTTGTATTTTTAGTAGAGACGGGGTTTCACCGTTTTAGTCAGGATGGTCTCGATCTCCTGACCTCGTGATCCGCCCGCCTCGGCCTCCCAAAGTGCTGGGATTACAGGTGTGAGCCACCGCGCCCTGCCGTTGTTGTCTCTGTCACCCAGGCTAGAGTGCAGTGGTGTAATCCTGGCTCACTGCAGCCTCCACCTCCCAGGTTCAAGCGATTCTCCAGCCCCAGCTTCCCGAGTAGCTGGAACTACAGGTACCTGCCACCACATCCAGCTAATTTTTGTATCTTTAGTAGAGACGTGGTTTTGCCACGTTGGCCAGGCTGGTCTTGAGCTCCTGAACTCAGGTGATCCAACCTCCTCACCATGGTGGTCCCCAGGGCTCAAGCCTGCAGCCCACAGGGGCTTACATTTCTGCTTTTAAAGTAATTAATGCAGCCGGCCTGGAGGCTCACATCTGCAATCCCAGCACTTTGGGGGGTTGAAGAGGGAGCCCAGGGGTTCAAAACCAGCCTGGGCAACATAGTGAGGCTCTATCTCTACAAAAAATAAAAAATTGGCCGGGCATGGTGGCTCACGCCTGTAATCCCAGCACTTTGGGACGCCGAGTCGGGCGGATCACGAAGTCAGGAGATCAAGACCATCCTGGCTAACACAGTGAAACCCCGTCTCTACTAAAAAATACAAAAAATTAGCCGAGTGTGGCGGCGGGCTCCTGTAGTCCCAGCTACTTGGGAGGCTGAGGCAGGAGAATGGCATGAACCTGGGAGGCGGAGCTTGCAGTGAGCCGAGATGGCGCCACCGCACTCCAGCCTGGCGACAGAGCAAGACTCCATCTCAATAAAAATAAAAATAAATATAAATAAATAAATAAATAAAAGAACAGTTCTCTCCTTCCTTCACCTATACCGCCCACCCGCATCCACTGCTGGGAACCCTACCCTGATGAACTCCTATCCTGCTTGAGCCCAGACATTCAAGACCAGCCTGGGCAACATGAGGAGACCCCCATCTCTACACACACATACATATAAAATACAAAATTAGCGGGGCATGGTGGCATGGTGGCATGCACCTGTAGTCCCAGCTACTCAGGAAGCGGAGTTGGGTGGATCAATTGAGCCCAGGAGGTCCAGGCTGCATTGATCTGTGACTGCACCACTGCACTCCAGCCTGAATGACAGAGCAAGACCCTATCTCAACAACAACAACAACAACAACAGAAATAAAGAAACTTCAAAAATATTTTTCCCTAAAGGATTAATAAAAGCATGAAGATGCAGCCTGGGTGAAGCTATTTGAGTGAATAGATAAGAAGGGTGAGAGATAAGATATACTGGTATGAGGCCGGGTGCGGTGGCTCACACCTGTAATCCCAGCACTTTGGGAGGCCGAGGAGGGCGGATCACAAGATCAGGAGATCGAGACCATCCTGGTTAACACAGTGAAACCCCGTCTCTAGTAAAAAAAAAAAAAAAAAATACAAAAAATTAGCCGGGCATGGTAATGGGCGCCGTAGTCCCAGCTACTTGGGAGGCTGAGGCAGAACGGCATGAACCTGGGAGGCGGAGCTTGCAGTGAGCCGAGATCGCGCCACTGCACTCCAGCCTGGGCGACGGCGAGACTCTGTCTAAAAAAAAAAAGAAAAAAAAAAAAGAAATACTGGGCTGAAGTAGGACGTCTTGAATGAGTAACTTCCCCACACTGCAACCTCAATGAAATTCACTGAACTTCAGCTTCCTCCTGTTTTTGAGACAAGGTCTCCTCTGTTGCCCAGTATGGAGTGCAGTGGTGCGATCATAGCTCCCTGTAGCCTTGACCTCTTTCCCTCCTCCTGCCTTGGTCTCCCAAAGTGCTGGGATTACAGGTGTGAACGTTTTTTCTTTTTCTTTTTTTTTTTTTTTGAAATGGAGTCTTGTTCTGTCATCCAGGCTGGAGTGCAGTGGCGTGATCTTGGCTCACAGCAACCTCCACCTCCTGGGTTCAAATGATTCTCCTGCCTCAGCCTCCCAACTAGCTGGAATTACAGGTGCATACCACCACACTCCCTGCTATTTTTTGTATTTTTAGTAGAGACGGGGTTTCGCCATGTTGGCCAGGCCGGTCTTGAACTCCTGGCCTCAAGTGTTTTGCCCACCTCAGCCTCCCAAAGTGCTGGGATTACAGGCATGAGCCATCGTGCCTAGCTGATTTTTTCAAAAGGTTAGGCCGGGCGCGGTGGCTCACGCCTGTAATCCCAGCACTTTGGGAGGCTGAGGCTGGTGGATCACCTGCAGTTAGGAGTTTGAGACCACCCTGGCCAACATGGTGAAACCCCATCTCTACTAAAATTACAAAATTAGCTGGTTGTGGTGGCAGCCTGTAATCCCAGCTACTTGAGAGGCTGAGGCAGGAGAATCGCTTGAACCTAGGAGGCAGAGGTTACAGTGAGCCGAGATCGTGCCACTGCACTACAGCCTGGGTAATGAGAGCGAAACTCCATCTCAAAAAAAAAAAAAAAAAGAAAAAGAAAAACAGTAAAGGTAATGCCTACATACATCTGAGGGTTGTCATGAGAATTAAATGAAATAATGCTGTTGAGTACTGTGCATAGTGTCTGGCTCTGTGACAGTTACTACTAAGCTTATGAATCATGGCTTAATAAAGCCTGAGGATTTGAGGGTTACTCTGGAAGGAATATCCTGGCCACCCAAGGGTTGAGCAGAAACCTTCTAAATTTCCTCATCAAACCCACTGTCCTCAGCAGTCCTGTGTGCAGTGCCGTGCACAGTGACCTCCCTCCTGCAGGTTAAGCCAGCTAAGCCAACAGGCTGGGAAATGGTCAACTAGCGACCCAGGAAACAAGAACAGGAGCTTCACAGTTTCCAAAGCATTGTTCACACTCCCCACCACCCCACCCCTCATCAGCTTGCTTTTAGCGCCACTGACACCGCACCCTGGGACCAACCAACACACAGGCAGAGAGGAGTGTGACACCAGGTGAAACAGCCAGGCTCTGGGACTGAGACTGGTGAAGGTCTTGGCTGGGGGTACAAAAGGCACACCCAACAAAGGTGCACATGGCAGGTGGCACTTGTAGTTAGCTCAGAATTCTGGAGGACAGAATTGGAGCTCAAAAGAATTTCAACAGGTTAGCAATATGATACTCAGTTTTTACAAAGGCCAAGTCTGTCCTTGTGCCCCCAAACCCATCTGAACAAATGGAGTAGTACTTCTATCAGAAAAATGACATTGGGGACCAGCTCAGGGTGACTAAACTGAGAGATGCATGATGTTAGCAAGTCACTGAGGTCCTCAGACCCGGGCAAGAAGGGCCGTGATCCTCCCCGTGGGGCAATGCTCCTCAGAGGCAAAGGACATGCCCACTCAGAGGCCACACACCATGCTTGGCACTGGGGATCCCAGAATCTCTTGCCCAAAAGGCTCCAAGCCCCTGCTCCCCTAGCGATGGGGTCTGAGAGGAGGCTAAGGGATTGTGAACAAAGCGGGAACATGTGGCCTCAGGGGGCCGCACGCGGATCCCTGAAATCCCCTGCATTACAGGTACAGCCCGGGATACAAGGAGAGGGACCAGGTTGGGGGCAGCAGGGCTCCTCTCCCGGCCCCAGCACATTCTCAAACAGAACTCTGAGGAGTCCAAGAAATCTAAATTCAAACTTAGCATTCCAAGTCATCATGAAGGTCAGAGTGGAGATTTGCTTATTGAATAGTTAGTTTGTACGATTACTCATAAACTTTCAGACATGGCCCTCTGTGTGTCCCCCAGTCCTGCCCTGTGAATGTTCATGTGTGCCTGGGCAAGGAGGCATGTGTGCTCCTCTGAGTTCAGGCAGCACCTAGAGAAGCGCAGCCCCTTCCGAACCCCCACAAATGTCCTAAGAAAAGCACCTGTGACATTGAGGGGCCAGGAGAGCTGTCACGTGAGGGTCAGCTGAGGGGACTAAAGACATTCAGCCAAGAGGAGAGAAGGTTCAGGAGTGGCACTCTAGTTGTATTTTGTTCTTGGAAAGATGATGAAAGAAAAAGGAGGACTTACTCATTTATTCCAAGCGCTCAGAGAGTAGACTAGGTCCACAGTGTGACTCAGGGAGGCAGGAGGGCTCACTGAAAAAATGACCCATCTAACAAAAGGTGGGGAAGGTGGGGAAGTGGTAGAAGAACAAAACAGGGAGTGAAGCACGGTGGGAAGTCATGAGGGCTTTCTGCTGGAGGAAGTCCAACTGTGCGAGGTGCATGATCTTTGAAATTTTGCAGGGGTGATTTCAGCCACAGATGGAGGTCTGGGGCCAGCTGATGATCAAGCTCATCCTGCCCCGAGAGTCTCTCTGAGTCTGCCTGGGGAAAGCATGTTGCAAGTCCCTCACAGACAAGCCTCCCCTGGTCCCTGACATTATGCATCTGAAACTCTTTCCATTTTCCAGGAAGGGTAAATCAAGGCACAGGGCAGGGAAGTCACATGGGTACCTGGTTACCAGCTTGTCCCGCTCCGTGTCAGAGGGGCCTGCAGTGTGCTCCTGCTGGTCATGCTCTCCTCCACTTTTTTGCAGGTTGGCAGGGTCTCTGGGGTGGGTGACAGTTCTCACATGGATAGTTCTCTATGAATGCCAGAAGCTAGAGTCCGGTGTCTGGCATTTGGCAGGGCCTGGGAAGCCAGGGGAGCCAAAGGGAGGTCTTTTTTCCTGTGGGAACTCATTCCAGTTGCCAGCAGAGTGAGGAGCAAAGCCATGGCACTTGGCTTTCTGGTGGTTACTCCTGGCAACCTTGTCGTGGCCTTGGACATGGACCCGGTCTGCCCCAGGGTTTCTGTTTCTCCATCTGTAGAACAAGGGTGAACTTCTGCCCTGGCTGGCCATAGAGCCGGCCGGACCAGGAAGCGTGCTGTCCTCCTTGAGAGGGCCAAGCAGTCACCAGAGTAAAGACAAGTGAGAATCAGGGCCTGCCGCCTCCCAGGAGAGGCCCAATTAGAGCAGCGAGTGGTTCCCACCAGAGGCTCTGGCCGGCCCTCAAAGCTAGCCGCGTGGGCAGGCAGCAGCAGGCTGTGTGATTAACGATGGCAGCTCGGGCCGCCCACTGGGCCTGGCCTCAGGAACTTCCAATGAGCACACATAGTGCCAAGGGGAAAGAGGGCCAGCTCCCTTTCTTCTGCAGCGAAGGGAGGAGGGAGCCGGCCGAGGGAGCACCCGGCAACCAGAGGGCAAACCCAAACAAAGGGCCACGCTTTTGAGGGCTCCTGAGACCTCGGCACAGGCCTCCCCGGGGGCCTCAGAGAGGGGTGGCATCAGGGATCCAGAGTTCAGCTCACTCCACAGGCCCCATCAATACATCCCAAGAAGGCTCAGCCCTCTTCCAAGCCCAGGGCCACGATGCAAACAAGAAACTGCTCCATCCTCAAGGAAACAGAGTCTACCATGCATTCATTCATCCATCCATCCATTCACTCAACAAAGACTACCACCTACTGAGTGCCCTGAGACCAGGTAGTGAACAAGACAATCAGGATCCCTGCTCTCAGAAATCTCTATTCTGACTCCTCAGGCAGAAAGCAAGTAAACCAATGCGGAAAAACTACACAGAGGCAAAGAATGGTTATGGGCACTGACTCCACAGGCTGAAGGCTCTGGGTTCAAAGCCCAGCCCTGGCTCCACCATCTGACCACCGGAAAGCTATTTAACCTCTGTGCCTGGGCCTCCTCCTCTGTAAGGTGGGATAATAAAAGTATCTATCACACAGGATAGCTCTAAGAATTAAAGGAGTTAATATATGTAAAGCACTTCAAACACTACCTGGCATATAGTAAACATCACAGAAATATTGTTTTTCATTTGTTTGTTTGTTTGTTTTGAGACGGAGTCTCGCTCTGTAACCCAGGCTGGAGTGCAGTGGCACGATCTCAGCTCACTGCAACCTCCACCTCCCAGGTTCAAGTGATTCTCCTGCCTCAGCCTCCCGAGTAGCTGGGATTACAGGTGCCTACCATCACACCCAGCTAATTTTTCATATTTTCAGTAGAGACAGGGTTTCATCATGTTGGCCAGGCTGGTCTCGAACTCCTGACCTCAGGTGATCTGCCAGCCTTGGCCTCCCAAAGTGCTAGGATTACAGGCGTGAGCCACCACGCCTGGCCAAGTGTTTGTTAAATGAAAAATAAAGTAGTTTCCAGTAGAGACATATACTCTGAAGAACCTGAGTGGGAGGGAGTGTCGGGGGAGGTGTGGGGTGAGGAGAGCCACATCAGGGAAGGTAAAAATTAGACTGCTTTTGGCTTCAAGTAATAAGAAACCTGGAAACTGGGCAGCTCCAGAACTGACCATTTCAGGGACTCACGGACATCTGTGAAGAACCAGGCACTTTGCTGCTCTCTGTTCTGTTACCTTCAGCCTTGGCCTCAGGCTGGTGCCCCTCGTAGCCACAAGATGGCTGCCACTGTGCCAAGGATTATATCTAAGGATGTAATGCATGTCAGAGGTCACTGGAGAAGAGATCGTCTATTCCTGGTGATAGAAAAACTTTCCTGGAATTCACCCCAGTAAGCTTCACTTCACAACTCATTTACCAGAGCAGCGTCACGTGTTCACGCTTAAAGCTGATCACCAAGGCTGGACGCAGTGGCTCACACCTGTAGTCCCAGCACTTTGGGAGGCTGAGGCGGGCGAATCACTCGAGCCCAGGGGTTTGAGACCAGCCTGGGCACCATGGCAAGACCCTGTGTCTACAAAATTTTAAAAAATTAAAAATTAAGGGCTGGGCACGGTGGCTCACACCTGTAATCCCAGCACTTTGGGAGGCCGAGGTTGGTGGATCACCTGAGGTCAGGAGTTCGAGACCACCCTGGCCAACATGGTGAAACCCTGTCTCTACTAAAAATCCAAAAAATTACTGTGGCGGTGGGCACCTGTAATCCCACCTACTCCGGAGGCTGAGGCAGGAGAACCGCAGGAACTCTGGAGGTGGAGGTTGCGGTGAGTCGAGATAGTGCCATTGCACTCCAGCCTGGGGAACAAGAGCAAAACTCCGTCTCAAAATAAATAAATAAATAAATAAAAATGTAAAAATAAAACCAATCACTGGCAAGGTGACAGAAATCACCTGGATTGGGTTACCAATTAGGACTCGCTCCTAAACACAGGGGCTCTCAGGGGAGGCATGGTAACGAAACAAAGACGAGGTCCTCAGGAAGGATCACCATATTGTTGTTGGGTAGGCAACCACCAAATTCTGCAACAAAGGGTCAGGGGAGGCCTCGTTGAGGACGTTGCTCTGAGCAGGGATCTGAATGATGGGAAGGAGCCATCCGTACAGCGATGTGAGGGAAAGACATTCTCAGCAGAGGGAGCAGCACGTGCAAAGACTCTGAAGTGAGTCTTGTTATTCAAGGAACATAAGGAAGACCACAGTGGCCATAGGATGGATTGAACAAAAGGGAAACAAGACGATAATAGCTTTTGGAATTTTAAATATATAGTGAGAATTTAAAAATATTAACTGTAGCATATATATGAGGAGAGAAACAAATGAGTTAGTGCTCTAAGGTTCTTTAATTGCCTGGGAAGAAGATAACAATAATGTGAAAACCATATATTGACAAGAAAGGGATGCAAGTTATAATTTCTACAACCATGCTATCTAATATAGTAGCCGCCAGCCACGTGACATTGAGGGGCCAGGAGAGCTGTCGCATGACGGTCAATTTACATTTAAATTAAGTAAAATTAAACAAAATTAAAAATTCAGTTTCTTAGTTGTATTAGCCACACTTCAAATGCTCAATAGCACATGTGGTTACCACACTGAACAGCAGCAACACCGAATATTTTCATTCAGTACAGAATGAAAAATGGGTCAAAACTCTTCTAGAGAAATTACTAAATGAATATAGAAAAAGCGAGTAACTTTCATTTCTTTTTTTTTTTTCTTTTTTTGAGACAGAGTTCTGCTCTATCACCCAGGCTGGAGGGCAGTGGCATGATCTCAGCTCACTGCAACTGCCACCTCCCAGGTTCAAGTGATTCTCCTGCCTCAGTCTCTCGAGTAGCTGGGATTACAGGTGTGCACCACCACGCCTGGAAAATTTTTGTGTTTTTAGTAGAGACAGAGTTTCGCCATGTTGGTAGGCTGGTCTCAAATTCTTGGCCTCAAGTGATCTGCCTGCCTCCGCCTCCCAAAGTGCCAGGACTACAGGCATGAGCCACCGCTACCAGCCTTGAAAAAAGCTAATAACTTTCAAACTGATAGTGGCAAAGCATAAAATGATAAAAATAATCATTTCTTATTTTGCAAACTGGGCAATGGTAATGAATAAAATTTGAAATTTTAATTTTACTCATGGATTTTCAAATGAGATTTTTTTTTTTGAGACTGAGTCTTGCTCTGTTGCCCAGGCTGGAGTGCAGTGGTGTGATTTCGGCTCACTGCAGCCTCCGCCTCCTGATCTCAAGTGATCCTCCCACCTCAGCGTCCCGAGTAGTTGAGACCACAGGTGCCCGCCCCACGCCCTGCTAATTTTTGTATTTGTATTTTTAGCAGAGACAGGCTTTCGCCATGTTGGCCAGGCTGACCTCGAACTCCTGATCTCAGGTGATCCGCCTACCTCAGCCTCCCAAAGTGTTGGGATTACAGGCGTGAGCCACTGCGCCCAGCCGAGATATTTTTTAAAAAATATTTTATTAGGTATTAGATAGTAGTGCAGGTCAGGCATGGTGGCTCACACCTGTAAAACCAGCACTGTGGGAGGGCGAGGCGGGCAGATCGTTTGAGGTCAGGAGTTGGAGACCAGCCTGAGCAACATGGCGAAACCCTGTCTCTACAAAAAAAAACTACAAAAACTAGCTGGGCATGGTGGCACGCATCTGTGGTCCTGGCTTTGCAGGAGGCTGAGGCGGGAGGATCGCTTGAGCCTGGGAGGTCAAGGCTCCAGTGAGCCAAGATCGTGCCACTGCACTCCAGCCCAGGAGGCAGAGCAAGACCTTGTCTAAAAAAAAGAAAGAAAAATAGAAAAAAAATTCCACAATGTTCTACTAAACATTAAAGGAAGATATGGTGCCAATATACACAAACCCCTCAGGAAAATATAAAAAGAGGTACATTGGCCGGGCGCGGTGACTCACACCTGTAATCCCAGCACTTTGGGAGGCCGAGGTGGGCGGATCACGAGGTCAGGAGATCGATTCCGTCCTGGCTAACATGGTGAAACCCCGTCTCTACTAAAAATACAAAAAAATTAGCCAGGCGTGGTGTCAGGCGCCTGTGGTCCCAGCTACTCGGGAGGCTGAGGCAGGAGAATGGCGTGAACCTGGGAGGCGGAGCTTGCAGTGAGCCGAGATCGCGCCACTGCACTCCAGCCTGGGCGACAGAGTGAGACTCTGTCTCAAAAAAAAAAAAAAAAAAAAAAAAAGAAGTACATTACCCAACACATCTTTTTTTTGAGATGGAGTCTTGCTCTGTCACCCAGGCTGGAGTGCAGTGGCGTGATCTTGGCTCACTGCAACCTCTGCCTCCTGGGTTCAAGCAATTCTCGTGCCTCACCCTCCCGACTACCTGGGATTACAGATACCCCCCACCATGCCCAGCTAATTTTTGTATTTTTAGTAGAGACTGGGTTTTGCCATGTTGGCTAGGCTGGCTTCGAACTCCTGACCTCAGGTGATCTGCCTGCCTCCGCCTCCACATCCAGCTACTCAATATATTTTAGAAGGCTGACATAACCTTGATACCAAACACCCAACAAAGATAGGCAGGTTATAGGCCAATCTAACTCATTAACATATATGCAAAGACTAAAAATACACTTTGGCAAATTTGATCTAATAATAATTTGAAAGGTTAATGCATCTGACCAAGTTAGGTTTATTCCAAAATTACAAGATTGGTTTAACATTTGAAAAATCAATGTAATTTTCTGTATTAAGCAAATAAGTTAGGAAAATTACATGATTAGCCTAATAGATGTGGAAAAGCTTTTGATATAATTTAACATCCATTAAAATTAAAACTCTTCAAAACTATGAATAGAAGAGAACTTTAATGTGATAAAGGGTAGCTGCAAAAAAAGCTTACAGCAGGCAGTCTTAATGATGAAATGTTGAAGGCATTTTTTCTCTTTGAGATTGGCAATGATATGAGGATGTCTGCTCTCACCATTATGTATTCTTAAGGTACTGAAAGGTCCTGGCTAGTGTGATATCCAAGAAAGAGAATTAAAACGTGTAAGGATTGTAAAGGAAGAAACAAAGCTATTATTATATGGAGATTACATGATTTTATACATAGAAAATCCCAGTGCACTGTGGGAAGCAGAGGAGGGAGGATTGCTTGAACTCAGCAGTTCGAGATCAGCCTGATAACATAGCAAGACCTTGTCTCTACTAAAAACCAAAAAATGTAGCTGGGCATGGTGGTGGGCATCTGTAGTTCCACCTACTCAGGAGGCTAGGGTGAGAGAATCGCTTGAGCCCAGGAGATCAAGGCTGCAGTGAGCTGTGATTGCACCACTGCACTCCAGCCTGAGCAAAAGAGCAAGACCCTGTCTCAAAAAAAAAAGAAGAAGAAAAGAAAATCCAAAAGAATGTATGGATGAATTATTATAAGGGTATTTAGCAAAGTTTGCTGAATACCAAATCAATACTAAAAAATAATTGAGCTTCTTTACAAAAAGCAGTATGTATGTTTCAATATGAAAAGCAATATATAACTAAAAAATTAAAAACTAAAAAGTTGGCTGGTAGCAGTGGCTCACACCTGTAATCCCACCACTTTGGGAGGCTGAGGCAGGAGGATGGCTTAAGACCAGGAGTTCCAGCTTACAGTGTTATTTGTGTGTCACTGCAGTCCACCCTGGGTGACAGAGTGTGATCCTACCTGTAAAAAAATAAAAATTAAATTAAAAAAAAAAACCAAATCAGCCGGGCTCAGTGGCTCATGCCTGTAATCCCAGCACTTTGGGAGGCTGAGGTGGGCGGATCACCTGAGGTCAGGAGTTCGAGACCAGCCTGGCTAACATGGTGAAACCTCATCTCTACTAAAAATACAAAAATTAGCTTGACGTGGTGGTGGGTGCCTGTAATCCCAGCTACTTGGGAGGCTGAGGCAGGAGGATCGCTTGAACCTGGGAGGTGGAGGTTGCAGTGAGCTGAGATATCCATGATATCTTTTTTTGAGACTGTGTCTCAAAACCAAACCAAACCAAACAAGAAACCCCAAATTGTATGGTATGTGGCCTTTTGAGTCTGGCTGCCTCTGCTCAGCTTAAGGTTTTTGAGATTCACCCATTTGATGTAGCTCATACTTTTTTTTGTTGTTAAATAGTATTCCACTGTATGGCTGTACCACAGTTTATCCACCCACAGTTGGCATACTTTGGGTTATTTTTTGGTTTCAGTTATTTTAAAGCTGCTAGCCCCATACATATGCAGGTCTTTGTAAGGACATGTTTTATTTCTGTTGACTAAATATTTAGAAATGCAATTACTGGGTTCTGTACATGTTTACCTTTATAAGAAACTGCCAAATTGTTTTCCAGGGTGGCTATACCAACTTGCTTTCTAAGCCATGTTCCAGTGGCTCCTCCAGTCCTCTTCAGCACTTATCTTCAGCAATTTTTTTTTTTTTTGAGATGGAGTTTCGCTCTTGTTGCCCAGCCTGGAGTGCAATGATGCGATCTTGGCTTACTGCAACCTCCACCTCCCAGGTTCAAGCGATTCTCCTGCCTCAGTCTCCTGAGTAGCTGGGATTACAGGCGCATGCCACCATGCCTGGCTAATCTTTTGTATTTTTAGTAGAAATGGGGTTTCACCTCGTTAGCCAGGCTGGTCTCAAACTCCTGACCTCAGGTGATCTGCCCGCTTCAGCCTCCCAAAGTGCTGAGATTACAGGCGTGAGCCACTGTGCCCGGGCTATTTAGCCTTTTTAATTTGAGCAATTCTAGTGGGTAAGTAGTGGTATCTTACTGTAGTTTTTATTTGTATTTCCCTAAATACTAATGATATTGTGCATCTTTTCATGTGCTTATTTGCTATCCAAATAACAACTTCTTCCCCTTCCCCTTCCTCCTCCTCCCCCTCCCACCTCCCCCTCTTCCTCTTCCTCTTCCTCTCCTTCACCTTCTCCTTCTCCTTCTCCTTCTCCTTCTCCTTCTCCTCCTTCTCCTTCTCCTTCCCTTCTCCTTCTCCTTCTCCTTCTCCTTCTCCTTCTCCTTCTCCTTCTCCTTCTCCTTCTCCTTCTCCTTCTTCTTCTTCTTCTTCTTCTTCTTCTCCTTCTCCTTCTCCTTCCCTTCTCCTTCTTCTTCTTCATCATCCGGGTCTTGCTCTGTTGCCAAGGATGGAGTGCAGTGGCACAAAATAGCTTCACTGCGGCCTCAACCTCCGTGGCTCAAGCAATACTCCCACCTCAACCTCCCTAGTACCTCAGACTACAGGTGCGCACAACTACGCCCAGCGAATTTTTGTATTTTTTGTAGAGATGGGGTTTTGCCATGTTGCTCAGGCTGGTCTTGAACTCCTGAGCTCAAGCTATCTGCCTGCTTTGGTCTCCCAAAGTGCTGGGAATACCTTTTTTTTTTTTTTTTTTTTTTTTACAGGGTCTCACTCTGTTACCAGGCTGGAGTGCAGTGGCACAATCTTGGCTCACTGCAACCTCTGCCTCCCGGGTTCAATTGATTCTCCTGCCTCAGCCTCCTGAGTAGCTGGGATTATAGGTGTGCACCCAGCTAATTTTTGTATTTTTAGTAGTGACAGGGTTTCACCATGTTGGCCAAGGTAGGGAATAACTTCTATGGTGACTTTTTTGTTCAGATCTTTTGCTCATTTGAAATACCAGGTTGTCTTTTTTTGTTTTTTTCTTTTTTAAGACAAAGTCTCTCTCTGTCTCCCAGGCTAGAGTGCAGTGGAGTGATCTCAGGTCACTGTAGCCTCGACCTCCTGTGCTCAAGTGATCCTCCCACCTCAGGATACTACCCCCAACCACCCTGTCCCCGTCTCCCACCAGTAGCTGGGACTATAGGTATGTGCCACTACACCCACATAATTTTTGTATTTTTTTGTAGAGATGACATTTCGCCTTGTTTCCCAGGCTGGTCTCAAACTTCTAGGCTCAAATGATCTGCCTGCCACACCCTCTCAAAGGGCTGGGATTACAGGTGTGAACTACTGCACTTGGCCTGTTGTGTTTTTATTTTCATTCAGTTTGAAATATTTTCTTATTCTTCTTTAGGAATTACTGAGTGTTTGAACTATAGGTCTAAATGTGTTATTTAATTTCCAAATGCTTTGAGGTGAAAGTTTCCAGATATCTTTGTCATTGATTTCTAGTTTACTTCTATTATAGTCAGAGAGCATGCTTTGTATGATTTAAATACATTTACATATATACACACAGTTTAAGAGACAGGGTCTCCCTCTGCTACCCCAGGCTAGAGTGCAATGGCATGATAACAGCTCGCTATAGCCTTGAACTCCTGGGCTCCAGTGATCCTCCTCCCTCAGCCTCCTGAATAGCTAGGACAACAGAAATGTGCTACCACACCTGGCTCATTTAAATTTTTGAGGAATTATTTTATGGTCCAGAATATCATCTGTCTTGAGTAATGTTCTTTGTGCTCTTGAAAATAGTATGTATTGTGCTGCTGTAGGAAAGAGTGTTCTACAAATATTGATTAGATCATATTTGATTGTCTTAATTATGTCTTCTATATCTTTATTGATTTTTGGTTGCCATGTACTGAGGGAGGGTGTTGAAGACTCCAATTGTAACTGTAGTTTAGCTATTTTCTTTTTTTTTTGAGACGGAGTCTCGCTCTGTCTCCCAGGCTGGAGTGCAGTGGTGTGATCTCGGCTCACTGCAAGCTCCACCTCCCGGGTTCACACCATTCTCCTGCCTCAGCCTCCCGGGTAGCTGGGACTACAGGCACGTGCCACCATGCCCAGCTAATTTTTTTTTGTATTTTTTAGTAGAGACGGGGTTTTCACTGTTTTAGCCAGGGTGGTCTCGATCTCCTGACCTCGTGATCCACCCGCCTCAGCCTCCCAAAGTGCTGGGATTACAGGCGTGAGCCACCGCGCCTGGCCTTAGTTTAGCTATTTCTCCTTTCATTTTCATCAGTTTTCACTTTATATATTTTGAAGCTGTCAGGTGCATATACTTTTAGAATTGTCTTCTTGATGGACTGATCTTTTTATCACTGCATAATGTCCCTCTTTGTCCCTTGTTCTGAAGTCCATTTTGCTGTTGCTGTTGTTGTTGTTGCTATTTTTGAGAGGGGGTCTCGCCCTGTTGTTGAGGCTGGAGTGCAAAGGCATGATCATGGCTCACTGCAGCCTCTTTCTCCTGGGCTCAAGTGATCCTCTCACCTCAGCCCCACAAGGAGCTGGGACCACAGGTGCGTGCCACCACACTCAGCTAATTTTTAAAAATATTTAATAGAGATGAGGTCTCACTGTGTTGCCCAGGCTAGTCTCAAACTCCTAGGCTCAAGCAATCCTCTCACCTTGGCCTCCCAAAGTTCTGGAATTACAGGCGTGAATCACCACACTCGGCCTCTGAAATCTATTTTGTCCGTTATTAATATAGTTGAAGGAATTCTTCATCTCCGATTTTGTGGTGGTCTTTTTGTTGTTGTCTATTTCTAGCGTTTTCATGACTCCTTTTTGTAGTTTCTGCCTCTGCTCAAGTTCCCCATCTTTTATGTGTTTCGTTCACCTTTTCCACTAGATCTTTAAACATATTAATTAGTCTCTGTGTGATAGTCCCATCATCTGGCTCATCTCTGGCTCTGATTGTTTTGTCTCCTTTATCACTTGATAAGTTCTTTCTTTTAAAAAAAAAAAAACCAATAGAGGCCTAGTTAAATAGTATATATGCCCAGAGACGGATGTGTCTCTCTCTTTTTTTTAAGATGGAGTCTCACTCTGTCACCCAGGCTGGAGTGCAGTGGTGCGATCTCAGCTCACTGCAGCCTCTGCCTCCCGGGTTCAAGCAACTTTCTTGCCTCAGCCTCCTGAGCAGCTGGGACTACAGGCACATGCCACCTCGCCCAGCTAATTTTTGTATTTTTAGTAGAGACGGGGTTTCGCCATCTTGGCCAGGCTGGTCTCAAACTCCTAACTTCAGGTGATCCACCTGCCTCAGCCTCCAAAAGTGCTGGGATTATAAGCGTGAGCCACCACACCTGGCCGATAGATGGATATGTCTCTTTCTTCTGTTTTGCTTTCAGTGTAAGGGATTGAGTTGGTCCAGCTGGTACTAAATAGCAGAGCTGGGTTTGAATTTTGTTGTTCCTATAATTCCTCCAAACATGCCAGGTGTGGTGGCTCACACCTGTAATCCCAGCACTTTGGGAGGCTGAGGTGAGAGGATCATTTGGGCCCAGGAGTTCAAGACCAGTCTGGAAAACATAGCAAGACTCTGTCTCTAAAAAAATAAAAAATAAATTAGCCAAGCATGGTGGGAGACACCTGTGGTCCCAGCTAATCATAGAGGCTGAGGCGAGAGGATCCCTTGAGCCCAGGAAATTGAAATTGAGGCTGCAGTGAGCTATGATCGCGCCACTGCATTCCAGCCTAGGCAACAGAGCAAGACCCTGTCTCTAAAAAAGAAAAAACAAATGCCTCCACTGGTAGGCTACTTCTACCTTTTGATTAGCGTGAGGCCTGAGGTGCTGGAGCGTTCTGCTCAGTGTTTCTGCTCTGCCTACACTTTCGGCAGGCCCTGTATGCCTGCACGTCAGAGAAAGAGGCCTTCTCTTTATGCTTTTCCCACTCGTCCAGCTGTAAACTGTCGCTGCATGTTAATCAGGGCCAGTCCTGCGGTGGGAGCAGCTTTTCAGTTTTCCTGGTCCAGCTTCAGGCTTAGGCAGATGTTGTGCTCCTGACTCTCAGGGTGGGACTCTCTTACCTTTTTTTCTTTTTCTTTTTTTTTTTTTGAGACAGAGTCTTGCTCTGTCACCCAGGCTGGAGTGCAGTGATGTGATCTCGGTTCACCGCAATCTCTGCCTCCCGGGTTCAAGCGATTCTCCTGCCTCAGCCTCCCGAGTAGCTGTGACTACAGGCACGCACCACTGTGCCCAGCTAATTTTTGTATTTTTAGTAGAGATGGAGATTCATCATGTTGGTCAGGCTGGTCTTGAACTCCTGACCTCAGGTGATCCACCTGCTTTGGCTTACCAAAGTGCTGGGATTACAGGCATGAGCCACAATGCCTGGCCTTTTTTTTTTTTTTTTTTTTTGGAGACAGAGTCTTGCTCTGTCGCCCAGGCTGGAATGCAATGGCATGATCTCAGCTCACTTCAATCCCCGCCTCTTGGGTTCAAGTGATTCTCCTGCTTCAGCCTCCAGAGCAGCTGGGATTACAGGTACACGCCACCACACCTGGCTAATTTTTGTATTTTCAGTAGAGACGGGGTTTCACCATGTTGGTCAAGCTGGTCTCAAACTCCTGGGCTCAAGTGATCCACCCGCCTCGGCCTCCCAAAGTGCTGGGATTACAGGTGTGAGCCACTGTGCCCGGCAGGGCTTTCTTGGCTTTCTTGCCCTTCCCTTCCTTGGCAGCCAAACTCTGGCTTGTATCCGTGGAGGGCTGGGTGGGAGAGTTTTCCGCCCCTCCCTCAGTGGTGGCCGGCTTCTGCTTTGTGTCAGGGCAGGGTTCTGGGCCCAGGAAGGTTTTCCCCACCTCCACCAGGTGGATATGTCTTTGCTTTGACCCCTGCCTCTGTGACAGTACCTTTGCTTGGAACTGATGGCAGGAGAGGTTCCTGCCCATCCCCCAACAGTTATTTGTGGCCAGGCTTGTAGTGGGGAGAGGGTTTTGCTGCACCCCTTCCAGAGGCCGTTGATTTTTTCAGGAGGGTTTCTTGTCCCTCCTTCGGCAGCTTAAGGCTTTTGCTTGGATTGCTAGAAGAGTCTGGAAAATGAGTGGGGTTTTCTTCCTGTGCACCTCTGACTGGTGTTCTCAAGTCTCAGACCCATTACCCAGTTTTTTTCTTTTTGTTTTTTGTATTTATTTTTCTTTTGAGAGGGGGGCTTGCTGTCACCCAGGCTGGAGTGCAGTGGTGCAATCATGGCTCACTGCAGCCTTGACTTCCTGGGATGAAGTGATCCTCCCGCGTCAGCCTCCTGAGTAGCTGAGACCACAGGCACACGCCATCCCTGGCTAATTTTTTAATTTTTAATAGAGATGGGGTCTCACACTGTTGACCAGGCTGGTCCCACCCAGTTTTTCCTGTGAGCACCAAACAGGCTTGTGGAAGAGGCTGTGCATGGCTGCACTCTCGTATCTGGAGCTACAGGGATTCTGACTGTTCTACTCTTCACACTCCACCTTCACACATGTGCTCGCATCCTAACTGTCTTTCTTCCTGCTTTTGTGGTGTTGCGTCTTCCTCCTGGCTCCTGCCTTGGATAAAGCAGCCCCTGTGTCCTCTCTGGCTTAGAGGGGCTTGTCATCCTTTGGAATTCAATGTATCTGGTTGCCTCGTGACCTCAACACTTTAATGGGCTCAAGAAGTTGTGATTGTGTAGGTTTTCTGACTTTTTTCTTGCTATTAGGGTATGAGTGACATTCTCATGTGACTTTCAGGTGGAAACAATGCTTCAGGAATGATTTTATAACCATAAAGGAAGATGGATAAATTTGACTACATAAAAACTAGCTTTAATATTAACCTAATAGTGTGAAATTAGGAGTCATAAATAGGAAAAAAATTTGCAACACATATAAAGAATAAAGGGGCTCATAAACAAGATATTTAAAGAATGCCCTTGAATCATTAAGAAGAAGATAACCTAAAAGAAAAATGGACTCAAGAGTTAAGAAAGTACTTCACAAAAGCAGAAATCCAGATTGCTAATAAACATATTAAAAGCTGTGCAACCCGGGTGCAGTAGCTCACACCTGTAATCCCAGCACATTGGGAGGCTGAGGCGGGAGGATCACTTGAGCCCAGGAGTTTGAGACCAACTTGAGCAACATAGGGAGACCCCCATCTCTACAAAAAATTAGAAAATTAGCCAAGTGTGGTGGCACATACCTATAGTCCCAGCTACTTGAGAGGCTAAGGTGGGAAAAGCCTGGCCTCAGGAGGTTGAGGTTGCAGTGAGCCATGATTGCACCACTGCACTCTAGCCTGTGCAACAGAGCAACACCCTGTCTCGAAAAAAAAAAAGCTGTGCAATCTCATTAATAATTAGAGAATGCGAATTAAAATCACTATTACTTGCCACTACATTTTAGCCAACAAGAATCGCTAAAATTGACAAAGTATAAAACTATCAAGCACTGCTATGGATGTGGAGCAAAGGCAGCTCATCCACTGTTGGTGGAAGTCATTCACTGATACAACCACTTTTTTTTTTTTTTTTTTGAGACAGAGTCACACAGGCTGGAGTGCAGTGGCGTGACTTCAGCTCACTGCAACCTCCGTCTCCTGGGTTCAAGAGATTCTTCTGCCTCAGCCTCCCAAGTAGCTGGGATTATAGATGTGTGCCTCCATGCCCAGCTAATTTTTCTATTTTTAGTAGAGACAGGGGTTTCACCATGTTGGCCAGGCTGGTTTCGAACTCTTGACCTCAAATGCTCCTCCTGGCTTGGTCTCCCAAAGTGCTGGGATTACAGGCATGAACCACCATGCCCAGCCTGATACAACCACTTTTAACTATGATCTTGTAAAGGTGAAGATAAGTTAAATTCCACTCTAGCAATTCTGCTCCTAGGTATGTGCTCCAGAATTGCATGCACATGGGTACCAGGAGGTGAATGCCTCTGATCGTCACATTCTTCTTCTGGTTTTGATAAACCATTGGCCAGAGTGTTACTTAGTCTGGCTGGCCATCTGAGTCCTTAGGGTAACTCTGCAATCTTGTTCCCATGTACTTTGTGTCATCTCATGGTTATACACTCAGAAGACAGTATTATTTCCAAGCTTGCTTTAGAGGAGTTCCTCACTCTTTCCCCATAGCTGGTTGTATGCCTGCAATGAACTCTTGGGCTGAGGAAAGAGCTTCTGCTGTAGCACCCAGCAAGGGTGGTATTCCCACACTCCCTGCTCCTGGACCAGTGAAGCTGCCCCTATTCCCCTGCTGGTACCCACCCTTTCCCTTGGGCCTGGAAAACCCTGAATGAATTTCATGACACTGAGAAATACACTTCATAAGGCAAAGTTTTTGGTCTGTTTTCTTCATTGCTATATCCCTGATGCCTAGCTAGTCCTAGAAAAAGGCAAAGATTCTATAGATGAAAAGCCTTAGGTTCAGAAAGCACATGGCTCCTAAACAGAGAGAACTTCTAGCTCCAAGTTCAGTGTTTAGTGCTGCTTTCTGGAGCACAGATGAGACTTTTCACCAGGATAAATTATCTGAGAAAGGACAAGGTCTCCAGAGGACTCTTGCCAGGCCTGTGGATCACAATCATCAAGAAGCACAAACACTCCGGCAGGAAATAGGACAGGCACAGATGGAAATCAATATACCCTGTTCTAACACTTCAGCCCCTTCTTTGGATCAAAGACTCTTGGCAACATCCAGTAACTCTATTCCACAGGCCTACACCACCTCCTGCTCCCCTTCTGATCTGGGCGTTCCTATCCCTCCTGCATTGTGCTGGGTAGGTGAGACAGAGCCAAGGGCTTTGACACATATTTCATAACACTCTTGTGGCAGAAACAAAACAGAGCACAACACTAAGAAACCCTTATGTCTGGTTGGGATCTAGTATTTACAAAGCACTGTTTTTTGTTTTTTGGAGACGGAGTCTCGCTCTGTCGCCCAGGCTGGAGTGCAGTGGCGCAATCTCAGCTCACTGCAACCTCTGCCTCCCGGGTTCAAGCAATTCTCCTGTCTCAGCCTCCCGAGTGCTTTTTTTTTTTTTTTTTTGAGACAGAGTTTCGCTCTTATAGCCCAGGCTGGAGTGCAATGGGGTGATCTCGGCTCACTGTAACCTCCACCTCCTGGGTTTAAGTGATTCTCCTGCCTCAGCCTCCCGAGTAGCTCGGATTACAGGCGTCTGCCACAATGCTTGGCTAATTTTGTATTTTTTCTTCGTAGAGACGGAGTTTCACCATGTTGGCCAGGCTGGTCTTGAACTCCTGACTTCAGGTGATCCGCCCGCCTTGGCCTCCCAAAGTGCTGGGATTACAGGCATGAGCCACCACGCCTGGCCTACAAAGTACTTTTATATCCAGTCCCTCTTGATTGGGCCTTCTTATGAAAGGATCCAAAGGTACTTAACCATGAAAGTTAACAGAGTCCAGGAAGTCCTAAGCAGAACCAACGAGCTGTCCAAAGTGGGTAAGAGATATGGTTAGGAACCCATGACACACGTCCCAGTATGCAGCCCTATGCCACAGCAAAGAGCAGCCTGAGCTCATGGCGCCAGCTAAACACCATCTGGGTAAAAGGCCCAAGATGAAAACAGAGGACTTCTGTTGTTAGTAAATGGGAGGCTAGGTAAATTGTACCAACTCTTGCACTAGGAGCCAAAACATTTGAAAAGCATCAAAAAGCTAACAAGATACTAAAGAATTACTAGGCTAACATCCCAGAGAGGACACGAATCCAGACAGGTGAGCCCAGCGTTTGGGCCACTTGGACCTGGAGGCAACTGCCCATTTAGCAGAGGTGATGGAGAGAATGGGTTGTGTTTCTGAAAGTTTTGTAGAGCTGGGCAGGGGAAGCTGGAGTACGGGGCCTACCAAAGGTGGGATACTGGTAAACCACTGCCTGTTTTGAGGTGTGACCTGAGAGGATTATACCCTAGGGTTAAGGATAAACCAGAAGCAAACCAGCCCTTGCATAGTCTGACAGGTCTGTGGGTTGGTTTCAGTGGCTTAGAAAATCTCCAACCTTGAATCTGGATTACTGTGACCCCAGAATTCTAGAGCTCCTGGGTACCTGACAGAAGCAAATAAAATTCCTCTCTGGAGGGAGAAATCGTCCTAGGCTTCAAAATACTTTAATAAACAGGTTTTCAAATACGATGTCTAGCACAAAGTAAAAAATGAGGCACATGTGAACACACATCAGGGAGAACCAGCAGAAATTAGGTGACAGAAACACACAGGGATTCCAGTTATTGGAATGATCACAGATTGAACACAGGCAAAATGTTCAAGAAAACTCCTCCAGTTGTTGGTAAGTCTGGCTATTTGAAATCTTCACTCTCTAATCTATCCCCATTCTACAACCCCCATCCTCAATCTGCCTTACCCACTGTCTCCAGAGTTGTCTTTACACAAAACAAATCTGACCATCCTTCAGCTCTGTGCTTAAATGGCATTCAAGGCTGTTTGTAATCTGTCCTAAATTGCCCTTTTCAGCCTCGTCATATACTCATCATATAGACTACTTTCCTGAGTATTCTACCTTTGCCTTTAATGCCCTCATCTCCTATTTTATCCTGAAAAATGCCTCCTTATCCTTCAAAGTGCAATTTAAACCTCCTCTCTTTGAAGCCTTTCAGAAAAATATATATATGTGTGTATATATATGTATATGTATAAAATGTATATATATGTGTGTGTGTGTACATATATATATATATATATTTTTTTTTTTTTTTTTTTTTTGAGACGGAGTCTTGCTCTGTCGCCCAGACTGAAGTGCAGTGGTGCGATCTCGGCTAACTGCAACCTTCGTCCCGAGTTCAAACAATTCTCCTACCTCAGCTTCTCGAGTAGCTGGGATTTCAGGTGCCCGCCACCATGCTCAGCTAATTTTTGCATTTTTAATAGAGACGGAGTTTCATCACGTTGACCAGGCTGGTCTCGAACTCCTGACCTCAGGTGATCCTCCCACCTTGGCTTCCCAAAGTGCTGGGATTACAGGCGTGGGCCACTGCACCCGGCCGCTTTCTGAAATCTTTTTTTTTTTTTTTTGAGACGGAGTCTTGCTCTGTCGCTCAGGCTGGAGTGCAGTGGCACGATCTCGGTTCACTGCAAGCTCCGCCTCCTGGGTTCACGCCATTCTCCTGCCTCAGCCTCCCGCTTAGCTGGGACTACAGGCACTCGCCACCACGCCCGGCTAATTTTTTGTATTTTTAGTAGAGACAGGGTTTCACCGTGTTAGCCAGGACAGTCTCGATCTCCTGACCTCGTGATCCGCCCGCCTTGGCCTCCCAAAGTGCTGGGAGTACAGGTGTGAGCCACGGCGCCCTGCCCTGAAATCTTAACTCCAACTCTCATAGCTTTCTACACACTGACACACTATTCTAATTATTTGTACTGACACACTATTATAATACACACTGTTACAATTGCTTGTTTATGTCTGTTTCTCAAGCAGACTACTAACTTGTTGAGGTTTGGATCTATTTTATTCATTTAGTATTCCTAGCATCTAGCATAGTGCCTAGCTCAGAGTAAGTGCTTAATAAACATTATTTTAATTTTCAGAGGCAGGTTCTCAGCTGTGTTGCCCAGGCTGTGGTGCAGCGGCTATTCACAGGCTTAATCCCATTAATGATCACCACGGGAGTTTTGACCTTTTATGCTTCTGAACTGGGCTAGTTCGCCCCTCCTTGGGCAACCTGGTGGTCCCATACTCCCAGGGGGACAAGATATTGTTACCAAACTTAGTGTGGACACCTGATCATCATAGTGCACTATAGCCCAGAACTCCTGGACTCAAGTGATCCTCCTGCCTCAGGCTCCAGAGTAGCTGGGACTATATGTGTGTATCATGCTGCCCAGCTTACTAAACATTTTCGAAAGAATGAAAGTGTATATATTTGTTCGAGACAGAGATTCACTCTGTCACCCAGGCTGGAGTGCAGTGGTGCGATCTTGGCTCACTGCAGCCTCCGCACCCCAGGTTCAAGTGATTCTCCTGCCTCAGCCTCTTGAGTAGTTGGGACTACAGGTGCCCACCACCATGCCCGGCTACTATATATATATATAGTTTTTTTTAGTAGAGATGGGGTTTCGCCATGTTGACCAGGCTAGTCTCAAACTCCTGACTCAGGTGATCCCCCTGTGTCATCCCAAAGTGCTGGGATTACAGGTGTGAGCCACCATGCCTGGCCTGAAAGAGTTTTTTTGTTGTTGTTGTTGAGACAGAGTCTCCCTCTGTCGCCAGGCTGGAGTGCAGTGGCGCCATCTCAGCTCACTGCAACCTCTGCTTCCCGGGTTCAAGTGATTCTCCTGCCTCAGTCTCCCGAGTAGCTGGGACTACAGGCATGCGCCACCACGCCCAGCTAATTTTTGTATTTTTAATAGACACGGGGTTTCACCATGTTGGCCAGGATGGTCTCAATCTCTTGACCTCGTGATCCACCCGCCTCGGCCTCCCAAAGTGCTGGGATTATAGGCGTGAGCCACTGCGGCCAGCCAGAGTATTCTTAATAATAGGTGATACAGACTGTTACAGGTTGAATTGTGTTCCCCCAAAATCCATATGTTGAAGCCCCAGTTTCCACTGTGACTGTATTTGAAGATAGGGCTTTTAATGGGCTAACTAAGATTAAAAAGGTGATAAAGGAGGGGCCCTAAACCAATAGGATTGGTGTCCTTGTAAGAACTGGAACTGACATCAAAGATCTTTCTCTTTCCACATGCATACAGAGAAAAAGCCGTGTGAGGACGCAATGAGAAGGCAGCTGTTTGCAAGCCAGGAAGAGAGGCTTCGTAAGAAACCAACCCTATTGGGTTGATCTTGCACTTCCAGCCTCCAGAACCATGAGAAAATAAATTTGTGCTGTTTAAGCCACCCAGTCTGTGGTATTTTGTCGTGATAGCCTAAGCAGACAAACACACAGAGCATTTCTGATATTTCAAACATGTTTAAATATACATCTTTGCCAGCCTGGCCAACACGGTGAAACCCCGTCTCTTCTAAAAATACAAAAATTAGCCAGGCATGGTGGCACACACCTGTAGTCCCAGCTACTTGGGAGGCTGAGGCATGAGAATCGCTTGAACCCGGGAGGTGGAGGTTGCATTGAGTCGAGATCGCGCCACTGCACTCCAGCTTGGGCAACAGAGTGAGACTCTGTCTCAAAAAATAAATAAACAAATAAATAAATATAAATAAATATACATCTTTGGCCAGGTGCAGTGGTTCACACTTGTAATTCCAGCACTTTGGGAGGCTGAGGAGACAGATTGCTTGAGCCCAGGAGTTTGAGACCAGCCTGGGCAACATAGTGAGACCCTGCCTTTCCAAAAAAAATTTATAGATTAGCCAGGTGTGGTGGCTTGCACCTGTAGTCCCAGCTACTCAGAAGGCTGAGGTGGGAGGATCACTTGAGCTGGGGAGGTCAAGGCTACAGTGAGCCTTGCACTCCAGCCTGGGTGACAGAGCGAGATTCCACCTCAAAATAAATAAATAAATAAACAAACATCTTCAATGAAGGTTACTCAACTCAAACTTAAAGGAGTGGACACAAAGACTAAGAAAATGAATAACTTTTTAAAAAGTTTTATTTCAAGAACTTTGTTTTTTACTGGTATTTCAAAAAAACGTGGGTCAAAGTACAAAAAAAAGTCAGTTGAATAACAGCACAGGTTTAGAAATCACAGCAGCAGAAGCAATGTACAGACAGCACAGAAAAAACAACCCAATGTATGCAATTCTGTTCAGTTTCTTTGCTTATTTTAAGTATTTTTTTGCCTCCTGTACAAAATACATAAAAGCATGCCATGAGATCAGAAAAAGAAAAGAGTTTAACAAATGGTTACAAGAAATAGACTCTGTACAAGAGGAGATAATGTTTCTTCCCCTACCCCCCACCCACTACCCCCGCTTCCTCTCTTCTTGCTCTGCTTTAGGTTAAATTATTCTGAAGACAGTTCACATCCAAGTCAGCCTGGTCACCTTTGCCACCCTCAAGTTTGGGCGACATGGAGTTCTGGATGTTAAATGACTCCTCCTCTTTCAGGCAGGACTTGAGAACCTCCTGGATTTTGTGGGGAGCACTAGGATCATCCTGGAAGAGGGAAAAAGTTGGGGGGGGGGAGACAATGCATACAGCAACCAAATAATAATATCAGCGTTTTCTATCTGGTTGAAGGAAGCATCACTGAAACAAGGAAAAAGCTCCAAGACTTGAATGAACTAAAAGGAACCAAAGTAACTCATTAGCAGCAACTTTTTAGGAAAGTCATCCTTACAAGAAATGGCCAGGCAGAGAGGAAAACTTGACAGTAATCAGTTTACAAATAACTTTAATTTGTGCCATGTCCAAGGTTTTCTCTTGGACAGAGATTGGGGAGAAAGAGTCCCTTGGCCCAGGCGCCTCTATAGCCTCATGTGTTGATGAGCTCTGCGGGGCCTGCTGAGCCCGGCCTTCCTCTGGCCTTCCATCCTGTTGAGTTTTGCTTTCACAAAGATGTCTTGGTCAGGGAACATGTCTCATCAGTGTATACAGTGGGGTATGCATAGAACTGGTAAAGTGCAGAACTGCTCCTGACTATGCTGGGGCCTCTCTCCCCACAGTAAGAGCATCTCCGCTGACTAGAGGTCAAAGATGTGTCAGCCTCTCATTGTCACAAGTGAACCTGCTAAAAGATGCTAGCTAAAAAGGTATGTCCTCAATCCAAGCCCGAATGACCCTGGCTGCCTCAATGGCTTGCCACACTCTGCATCACATGATATTCGTACTGCTGATTCTAATGTAATAATCCATGTATATTGCCTACAGCCCTGTGACAAGCTCCCTCTGACAAACTCCTGAACCTGAGCTGAATTTGCATTTTATGTATTTATGTATTTATTGATGTATTTATTTATTTATTCTTGAGAAGGAGTCTTGCTCTGTCGCCCAGGCCAGAGTACAGTAGTGTGATCTCGGCTCACTGCAATCTTGAACCTCTTGGGTTCAAGGGATTCTCGTGCCTCAGTCTCCCCAGAACCTGGGATTATAGGCGCTCGTGACCATGCCCGGCTAACTTGTATTTTCAGTAGAGATAGGGTTTCACCATGTTGGCCAGGCTGGTCTCGAACTCCTGGCCTCAAGGGATCCACCCACCTCGGCCTCCCAAAGTGCTGGGATTACAGGTGTGAGCCACCACGCCGGCTTGAATTTGCCTCTTAAAGGTTCTCAGGAAGCTCACACTAGCACATAGTCCTCCAGGTCTACATTCTGCACGTTCAGAGAACTTCTGTGGCAAATCTTGCTTTACTCATTTCCTTTAGGACCACCTAAGGGGAATATACCCAGTGCAATTCAGTGGGCCTCAGTTCTTTCTCTGGTGCCCCAAATAGCTGTTGTAAGTGCTTGGAACTCTGCTGATAGAAGACAGTGTGTAACCACTAAGGCAGATTCATGGATGACAAGAAGGTAGAGAGTGTCCTAATCTGACCAGCTAGCTAAGGCCATTCTTGCTTTAACCACTACCAAAATTCAAGATTACCATCATGCTTAAGGACCAGAGTGTTCTCCAGAGAAGTCTGGTGAGCCCTCGTCTGTGCTGCCTGCTACCAAGTTTGACCCATAACAGCACTAGGTTATGGGAGTGATGAGTTGGAAAGAAAGTAGGGAGAGACCCCGGGCTTTCCATGGTTCTTGTACACACAGGACACCGGGGCATCCATGAGTTCTGTGCATATGGAAATCACTGCCAGCTGCCCACTGCCCACAGCCTCACTCGGTGCTTCTCCAGAGGCCCAGATTAAGGAGGACAATTTAGTAGAGTTTCAAAGACTTCACACATGATTTATAGACAGGGGAACACATGTTTCTTGTTCCAATGAGACAAGAACAAGAAAATGAACTTCATAGAGTACTGAGGCAGATGTCAGGTAAGGCAGCTGCACACAGCACGCGCGGCCAGTTGAATGGTCAATCACTGCTTAGAATCACAAAACACTGTGCAGTGACATAAATGTCCATCTCCTGAGACGGAAAGATCTCCATCATACACTGATTGAAAAAAAGTAAGGGGTAGAACATGTATAGCAAACTCTCATTTATGTTTTAAAAATATAGATATAGGTGTGTGTTTGTGTGTGTATATATATATACACACGTGTGTACTTTACGGAGAGGGAGGTGGGGGTGAAGTAGAGCTGCACTTTTTTATTTCGTGTACTTCTGTACTGTTTGGGGGAAACCATGGTCATGAAAGCTGGAGAGCTGAGCTATAAGTATCTTAGGTAGGATGGACTTTGAATCACACTAAAATCTAGAACAGGACAAGAGGACCTATAATCACCTCTCCTCTTACAAGGATACAACTTGCTTTTATGTCTTTCAAGATAACCTCCCACCCTCAACTCCTTCATCACATATTCTCTGGGGGCATACAGGGGTACAGAAACATTCTCATGATGTGAAGAAAAGTGGACTAAGTGACTCCTCACAGACCCTGGTCTCAGAGCTCTGATGCCATGAAGGTGGGCTCCCAGATTAAACCTGAGCCCTCGAGGGCTCATGGGATCTAGATTAGAAAACTGTCTTCTGAGCCAAGGGATGGAAGAAGCATATCCCAAAAGCAAGAGATATGCAAACAGTGCTATTAGACAAGCTGAATACCTCCAACAAACACAAGAGGCAAAGGAATGTCTACACCAAGATGGGGCTCTCCTAACTCAGGTGTTTGCTCCAGAACTTGATCCTATTAAGCCAAGGGTAGCTGAATTCCACAGCAGGTCCAACTGCCTTTGACTTAATAGAAGTACCTCATCACAAGGGAGCTGGATCAACATCTGGCATAAGTTCCTAGGAACCACTGTGGACTCACTGCTCCCAGCATTCAATCCCAGCAGTATGGGCACCCTTCAACCCAGGGGTCATGTGGGTTCAGGCCTGGCCAGAGGCAAACATCTATTGGAAGAGGGTGGGCAGTCAGTGCTTTAACAAATACATGCAAGAGAAGAGTCTGGAGAGTAGGAAAGAGTTAAATAGGAAAAAAAAAAAAAAAGCACAGGAACATCAATGGAGAAATCCTAGGAATAAACTGAAATCCCGGAAGGTCTGTCAAATCTTAGCACAACCCAAGTTACCCCCATGGTCTCGACAGCACCGTTGTGAGGACCATCAGGGCAGCCCAGTGTTGGGGCAGCTGCCCTGGGTTTCTGGTGGCTTCATTCACGCAGTGTGCCTGGAGCACGGGCAGCTTCCTACATTCTCTGTGCCTCCTGACATACCCTTCAAGGCTGGTTGCTCAGCTACGCAAGACACTCACACAGACTCAGCCTAAGGCCCACCAGCTACAGAGCCGCACATCAGCCTGAGGGCAGAGAGGAGCAGAGGAGGGAAAGAGGTGCCACCGGCACAGATACCAGCCACTGACCCTTCCCTGTCACAGGCCCAAAGCCCCAGACTTTTTTGCTTGCAATCTTTTCAGAGTGTGGCTGGTAGAGGTGATTGCGACAGTGTAGGAAAATGACCTGCTCAATCTATTTTACGTATGTAAAAGAAATAACACCTCGATGCAAATAAATAAAACTCTCCAAAATTTTAGAGAAAACCAATACCAGCAAGGAGTTTGGGGGTGGGGAGAGAGGGGTGGGGAGAAGCCACGAGGCAGGCTGGACTCCGGCGCCCCCTTGTCTCTCCTCCCGTATCATCTGGAGGATCTCTCACTCTCCCCGGCTGCTGGCACCCCTTGCAGGCAGTGAGTGTGGCGGCTGTAGCAGTGAGCAGGGCTTCACTTCACAAACAAGTGGCAACCGTGTTCATCGGCAATGCCCACAAGATCTTGAATATGACTAAGTTTGACCTTTGGATGAGGTGGAGAGAATTAGAGATGAAGGTAGAAAATCCACCACTACATTCCTTGCTGGATAGGAGAGTCACCCCTCACATCCACAGTGCTTTCAGAGAGGAGAAGATGATGTCCCCTTGGGCACAAGCTGACGGAAAGACACCAGCCTCAATCTCCTTGAAGTCTGGGTATTTGGTTACAATAAAAAAAGGCACCAGCCTCAAGATCCAAGAGGAGCCAGGAGAGAACCAGAGCCAGATCTTGCTGCTTCCTAAGGGATGGCTTGAGTGCCGCCCTGGCCACCCCATCACCCTGTCTCAGGCAGAGCCCACTATGGCCGACCAGCCTCACCCGCCCTGTGGCTGACCCCCAAGCCCCATGCTAGATCACCACTGCCTGTGGCCAACCACACACCGTGGCCGACCACCACCCTCCCGTGGCTGACCACCCCCTGCTCTGCTGTTTTCAAGGCTTGCCATCTTCTGAACTAAGGGTCAGTGGCAGCGTTCAGGTACAAAAGCCTCACTTTCCACAAAGCTGGATCAGCCAAGAACAAGAAACCTTCGCACCGGCTGTGTAGCCAAGCCCTCCAAGAGGAGCTCTTTCTTTTCCCCCTCTGAGAAGAAGAAAGGTGTCTGAAGCTGTGGTATTAGAAACACAAGGGTCAGAAACTTTCCTAAGGATGCTTGCACTCTGTCAAGCAGAGTGGGAGGACTCTGTCCAACCGTGGACAGTGAACATGCTGACTACAGGAGCTCCCGTCCTGGCAGACCTGCTGCCATCTGCAGGATGGCAGATCAGCCAATGGAACTGAGAGCCCCCATAGCCCACCATCACTCACTAGTATTCAGCAAGTGGTAACTGTGTGCATGTTACTGCAGAGGGCGGGATAATGTGCTCACCGAGACTCTGTCCTGCCCTCTGTGGGTTGATGAACATGGTGACCAATTTTAGAGTTTATAAGACATAGTGTTTCCTTGGTTATAATGTTCATCTTGACCTTACTTGTTGTATCTTGGTACAAACCAAGTGAAATAATCTGTTCTTTTTCTACCCTTTATATCAAAGACTTTAAAAAATTATCCTAAGTTTACCTCTTTCATTTCATATTTAAATTCACCCATTTACTTCTCCTCTACCAGGCCAAAATTTCCTGTTCTGGGGTTTTGTGAATGAGGCCACACATTTACTCTTATTCTCTCTTCCCCCTTCTGGGGCTGCAATTTCCCCATCTATAAAAGGAAGAAGGCCAGGCATGGTAGCTCACACCTGTAATCCCAACACTTTGGGAGGCTGCGGCAGGAAGATCACTTGAGCCCAGGGGTTCGAGACCAGCCTGGGCAACATGGCAAAACCTCAACTTTACAAAAGTTAAAATAATTAGCCAGGTGTGGTGGCACATGCCTCTAGTCCTAGCAACTCAGGAGGCTGAGGCAGGGGTATCACTTGAGCCCAGGAGTCTAGGTCTGCACTGTGTAATGTGGTAGTTAAGAGCTCTACAGCCGCAAGTGGCTAGTGGCTGTTGTAGTAGACAGAGCAGATATAGAACACTTCCATTTCACAGAAAGTTCCACTGGACCGTATTGGTCTAGAGTGCTGAGGCCCCTGTGAGGTCTGACACTCTATGGTCCATGATTTCTAAGAACTTCTTCTAAATTTCCTCTTAAAGTCCATTGCTTCAGTCTGAAGTCTCAGTTTAACTTGCTTATCTGTGTAATAATCTGTGTAAAAATGCATTTATCTTGAAGTATGGAACCTGCATTATATAGAGAATTCTAGGATTTGGATGTGGCATGATTTGAGATTTGGATATGGTTTCTGCCTTGTTTTTGAAATTCTCTCTAGTATTTGACTGGTCAGTCTAATCCAGGCAATACACTAGGCCAGGGTCTTTAGAAAATGGTCTATTAGGATCTTTTATTGGATTTCAACTGATATTTATAAGCCCATACTCCTAAGAACAGGATTACTCCTGGACTTAAGGCTCTGCCAGTGTTTTGTATTTGGGCCTTGGCCTTAACCAGCTGTGTATAACCCTGCCAGTTCTTAGGATCCTCAAATAGCAGCAAGGACACAGAAGTCTTTCCACCCATCCCAAAGAGCAACCACCGTTTGCTTCACTGACCACCATGAAATTCCCCAGCAGTGAAAGCAGAGCCTTTCTCCTTGATATGGAAAATAAGACAATAATCAGACTTCTAAAGCTTAGATGAAGCTAAAAATCATGAGTAACCCTAGAAAAAGATCTTCTCAGCCAGGCAGGTGGCTCACACCTATAATCCTAGCACTTTAGGAGCCTGAGGCAGGAAGACCACTTGAGGCCAGGAGTTCGAGACCAGCCTGGGCAACACAGGAAGACCTCATCTCTACAAAAATTTTAAAAAGAAAAAGACCTTTTGTATCGAAAATTCTGCTTGTCAAATAAGTGATACACCATCAAGTGCTTATTCCCACCTTTGCTGCCCAACTCAGTTGCCCTAGGCTGACCTCCAGAGCTCTCTGGGGATTTCATATTCTGAAATAGACATCAGACATGGGCCAGGGGCCAAAGCATGCATAAGAGGAGAGATGTGAAGAAAACAAGTTACCTGACAGATAACGTTATCATAGTGAGCCAAGGCACGGGCATGGGGGGAGGAGGTACGGGGAGTGTTGCAAAGTTTCCTTACATTTGGGTGAGAGCCCTCGGCAATGGTGGAGAGGGAGAAGTTATCATTGTGGAGCTCAGATGGGGTCCGGAATTTGCTGGTTAGGAGAGAAGAGTGAAGGAAACATGTAAGTGAAATAATCACGGCAAAACATGACAATGTCTCAGCTTCTGGATCAAATACTGTATTTCGGCTGGGCGTGGTGGCTCGCGCCTGTAATCCTAGCACTTTGGGAGGCTATGGTGGGCAGATCACTCGAGGTCAGGAGTTTCAGATTAGCTTGGCCAACATGGTGAAACCCCGTCTCTACTAAAAATACAAAAATTAGCTGGGCGTGGTGGCAGGCGCCTGTAATCCCAGCTACCTGGGAGGCTGAGGCAGGAGAATTGTTTGAACCCAGGAGGCGGAGGTTGCAGGGAGCCAAGATCGTGCCACTGCACTCCAGCCTGGCTGACAGAGCGAGACTCCATCTCAAAAAAAAAAAAATTACAAAAAATCCCTACAAAAAACAAATACTGTATTTCTTTCTTTATTAAAAAAATTATTTTAAATTTTATTGATAAGTACAGAATTGTACCTGGTGCTGGTTATCGGTTTTTAAAGGCTTTTCTATTCTTTTCTTTTTTTTTTTTTTTGAGACAGGGTCTCACTCTGTTGCCCAGGCTTGAGTGCAGTGGCACAATCACAGCTCACTGCAGCCTTGACCTCCTGGACTCAAGTGATCTTTCCACCTCGGCCTCCCAAGTAGCTGGGACTACAGGTGCATGCCACCATGCCCAGGTAATTTTTGTATTTTTTGTAGAGATGGGGTTTGACCATGTTGCCCAGGCTGATCTTGAACCCCTGAGCTCAAGCAATCTGCTTGCCTCAGCCTTCCCAAAGTGTTAGGATTACAGGTGTGAGCCACTGCGCCCAGTCAAATACTGTATTTCATCAAATGCCATGGATTATCTTTTTTTTTTTATTTTACTTTAAGTTCTGGGATATAAGTGCAGAATATGTCAGTGTGTTATATAGGTATATGTGTGTCATGGTAGTTGGCTGCACCTATCAACCCGTCATCTAGGTTTTAAGCCCCACGTGCATTAGCTATTTGTCCTAATGCTCTCCCTTCCCTCTTCCAGATTATCTTAAAACAATTTTTTTTTTTTTTTGTAAAGATGAGGTCTTGCTATGTTGCTCAGGCTGGACTCGAACCCTTGGGCTCAGGTGGTATTCCTGCTTTGGCCTCCCAAAGTCTTGGGATTACAGGCATGAGTCACAGCATCCAGCCAAATGCCATGGATTGTAATAAGGTGCACCATTATTTGATGTACCATTAAGAAAAAATAAAAACACTTCCACCACTTAAACCATCATCCAATACTTTCTTATCACCTAGAGCTTTTTTTTTTTTTGAGACAGAGTCTTGCTCTGTTGGCCAGGCTGGAGTGTAGTGGCACAATCTCGGCTCACCGCAACCTCCACCTACTGGGTTCAAGCATTATCTGGCTCAGCCTCCCGAGTAGCTGGGATTACAGGTGGCTGCCACCATGCCCAGCTATTTTTTGTATTTTTAGTAGAGACGGGGTTTCACCATCTTGGCCAGGCTGGTCTTGAACTCCTGACCTCGTGATCCACCCATCGTGATCCACCTGCCTCGGCCTCCCAAAGTGCTGGGATTAGAGGCATGAGTTACCGTGCCCAGCTGAGCTTTTCTTATATACTTGAAGTAGTTCATTTAGACTTTAGATAAGGGACTGACAACAATATGAACAGCTAGGAACCCATTTGTGCATGCCAGGGAATTACAACTACATCATAACTACCATATGGCCAACAGTGATCATAAGATGCCAGTGGCTGGGCACAGTGGTGCATTCCTGTAGTCACAGTTATTTGGGAGGCTGAGGTGGAAGGATCACTTGAGCCCAGGAGTTCAAGACCACCCTGGGTAACATAGTGAGACCCTGTCTCAATTAAATTAAAAAAAAAAAAAAAGATGGCAGTGATTGTAAGACACAATCCAATTTCAGAGATGTTAATATGTGGGGAAAAAAGGTATATTTTAGAATAAATAAATTATGGCAGTATCTGCAGTGCACCAGGCACATGTCACACCATCAAAGCAGTAACCAGGCTTGGGAAAGAAAGAAGGCATGTGGAGAAACAAGAGGGCCATGCTCTGTGAAAAACACAGGGCTGGCTAGAGGAAGAGGCCCTAGAATAGGGTCCTGCACCTGGCCTCAGCTCTTGCTTCTCCACTGCCCTGGCTGTTGTTCCTTTCTCTCCCCCATCCTCATCAGCAGCTGCTGTGATTGAAGCAGTCCCATCTCCTGCCCCCTGGATACCCCTGCTCACCCACCCCCTTGGTGTAGGCGTGAGGAGCCAGGGGTCCAGGACTGTGTCTTTCTGGAGTGATCACGTGTGTAGATGCAGCCCGCCTCAGTGCACAGGCACAATGGAGAGGCCGTACCAGCCCCGCGGCGGTTAGCTGAAAGGCTGCAGAGAGCTGCTGGCATCTGTACATTGCATGAGTCTACCCAGCAAAGGAGCAACAGATGGTGTTTTGTCCTTTTCCCAGGACCCAGGGAAAGTCCTTCAGTCACATTCTCTAGAGGGAGTCTCAGGTCAAGGGGAGGGGGATTAATGGGGCAACAGGTTGAAAGGGAAGTGGGGGCAGTTCTGCATAAATTGTCTCTGGGGTCCCAAGGAAGCTGAACTCCAATCTCCCTTTTGTGACTCCTGTGACACTTCCAAAAGGTTTTCTAACTTTGCTTAGTAATAGGAGTAATTTTCTCATAGCGTATAAGGTCACATCCGAGTGTTCAAGGCATGGGCTTAAAGGCAAACACATGTTGATTCTCACATGCACACAACAGTCACTGCTTTGCCAAGAGAAGAGCTGAAATAAGATTCTACATCCCGTATGGCCCTTAAAATCCACAGTAGAGGAAGTTAACCCTAGTTCTCCCCACATATTCTACTCAGGAGAGGTAAAGAGGATTTTCTTAAGTTCCTTGCACTTCTGATTGGACACAGGCTTGACTAGCTTTCAAAAAGCAATGCAGTGTGGTGCTAAATAAACCCTTTCTCCTCAGTGTTCACCGAGGAGGAGCTGATTTTGGGTGACAGATGTGAAGGAGATGGAGTTCCTCCACGCAGAATTATGAATGAAATCTCGCACTGGCCGCTGGCTGTCACAGTCCAGGGAAGAAGGGTCTATCAGGCAGGTGGGCAGACTGAGTAACTTACCTGGGGACTAGAGGAGGAGTAGCTACATGCTGGCTGCCTTTTTCACAGCAGGCTCTCAGATGCCTAGTGCAGGGTTTTGGGAAAGCTGCTGGACAGTGGCAGTGTGCCACAGGGGCTTCACCTCTGCTGCAGCTCCAGCACATTTTGTGTAGGAACAGATGAGCCTGAGTGAATTTTTAGCACAGACAAAACAGCTGGGAATGGAGCACAGGTGCCAGAAACCCTCACGACAAAGTCCCTGGATCAGTTGGAGGGGTGCAGCAGCGTCGGGGGGCCTCCCACACCCTGACCTGGGTGGATGGGTGAGTGACACAGACTCACTTGGTCCTACGCAGCTTGGTATTCTCCGTCTTGAGCAGGTAGAGCTTCTTGGCAAAGAACACCGTCATCATGAAGAGCAGGAGCAGGACGAGGGCAGCCGAGCCCACGGCCACGCACATCACCTGGAAGTCGGTGATGATGGACTCGCAGCGCATCCCCTTGTGCCAGATGTAGTCCTGCGTGTTGCACCTGCAGCAGCGACATTGAGAAACCGTGGCGATGGAGCAGGCAGCCACGGCCACAGTAAGGGCCTGGGCCCTGACCCCAACACCTATCTCCACAGCCTGTTCCGAAGGCCATCTAGAGGAACTGCAATGCTCCGAATCTGCACAGACCTCAGAGCTGGTGTGATCGCCCCTGCCTTTACAACCATTCTATGAAGTGGGCCAGGGAGCTCTGAGGTCTGTGATATAAATGAGGTAACCGAGGTGTAGAGAAACTGAGTGAACTGGTCAAAGTTCTCTGACTGCTAAGTGACCAAGGAGGGAAGGGAATCCTGGTCTTCTGCTCTGCAGCCTCAATGAAGACACCTACAGGATCCTCTCAGGCCTCTCCCTGCCCTGGGCTCTGGGTGAAAGAAAGATGAAAAACAAGAGGAATAAGAGCTACAGCTACAAAGTCCCAGGACCTGCCCTGCACATGCAAACCTATCTTGCTGCTTTGCAGTCCCACCTAGTTCACGTGGCTGAGAAGACACCTAAAAATAAGGAAGTGACAGACAAGGACAAATAGAAAGATGGATGTAGATTCTTCTATCTCTGCAGCCCCCCCAAGTTCTGCCCCTAAAGCTCCCTATCCTAGTACTATGAGAACTGTCATGCAAGCACAGTGAGAATCAACCCTCTGGGTGGGTTTTAGCCTTTTTGTTGAGTGACTTTCTCCTGCCCTTGGGGACATTCCCAGGCTCCAACTCTTCCAATGACATTGCTGTTTCCATGGGAACCAGGCTGCTTCAAAGAGGAAAGATGTGGAAGGATACAGAGGCAGGCAAAGGAGGGAGGACATGAACCTCAGGGTGAATGACAGACAAGAGAAAGGGCTCCAGAAACGGGGAAATTATGCACCAGAAAACTGGCTACTCCACATCTAGAATAGGGTGGGGAGACATGGCTAGCAAGAAATTCTTCATTTTCCAACTGAGCCTCTGCCGTCATGGGGAGGCTATCTGTTTGAGGTTGCCAGGGAATGCAGACCCCTGTAAGTGGGGCCTCTACCCCGGTGTTCTAGAGAAGTTCCGCCACAGCTCTGCTCATTTCCCTGCAGTGGGTCAGGGTGACAGAGACAAAGGCACACTGCAGTCTGCAACCAACGGCTCAGCAGTCTCCTGTGAGTGGAATGCAAAAATAGTTTTCAAGCCGTGGCCAGGCCTGGGTGTACACAGCCAGGGGAGGAATCTGGTAGGGAGGCCCGAATGTGATCCTGGGATGGAAGCTAAGCAAGGGGAACTGGAGTGGACACGTGGAGAAGCCCTTGTGAGGCAGTGAGAGGCTGGTAGACCCATGCTGGCAGAGCCATGTAGCTTACTGAGGAAGACAATCTTATTCTTCCACTTGGGAATTTTCTGAGAGTTCCAGGAGATTCTGGGGACTTTTACAGCTCTCTAGAGGCAGCAAGGGCTCCAAATTTCATACTATTATGGGGAGTTCACTTTGAAGGTGAAAATTCCAGGCCTCCAATAGGATGAAAGATGATGATTTTGCAGAGAGGTTGCACAGCCCCCAGGCTGAAATCATCACTATAGTCCCCCAAACTGAATTTTGAGGAGCAAAATCACAGGGTTTCCTCATATTTCTGGTAGCCCTTAATCAACTGGCAAGTTAGTTTATTGCCATATTTTCTTTTTAAAAATAAAATTGCTACAATTTCTTAATCATAGTACCTCCTTCTGGCAATGGCTGGACCACTCCAAGAACTGTGTGGTCACATCCTATGAGTGACCCTAATGTCATGACCATTTATAATAAAGAACTTCGGCTGGGCGCGGTGGCTCACGCCTGTAATCCCACCACTTTGGGAGGCCAAGGAGGGCAGATCATGAGGTCAGGAGATTGAAACCATCCTGGCTAACACAGTGAAATCCCGTCTTTACTAAAAATACAAAAAATTAGCTGGGCGTGGTGGCGGGCGCCTGCAGTCCCAGCTACTCCGGAGGCTGAGGCAGGAGAATGGCATGAACCTGGGAGGCGGAGCTTATAGTGAGTCGAGATTGCACCACTGCACTCCAGCCTGGACGACAGAGTGAGACTCCGTCTCTAAAAACAACAACAACAAAAAAAAGAACTTCATAGAAAGAAACTGGAACTTAAGTTACAACGCCAAGGACAAAATACTCATTGCTTTCTACATGTTATTCTCTGATATACTACATCAAGACCTAAGGAACTTGAATTCATCATATACTTGCAGAACGAACAAGAACAAGAAGGATGGAGAATGACACTTGAAAAAGAGATACCCTGGCCGGGCGTGGTGGCTCACGCCTGTAATCCCAGCACTTTGAGAGGCTGAGGTGGGCGGATCACTTGAGGTCAGGAGTTTGAGACCAGCCTGGCCAATATGGTGAAACCCCATCTCTACTAAAAATAAAAAGAGACACACAGATGACAGAAATGCTCCATCTAGGACTAATGGAGACAACCCTCAAAGGAGTCTGAGGGCTCTCCTCCATTTCTACAGCCTGTAAAGGATGGAGACAAGCAAACCACCTGATCACCCCACCCTGGGATTCTTCCGGAATCAGGCTGCAAGCTCTCCAGCAAGTTAAATACCTCACTGTGAGGACAGTTCCTAAGAGTGAGGTGAGTAGGGTAATTACTGATGAGCTACAGACAATGCCCTTAGGAAAACTAAACTCTGAGTCTTTAAAAGGATTATGGATTTGATATCCCAAGGTAGACAAACATCAAAGTAGAAAGAAAAAAGCCACCTCCCAAAGTCAAGAAACACCCGCACATCTGCAATGCGAAGACTCTCAGCTTGATTTTATCTGTGTGAGTGGCTGCATTTTGGGGTCTGTTTCCAAGAAGGTCCTCCCTTTTGAGTTTGCGTGCCTACATTCCTTCCAGGGAACTGGCCCCTCCTCCCGCCGAGCACAAGGCATGGAGCGGTGTTCAACAGCTGTCTTTATCCCACAGAGTAGGTTTATGGGCCTACCCCTCTCACCAGTACCACCAGAACCCTCCAGCAAACACCCCTCAACCCAGCCCTTTTTCCAAAACTCTTAAAGAATTCCCTTCATTTTGCCTTTTTTTTTTTTTTTTTTTTTTTTTGAGACAGAGTTTCGCTCTTGCTGCCCAGGCTAGAGTGCAATGGCGTGATCTCGGCTCACTGCAACGTCCACCTCCTGGGTTCAAGCAATTCTGCCTCAGCCTCCCGAGTAGCTGGGATTACAGGCATGTGCCACCACACCCGGCTAAATTTTTTATGTTTTTAGTAGAGACAGGGTTTCTCCATGTTGGTCAGGCTGGTCTCGAACTCCCAACCTCAGGTGATGTGCCCACCTCGGCCTCCCAAAGTGCTGGGATTACAGGCGTGAGCCACCACGCCCGGCCTCATTTTGCCTTTGTAATTGAGGGTTTGGGTAAGGACACAACACACAGAGGAAAGACATAATCTTATTTCTGAGGAACCTCTCCTAGTGATAAGGTCACAGGAAGTGCATTTTACCAAGTAATTCTGTAGAAGAAGCCTGAGTGAACATTTCTCCACCTGGGAATCCTGCGACTGTACAACCTCTTGCAAGTTGTGCCTGTCACGCTGCCCTCTGTTTTGTTTTGTTTTTTTTTTTTTTTGAGATGGAGTTTCACTTTGTCACCCAGGCTGGAGGGCAGTGGCACGATCTTGGCTCACTGCAACCTCCACCCTCCGGGTTCAAATGATTCTCCTTCCTCAGCCTCCTGAGTAGCTGGGACTACAGGTGCCTGCCACCGCGCCCAGCTAATTTTTTGTATTTTTAGTAGAGATGGGGTTTCACCAACTTGGCCAGGCTGGTCTTGAACTCCTGACCTTAGGAGATCCGCCTGCCTCAGCCTCCCAAAGTGCTGGGATTACAGGCGTGAGCCAACGCGCCCGGCTACGCTGCCCTCTGTTGAGTCGGCCTCACATACACTCTTCAGTGTCCCTATGCACCTGCCTGCCATGCCCTTACCTGCAGAAGGCCCCTATGTTCTCCACCAGGTAGCACTGGCCGCCATTGTGACAGTAACTTGGGAAGAGGTCGCACACTGACCGGCAGGAGCCGTTATGCCGCACAAAGCCACTGCGGCACTCAGTGCCATTTTCACTGGAGGCCAAGTCCCTGCCTGGCTCTCCTGGGCGGGGCCTGAGGGCGATGCTGCTGCCGGGGACCGACCCCAGAGTGTGCTGTGGAGGGACAGCATGCCACCGACTGGTGGGCTGGCCTGTCCCGGGCCCCAGACCAGGCTTCCCAGTGGGCACTAGAAGCTCATTTTCATCTTCTAGGTCTCCACCTCCTACTGCATCTTTGTCATCCTCCTCTTCCTCCTCCTCTTCATCCAAGTCATCATAAAAGGATGTGGTGGGGTAGAAATCAGATTCATCGAAGGGGGTGAAATCATCGTATAAGTCAAGCAGGCTCCAGGAAGGGGTCTCTCCCTCAGTATCAGGGTGGTTCTCTGAGGTTCCTGGTGACCCTGGGAAGCTCCCCAGATCTGCGCCACGACCCTCACCATCCAGTCCTTCGAAGTAGTCGATGTCAATGATATCTGATGCCGGTTGGGGCTCCAGGGTGCCCTGAAATGGGTAAGTCAGCTCTGGCCCTTGAGGGTCGGGTGTGCTGCCCCCCAGGTTCAGCCAAACCTCCAAGGGGCTCTCCTTGGGGAGTTCAGAAGCTGGGCTCAGCTTGTCGCCGGGGGTGGGGGAGGGTGGCCCGCTGGCCTCTGTAGCCTCAGGAATGGCAGGGGGCATGATTGACTGCCCGAGGACCTCGTGGGGAGCCTGGAGCGTAGCTGGAAGGGCCTGGGCATCGCCGCTGCCCGCCTCTGCGGTCACTCCTCCCAGGCCTGGGCTGTCAGCTTCCAGCCAGGCGGTGCCGGTCACCGCAGCCGACTCCTGCAGCACCTCTTCTGGCCCGGCCAGCTCGCCACCGGGCGCCGTCCACGACGCCTCATCTTCCCCAGCCGCTGGTGGGCCGGCTTCTTCCCGCGTGTCGTTGGCAGGCGGCTCCCACGCCGGGCTGCCCTTCACCAGCTCTTCGGCCTCAACCGCGCTGCCCGCCTCACGCGCTGCGGGCGGGAGGGCAAGGGGCGGGACGTCAGGGCGGCGCGCTGAGGAGCCCTGGAGCCCCGGCCCGCCCCGGTCAGGCCCGCTCGCCTAGACCTGGTCAACCCAGACCTCGCCACCCTCAGACCCCACCGCCCCAGTGTGACCCCAGCCACCCGGTACCTCTAAGCCCCGTCCCGGAGTCTGCCCCCAAGACGAGGATCACACCCCGCCCAACGCCTCGCGGCTCGGCCCCGCCCGACCTGCCCCGCCGTCTGAAGAGCCAGGCCAGGGCGGCCCCCAGCTCGGCCCACCCATAAGTCTCACCCTCGGGAACCCACCCTGAGCCGCGTCCACTGGCTCCCGCCCTCAGCTCCAGGTCCCGCCCCGAAGTCTCACCCTCAGGCCCCGCCCCGGCCCCGCCCCGGCCCCGCCCCCGGCCCCGCCCCCAGTCCGCACCGCGGCCCGCGCGCTTGGGTCCCGGCTACCCCAACCGGGGTCGGCCCCCACGCGGGTCGGCCTTTCCCGGACCCCCACCACCTCCTGGGACCATTCCGCCGCCCGGCCGCGGCCAGGCGGTGCCCCGCCCCCTTGCCACAGCTCACAGCTCCACCTGTCCCCGCCGCCAGCGGGACCCCTGCCCTGGGTGGGGCACGAGGGCCGCGGGGGTCCCGGGCGCAGTCATACCTACCCGGCACGGCCCCAGAGGCCAGGACCAGCGCGGCCCCCAGAAACAGCAGCAGTGGCGGCGGCCCCCGGCCCGGGCCCCCGCCCCCGGCTCGCCCCATGGCGCGGCGCCCCGACCGCTGTCCGCGGTCCGCCCGGCTGGCTGCGCCCTCGGCTCGCCCGGCCGCCGCGCCTCCCGCCGGTTCTGCGGCCGCCTCAGCCCACGATGGGCAGCGCGAGGAGCCGCATGCCGCCGCCGCCGCCGTCCGCCGCTGTCCCCGGCGCGCCGCGCCTCCCCGCCTCCCGCGCCGCCGCTGCCGCCGCTGCGCTCAGCGCCGCCCTCACCCCGCCCGCCGCGCCGGCCCCGCCGCACGTAGCGGTGACGCCGGCCCCTTGGTCAGCCTGCCAGGGGAACAGACAGACCCCTCGCTGGGGACTAGGAGACACACGGACGGGGAGTGCGGGGCAGGCGGACGGGGAGCGCGAGGCAGGCGCACGGCGCGGCGCGCGGCGTTAGGCGGCAGGTGCACGGGCGGGAGACCTGTGGGATGGGGCCACGGTCCCGCCCCAGGTGAACAGGCGGCACGGGGCCCCGACCCGGAGGAACCCACCCGCCACGCGGCAAGCACGGAGGCGGGGACGTCGCGGGCCCAGTTACCCGCAGGGTCGGGGCGGGGTCCAGAAGAGCCGCAGGGGGCGGAAGCACGAGCCCCCACTGTGGAAACAAGCCAGGCCCGGGGCGCATGGAGCCTCTCGGATTCTGCACCAATCCCGTGTTCCGGGCGGGAAGGCTCTCAGGGAGGTCTCCGGGTCTCCACGAGGGAGGGGCGGGCGTTGGCAGAGCCTGGCAAGGGGGCGAAGCCGACCGCCCAGGCTCTAATCGGATCAGATCTAATCCGTTCGCAGCCAAAGCCACTAGCCTAGATCTCGCACAGCCAGGCCCGCCATAACGCATCCCGGGAGCAAGGGGTAAGACCCTCCCTGGGACTGCGGCTACCTCGCCTTCCTTCTAGTCTCCGGGCAGCCTGGGGAGCGGCCTTTAATCCTGGTCCCTTCTCCGGGATACGTCGTCCCCCAGGTGTCTCAGACCACCAAAACTCAGGTTCCTGGGTAGACCAGGGGGGTCTAGATCCCCAGCCGGGCACACATGGATGCTTGGCTTTAGAGTGATCTGTGGGGCCCATTCACAGCTTCAGGGCTCACAGGGCAACCCAAGACCACGCACCAGGAGGTCTGCTTAGTCGGCAGGAGGAACCGCAACCTAGTTACTTAGTTTATTCCCCCAAACCGACCGTCTACCCCTTAATGTGTTACTCACCCAAATGACAGTTCAGGGTATCAGCCCAAGGAGATAGGACAACTCCAGTATTTAAGAGACGGTCCCATTGCTGTCTTAGAAGACCAAATAAGTGACCAAGATGGAGATTCTATCTCCTAATCTTTCTGATACATATCTCCAGATGGAGTTGCCTTGGTTCAAAACCTGTTTCTCAGCAGAACTATGGCTGCAGCCTATTTGCCTAGCCTAGCGTCTCCACCTCTCCTGCCTGGTAAACTCCTCATGCCAGAAAAACTCAGTTCTTATCACCTTTCCCTCTATGAAGGCTTCTCAGCAGTTACACTTAATGCCCATCATCTCATCTTATCTACAGTTATTCCTCACTGGACTGCAAGGCACTTGAGTGCACAGGGCTGGTAACAGAGGGAGGCTCCATATCAGACAGGCATAAATGAACGAATGGCAACCACCCACACCCATCCCAGAACTGTGGTCTGGAGAGCCTTGAAAAAAGGGGTAAGGCTCTTTCTTTCATAGTTTCATGCTGCCTCCGGGGACCAAGTAAAATATGTTTGAAACAATAGCCTTCTCTAAACAGGGGACCATGTAGGGCTTTGCACTCACCTCAGCCACAGAGGCAGCAACGCACCCTTAACTGCCTCCAACCCATCTCTGCTTCCCTTGTGTGCAGCTTAACTCCTGTCACCTTTTACTGTATGTAGACTCTCTGTGTTCCTTTGCTTGTTTCCTCAACTCGGGTTGTGGCTGTCAGAGCGGCCTACCTCCTCCTTCCCTTCCTGAGGCCAGTCTGTGTGGGAAGACCTCATGGATGGGTTCCTTGATGTCTGGGGCATGACAACCACTCACACATTTTCAACAGGGTTTAATGGAGGAAGTTCTCCCACTCATTTTAAATATATTTTGTTAATTATTTAAGTATCTTCTTCTTCCCTTTCCTGGAGATGAAGTCTGCTAACGCTTCCTTCAATTTGGAATTTTTTTTTTTTGTTGAGACAGAGTCTCACTCTGTCACCCAGACTAGAGTGCAATGGTGTGATATTGACTCACTGCAACCTCTGCCTCCTGGGTTCAAGTGATTCTCTGCCTCAGCCTCCCGAGTAGCTGGGATTACAGGCATGCCACGCCCGGCTAATTTGGTATTTTTTGTAGAGACGGGGTTTCTCCATGTTGGCTCAGGCTGGTCTCGAACTCCAGGCCTCAGGTGATCCGCCCGCCTTGGCCTCCCAAAGTGCTGGGATTGCAGGCATGAGCCACCGTGCCCGGCCCAACTTGAGACTTTAAATCAATTGTTGCCACTCAGTTTCATTCTGATCTTCCCTAGTGGATCTCACTAGCAGTTTGAGAACTGAGCATAGCACACTTGGTTGGGTAACACCTCCACAAGATGAATGGGAAAATTCAGTCAGTGGAACGTGATGGGAAGGGCAGGATTCAGCTGCAGCGTGACTTTGAGTTAGCAACCTGTCTCTCATATGTGAAAATGCTTGGTAACCAGAGAGTCAAATGAGTATTTCTTCTGAGCACAGGACTGTGGTAGGGTAAAGAAGAGATAGAAGATGTAGGAACCACAGAGTGAAAGAAAGGGAAACTGACGTCCTTATATCCATGTCCCCGTATTTATGTCTCTTGCACCTGGGCATCAGGGATGTTTTATGTGTCAACAGTTTCTTCATGCCTCTGAGGTTCTTACTGGGTTGGCAGCCTGCCTCCAGAGCTCAGGTAGGCTCAAGGTCCATTGCCACGAATGCAGCCAGCCTCCGACTGCATGAAAAACCCCCGGCTTGACCAGGGGGCTGCAGTCCAGAGGAGTGCTCCAGTTGCCATGGCTGGGGGCATAGCTGTGTGGACTGGAAATTCCTGGCTTTAAGTCCTCAGTATTAACCACTAACATTGATATGGTTTGGATGTTTTATTCCCTCCAAATCTCATGCTGAAATGTGACATCCAGTGTCGGACGTGAGCCTAGTGTGAGGTGTTTGGGTCATGGGGGTGGACTCCCCATGAATGGCTTGGTGCTCGAGGTAATGAGTTCTTGCTTCATGGGTTCATGTGAGATCTGGTTGTTTACATGAACCTAGTACTTTCTCTCTCACTCCTGCTCTCACCATGTGATGCTGGCTCCCCTTTGTCTTCCGCCAAGATTGTAAGCTTCCTGAGGCCCTGACTGGAAGCAGATGCTGGCTCTATGTTGTGTACAGCCTGCAGAACCGTTAGCCAAACACACTTTTCCTTATAAATTACCCAATCTCAGATATTCTTTATTCTTTTATAGCAACACAAACAGGCTAACACAAACATATTGAGTTTTTAGTTTTCCTTGTGCTAATTTGCCTTATTCTTCACAATCACACTACAAATATCGTCAGTCCTATTTTACACATCTGCAAACTGAGAGAATTAGCAATTTTGTCCAAGAGTACGCTAGTGAAGTGGTAAGGACAGGATTTGAACTAAGACCCTGATTCCAAACCCTTTCGTTTTAATATGGAGGCTTTTCATTCCTGCTTGAGAAGAGGAATCAGGACACAGAGGTAGACTATTAATTGGCAGAACAGAGGACCTCCCTCCTCCCCTCCCCAACTCTCCCACCTTCACTTAGCCATTTAAGAAATAATGCCATGATCTCTTACCAGGGAACACAGCAACAAGACCAGACTCCTGGTTCTAGGCTGCATGGCAATCTGCTCTGTGACCATTTTACGCGATGTGCCTCTTTACACCATCCCCCAGAAAGGGAAGGGCTAAGAGGTAGGGGGTCTGAGTTCTTTGTGCTGACCACCACCTCTGGACTGCAGAAAACTCTGGATTCTCAGTTGAGCAAGTGCTGTCATCTAAGGACATCACAACCTGAAGGTGATAATCTTGTTCAGGCAATGGGTCTGCAAACAGATTGGAAAGGCCTCTTGAATTTCATTACCCCAAAGCCAAACCAGCTGGGAGAAAGCCACATAGCACAAGCAAACACAGGGCCTCACCATGTGGAGCAACTTTTTTTTTTTTTTGGAGACAGAGTTTCGCTCTTGTTGCCCAGGCTGGAGTTTAATGGCATGATCTCGGCTCACTGCAACCTCCACCTCCAGGGTTCAAGTGATTTTCCTGCCTCAGGCTCCCGAGTAGCTGGGATTACAGGCATGCACCACCACACCGGCTAATTTTGTATTTTTAGTGGAGACAGGGTTTCGCCATGTTGACCAGGCTGGTCTTGAACTCCCGACCTCAGGTGATCTGCCCAGCTGGGCCTCCCAAAGTGCTGGGATTACAGGTGTGAGCCCACCGCGCACGGCCAAGCAACTAAGTTTGTCTGCAGAAGAGACCTGCTGCCTCAGCAGGTGACCTAAGCACTTCTCGGGCATCCTGTAGCTACTGTGGAATAAGCTGACTGTAAACAGGGATGCCACAGGAAACTCATCCATGTCTGAAACAAACCAGACACATCAATCAGCCTGGGCCGGTTTGGTTGGACCCACCTTCTACCACCTGCCCAGTTCTGAAACTGCTATAGAAATCTGCTAGGGAGGATCAGAATGAAACTGAGTGGCTATCATCATCCAAGACTGCTGCCACTTCCTTACATTCTTCTGGACCAACTGCCCCAAGAAGGCACCTTAGATGGTAGATTACCACAGAACCAGAGCAGGAGGCATTTTCCTTGTCACTTGTCTGAAGGTGGTTGTCACACTGTATTAAGGCATGGCCATTTTCCAGAGGGGTGGTGGGATTATCTCCCCTGAAGGGTAAAGTTGCTGTCAGAATTAGTCAACTGGCTGCCCTCTATAGGTTAAAAGCGCATGGAAAGGCCTTTGGGGGCAGTGGTAGTAAAGATGACTACAATTCTGCATGACAGGCAGGGGTTCCATAAGAATTGCAATAGGGCTGGAACAGGAATTGGTGGTCCTAGAGCTAGCTAGCTAGCTGCAGCTGGTTTTGGAACCTCTGTTTAGGTTGATTCATAGCACCTTCTCTATCCCTTTAGTCACCCTTTGGGTATGATAGTCTTGCCTCAACTTTGTCCCAAGGACTTCAGGATCACGTGTTTCCTAATGGCCAGAGTGCTGGCATGCCTAAAAACAAGCCACAGGGAAATGAAGCTGGGGGGAGGAGCTGTTCACAAGGAGATCCAACAAAGGAGGTTTGGGCCTGAAGGCAGGTAGCACTTCCTTCAGGGATATACCTTTGCATCCCATTCTGAGACCACCTCCTTAAATGGAGATAATCCATCAACAGGGGATTGAGGGTGCTTTCACACTGTTTCCAGGAAGACATCCCCCTTTAACGGGAGCGAAAGAACTATGCTCTTGGAACTGTAGAAAGCAGGGGTTTTGTAATAGTCACAGGCAGAGCAGTTTGCAGAGTACTCTCACAAACTGGCATTATATAGACAAAAGGGTGCTCTGGGTATTCAGATGGATGTTTTTCTGGAATGAAGGTCAACCCCTCAGGCTACCATATCCAGCAGGACAGAAATCATGGGAGACCACCCAATTCACAGACTATCCACATTGTCCCCAGGAAACTCTTAATTGCATTGTTTCATTTTCTTCATGAACACTTGGAAGTATGCAAAATATTATTAACCGTTTATGGTCTTGTACCCCACCCCATTAGAATAAGTGGCCTGGATGGCATGGGTCCTGCCTACTGTATTCACAACTGCAATTACACTGTATTAATGGATCAATGTCTGGCACATAGTAGCCCCTCAAATGTTTACTGTATGAAAGGTCTCATACAATAAACTGTAAGGAACTATAGGGATCTTGCTCTATCATACGACCTTCTTAACCACTGGTTCTCCAAGGGTGGTTCCTTGACCAGCTTCATCAGCATCCCCTGGGAACTTGTTAAAAATGCAAAATTTGGCTGGGCGTGGTGGCTCTCGCCTGTGATCCCAGCACTTTGGGAGGCTAAGGTGGGAAGATCACTAGAGTCCAGGAGGTTGAGGCTGCAGTGAGTTATGATCGTGCCACTGTACTCTAGCCTGGGTGACAGAGCAAAACCCCACCTCTAAAAAAATAAACTTAATTTTTTGAGATGGAGTCTCGCTATCACCCAGGCTGGAGTGCAGTGGCGTGATCTCAGCTCACTGCAACTTCTGCCTCCTGAGCAGCTGGGATTACAGGTGCGTGCCACCATGCCTGGCTAATTTTTTGTTTTTACTAGAGACAGGGTTTCACCATGTTGGCCAGGCTGGTCTTAAACTCCTGACCTCAGGTATCAGCCCACCTCGGCCTCCCAAAATGCAAGTGCTGGGATTACAGGCGTGAGCCACTGCACCCAGCCTAAACTATTCTTAATTGAATGTGGGGGAATTACTCCATGGTAAGGACCCAGGGAACCTATGTAAGACTGGTTGATCTTGCATGTCCTCCAATATTCTAAAAATAATTCACACACAAGTTTATAAACCAGTCTTTAGTTTCGATAAAGGATTAACCTCCCCCAACATCCTTGAGAAAGTATAGGAATCTGGTGAGACCCAGCTGGCTTTGGCTCTCTTTATTAGAGGCACACCTTCGTGAAGAGCAGGGCGTTCATCTCATGGCAGACACAGAATCCTCTTCTTTTGCTTCACTCGATTTATAAGCATCCTGAAAACAATCACTTCTTTTTTTCTGCACAGGGTTTATATCTGTGAGTACCCAAAAGCTGTCCCCCAAGGTTCACAGAATCTTCTGCCCTCAAGGCCTGCCTCCAACTTGGGACTGTCTAAACTGCATCCTGACAAACATTATCCCATTCACCAAGCAAAGCTATTTCTCACACCTGGAGGTGCCAGGATGTTGGCCATCATTTTTGGAGAACTTCCACTCATTTTCACTTTGACCATGCAAATGAACAGTGGGTGAGGTACCCTCAAAATGTATGTTCCTTACACATCATGAAGGT